>NC_000003.12:56979696-57282727 GCF_000001405.40 Homo sapiens | reverse complement strand
AGGGAAGGGGAAAGCAACTTAAACTTATTGGGTACTATCTAAGCAAAAGCATTAAACTACCCATGTTGCCTCATAACCCTTTAAAAACTCTGTGAGGTAGGTATTATCCTAATTTTATACTTGAGGAAAGTGAGGGTCAGCCATGGTACCAGCTGCAGGACTTCCCTTCAAACATGCCCCCTCCCCTATCCCCAGCTCTGTAGCTGTGGGCATTTTGAATCCTGGCTTAACTAGCAGGGACCCTTGGCTCAGAGAACTTTGGCCTTTACTGTCTTCGAGGAGAGCTCATTGATGACACTGTTAGATGAAGCAAGGTAGGATCAATCTAAAGCTTTTTTTCAAAAAAGCAAATTTTTACCAAGATTTTTAAAAGTCTCAATAATAGAATTATCTTTATTCTCCTCCCTGTCTAGAAGTATTATTTTGTTCTTTAACAATACACAGTCCTGGTCTCCAGTATTCTAGATGGCAGAGACTCATATTTAAAAACAACCTTGTGCTTTTTAGACATTATCTAAATCTTTCCTGTCATATAGGGGAGGCTAGTTGCTAATCAATGGCCATAAGACATTTTAAGTAAGATGTTTTAAATGATCAATATAAGAAATGTCTAAAGTCATTAGCTGGAATAACAAAAATAAACATTGGAATCTTTCATCTACGAGGAAAGAGTAACCTTTTGTATAGATCATTGATTAAAATACAGAGAAAGAAGCAACAGATGTTAAATCCTTTACCCTGCAAAGAAACCAGTATCAGTTGACCTCAGTGAGTAAGCATTTCCTTTAAGTGACTCCTTACAAAGTAATTTGCACCAAGTGACACAGATGGTACATCACAGAGCCAGTATTTCAAGGTTCATCTGATTCCAAATCACATTATCACCCTGCATTGCTAGAGTGGCAACATGGCATCATAGATATAAGCCCTGGGTCTAGAATAACTGTATATGAATCCTGACTACCTTGCTTACTAGGTGTGCATCTTTGGGGAAGTCACTGAAACTCAATGAGTTTCTTCATCTTTAAAATGAGTATGTTAAGCACCTACTGCTGGGGGTTGTTACAAAGTTTAAAAATTATTATACACATAATGGAACCAGCACATAGTGGGCACTCAATAAGCAGAGGCTTATTGGACTTCTAAGGCATTCTTGGAATGGGGTTCTTGGGCAGCCACTGGACCCTGATGACTCTTATGGAGTCTGTGTTAAATTAAAGTCACTACATCTTTTTTATATGAGCTTCAGAATGCTCTCCGTAACTTTTGTCCATTCAAATGCTACTCTTTCTTCAGAGCCCATTTTACTGGGAACACTTCCACAACTGACCCAAACTCTTTTCTCCTTCCTTCACCTCCCAGCTCCCCTTACAACCCCAGCCCCCCTTACAACCCCAGCCCTAGATCTTCTAGAAGACCTTTTGCCTGTCCCTGTACTCTTATTATTCACATCACTCACATAACACTTAACATACAGGGTGTAAGTTAAGCATTCTTAATCTGAAAATCTGAAATCCAGAATCTTCCAAAATCTGAAACTTTTTGAACATCAACATGATGCTCAAAAGAAATTCCTACTGGAGCATTTCAGATTTCGGATTTCTGGATTTGGGACTTGTAAGTATAATGCAACTTGTAAGTGTAGTGCAAATATTTTTTTTAAAAACCCTGAAATATGAAACACTTCTGGTCCCAAGCATTTTGGATAAGGGATACTCTGTACTAATAACTACAACAACTTACCTCTTTGGCTATTGGCAGTTCCTAACCTCAATTAAAAACAGTTACAGTGTCTCCTACTATGGTCCCCTACGAACAAGCTAAAACAGAACAAATGCCCTTTTCCACCAAAACAGTATCATTAGATGGCATGGTATTATAGTTTGATAGATTTGTTAGTACCATCCTATATGTGTGTTATGAGTTAAGTGGGCTTTTATAGGCTGGTCTAGAAATAAAAGCAACTTTTATAACAGTATTTCTACTGGAATTTTCAAGTTCCAAACAAATGGACATCAAATTACTTCAAAAACTAACCTACTTATAATTTAGAAACTGCCATTTTTTTCTTCCCCAACTAGTTTATAAGTTACTTGAGAGCAGGAGGTATATATTCTGTTACTTTGATTCTTGGTGCTTTGCTAGAGTGCGTGCTCACTAATTGCTTTTTGGTGATGGGGATATATTTTTAAGATTGCTCAAGAAATACAGTGGAAAATAATTTTTGCATTAACAAGAGTCTTTCTCCTCTTAGGAGCTAATGCTCATGGTCAGGCCTCTGATTCTTCTTCCATCTTACTTGAAGCCGCAAGTGGAGGAAATCCAGATGCTGTGGCTCTCTTGCTGGAGTATGGAGCTGATGCCAACATCCCTAAGAATTCAGGCCACCTGCCCATCCATGTGGCAGCTGACAGGGGCCACTTACTGTTAAGTTCAATTACATTATTATAAATAATAAAAACAGTAATAGCTACCTTTTATTTTGTGCTGCTTCTAGGAACTTTATAATCTTTAATCACTGATCCCACAATCTAAACATACTTTTTTTTTTTTTTTTTTTTTTTGAGATGCTGTCTCCCTCTGTCGCCAGGTGCTGGGTCTGAACCATAGACCCTGGCCAAGTGACAGATGAAAGTACTTAGACATAGGTATCCAGTGAAAGAGTGGGCTAGGGGACCAGGCTGCTCAAAGAAAGAGTTGTAGCAGCCATGGCCCTGACAAGCTGGTGCTTCAGGCATTTATTTAGTACAGGTTTAATGACAAAGGCTTTGAGTCAGCACATCGTGTGAGTAATTAACACGGTTCCCCCCCAACCCCCGCTGCCAGAACAGTCCTACATGTGGATGATTAAAGGCCAGTTCTGAGGCCTAAGTAAACTAACTTATCTAGATCAATTCCCTTACACTTCCTTGTAACCTACTCTGAGAGAATTCAGCTGCCTTCAGCCAAATCCTTTCCTGAAGCTTTTGCAAAACCTCCCGGCCTTCCAAGAAGGTGTGCTTCTTTCTATAATTTTAATAATATTTCCCACCACGCTGACTGAACTCCTGCAGCCAGGCTGGAGTGCAGTGGCATGATCTCGGCTGACCGCAACCTCCGCCTCCCGGGTTCAAGCAATTCTCCTGCCTCAGCCTCCTGAGTAGCTGGGACTACAGGTGGGCACCACCACACCAGCTAATTTTTGTATTTTTAGTAGAGATGGGGTTTCACCATGTTGGCCAGGATGGTCTCAATCTCTTAACCTCGTGATCCGCCCTCCTCGGCCTCCCAAAGTGCTGGGATTACAGGCTTGAGCCACCACCCCCAGCCCTAAACATACCTTTTAAAGATGAGAAACTCTTAGGAGAATTGCTTGAACCCAGGAGGCAGAGGTTGCAGTGAGCCAAGATTGCGCCACTGCACTCCAGCTTGGGCAACAAGAGGAAACTCCGTCTCAAAAAAAAAAAAAAAAAAAAAAAAAAAAGAAAAACTCTTGACCAACTAGGAAGAACTAGAAATGGCTGTTTAACCAGGCATCCTCTGAAGCCACCGAAGAGATATAAAACTTTTTTCTCAGGTACTTAGACAATATGGGAAGCCTCAGGCCTCTGAGCTAATTCTGAATTTTATAGCTTAGACGGTAATTCCATTCAATTTTACTTGGTATCTGAGCTTCTGGATGAAGGAATTATGCTTTTTTTTTTGGTTGTGGGTTCTAAATGCCCCCTGAATACTGATACTATCTAGTATTGCTATAAAACAATAATAAACAAGTTAGTGCTACATCTTAAAAACAATGTTGAAATGCATTTTGAAATTCTTTCTCAGAGCTCTAAAGATACTGATTCCAGTTACGGATCTTGCTGCCATTAAGCAGAGTGGGATCAGTCCAGTTCACTGTGCAGCAGCAGGAGCACATCCTCAGTGCCTGGAACTCCTCATCCAGGCTGGATTTGATGTGAACTTCATGCTGGATCAGAGAATTAACAAACACTACGATGACCACAGGAAGTCAGCTTTGTATTTTGCTGTATCAAACAGTGACCTCTCTTCAGTCAAGCTGCTTCTGAGTGCTGGAGCTCTGCCTAATCAAGACCCGGTTAACTGCCTCCAGATAGCCCTCAGGATGGGCAACTATGAGCTGATCAGTCTGCTGCTAAGGCATGGGGCCAATGTCAATTACTTCTGCAGAGTTAACCCTTTACATTTCCCATCAGCACTGCAATACACTCTGAAAGATGAAGTCATGCTCAGGATGCTGCTGAACTATGGGTATGACACAGAGCGATGTTTTGATTGCCCACATGGAGACAAAGTCCATCCTTCCTATACTGTTGAAGGCTGGACATCTACAGTTATCAAAGATACTAAGGTAAGTCCACAGTATTGGCTGTATTCCCTTACAGTCATTATTTGTGGCCCTGGAACTATGGCAATAAATAGATTACATCCACTCTCTCCAGAGGCTTGGTTGAAGAGATCCTAGTATAATAATTATATGATAAAATAATTATGATAAAATAAACACAATAGTAGAAAGATACAACAGGAACAAAAACAGTACAGAGGTAAAAGTGATTTAACTCTGCCTAGCAGTGTGAGGAAGTTTCATAAACGAAGCAACTGATTAAATGATTTATTTTGATCTTATTTCTGATGAAAAAAAGAATCAGGATAAGTACAGTTGACCACTACCATCCCTTCCCATTTTTGAGACATTTTTCTCTCTTGGCTTTCATCACACCACATCTCCTTTGACTACTATGCTAAACCATAGATACTTTGTGTTTTTCATTTACTTTCCTAATTCTGATTTTGTTTCCCTCAGTTCTGTGAAGTAATAACTTTGTCATGGCTGCAACATCTCTCTGGAAAGGTTGTTCGAGTGATGCTTGATTATGTTGATCAAGTTCGGATCTGTTCAAAGTTGAAAGCTGTGCTCCAAAAACAGGGGATCTGGTCAGAAATACATTTTATCTTAAGTAAGTATCCTTCTCATAGAATGACTTTTTACAAAAGTACTAATTGTATTCTTATTTGGTTGTTTTAGAATTAGAACACCCTTCTCTTCTGGTTAAAAGCTTGACTTAAACCAGAAAAATACTATTCCTATCTTTAAAAATGTTACTAACTACACTTAATTTGTATTTATTACCTTTTCCAAGGAGACAAAATCTGTTAGGTAACTACTTATTATATAGATAGGTAATACTTTCATCCCAATCCACCTAAATCATGGAAACAACACCATGGACACCGGAATGAAAAGCTAATATCATATGGCAATAAAAACAAGGATGAGAAAAAGCTAAGAGCCATGTCTGTAGAGGGTATCAAAATGACCTTCTTCAAAGCAAATTCTTTCAAAGTAGCACGTAAGACAAATTAATAATTTATTTCATGTTATTTCCCTTTGGGTGGTAATCTTCAGTTTCTACCCTGTCCCTGAGGGGGCTAAAACACACAGATTTTTTTTTTTTTTTTTTGAGACAGAGTCTGTGTCAACCAGGCTGGAGTGCAGTGGTGCAATCACAGCTCACTGCAACCTCTGCCTCCTGGGTTCAAGCGATTCTCCTGCCTCAGTCTCACGAGTAGCTGAGATTACAGGCATGCAGTCACCACGCCCAGCTAATTTTTGTATTTTTAATAGAGACGGGGTTTCACCATGTTGGCCAGGCTGGTCTCGAACTCCTGGCTTCAAATGATCCACCTGCCTCGGCCTCCCAGAGTGCTGGGATTACAGGCATGAGCCACCCCGCCTGGCCACATGCAGATTTAAGAACTTCAGATCTCACAGGCCAGATCCATGATTGATGCCAGTCTTTGGATTCTAACTTGACATGGCTCTGGAACCATATCTACAACAAGGATTGCAATAAGAACTGAAAAACTGTTTCCCTATTGACTTTGCCATTTAGTAACAGCAAATGAAATGCTATCAAATACGTTTGCTAACAAAACCCTAAGATACTAAAAAAAAAGTTCTTTTTCTCTTTGGATAATGTGCCTTTTCTTTTTAGCAAACCCTCGCTCCCTAAAACATTTGTGCCGCCTAAAGATCCGGAAATGCATGGGACGGTTACATTTGCGCTGCCCTGTCTTCATGTCATTTCTTCCATTACCCAATCGTCTAAAAGCATATGTCCTTTACAAAGAATACGACCTTTATGGACAAGGAATTTTTACAGGAACCTGGTAATCAAACCATTCTAATGGAAAAGGTATAATTTTGCAGCTGTATTCCTTAAAATTTCACTTATGTATGATTCATATTTTTTGCTTTACCCACCAACTAAAATCTCAATGCAGTCTAAGTCCTTTAAAAAGTAGCTCTGCTTGGGAGGCTGAGGCAGGAGGATTGCTTCACCTTGGGAGGTCAAGGCTGCAGTGAGCTGTGATCACGCCACTGCACTCCAGCCTAGGTGACCGGAGCAAGACCCCATCTCTAAAAGAAAAAAAAAATTTTTTAAAGTAGCTTTGAACATAGCCTCTCAACATATAAATGACTAGCATTCTCTAGGCAGTTAAAAAAAAAAAAACCCAAATAGTAAAAATTTCAATTAACTGAAATACACCAGTTTTAATTAAGTGTATAAATCCAATGTCTATGTGCTCAAAAGAATAGATGCCACTTCTGACAAGTCAAGATAACTCACTGCAGTATCTTTTTTATAGAGAAGTATATATAATACAGTAGTCTCCCTTATCTTCAGAGGATACGTTCCAAGACCCTCAGTGGAAGCCTGAAACCGGGGTTAGTACAGAACCCTAAACATACTGTATTTTTTCCTACAGTTACGTATCATACAATGTTTCAGTCATCATTGGACTACATATGTAATGGTGGTCCCATAAAGATTATAATGCTTATTTTTACTGTACCTTTTCTATGTTTAAATATATATTTACTATATAATTGCCTATTCAGTACAGTAACATGCTGTACAGGCTTGTAGCCCGGGAGCAACAGGCTATATAACACATGGCCTAGTGTGTAGTATACCATCCCATCTAGGTTTGTATAAGTGATTCTATGTTTGCACAATGACAAAATCACCTAAAAACACATCTCTCAGTAGGTATCCACATCTTTAAGCCAGTTGTTAAGCAACATACAACTGTACATGCATGCCCTACAGTGTGGATACACTGGACAGAGGGATGACTCAGGTCCCAGGTGGGACAAGGCAGGATGGTGAGAGACTTCATCATGTTACTCAGAATGGTGTGCAATTTAAAACTCATAAATTATGTATTTCTGAGATTTTCATCTTAATACTTTTTTTTTTTTTTTTTTGAGATGGAGTCTTGTCCTGTCACCCAGACTGGACTGCGGTGGCATGATCTCAGCTCACTGCAATCTCTGCCTCCCGGGTTCAAGCGATTCTTGTGCCTCAGCCTCCCGAGTAGCTGGGATTACAGGTGTACACCACCATGCCCGGCTAATTTTTGTATTTTTAGTAGAAACGGGGTTTCATCATGTTGGCCAGGCTGGTCTTGAACTCCTGACCCTCAGGTGATCCGCCCGCCTTGGCCTCCCAAAATGCTGGGATTACAGGCATGAGCCACCGTGCCCAGCCTCCTTTTAATAGTTTTGGGCCGCAGGTAACTGAAACCACACAAAGGGAAACCAGCGATAAGGGGCCTACTGTACATTTCAGTGATTGGACTGAATATATACTTACCCCAGTACATGACTCAGGAGTTTGCTGTTCTTGTGGGAAAGTCCCAATACCAGCTTAGTGTCTATTACTGTTTCTTTGTAGAGTCAAGTACAGAGGTAGGGTAATTCATTTAATTGAAATAGAACCCTCAATTGAAATTTCAATATTGAGAAATGTGTGTCCCTTCTTTCCACAAAATCCTGGCTATGGCTGACCATTTACCGGTTAATGTGATCACTGGAATTGGAATTACAAGTGTTTTCAAATGAATGATGGCTTATGGTTTCTGTATTGAACCTAGCCTGATAATGGACATGAAGAGGCTCACCGATGGCAGTTACGTTAAATTTTTATTTCTGTATATTTCAAACTGCATGTAAGTATAGGTTCCTTTTTCTGAGATGGAGTCTCGCCCTGTCACCCAGGCTGGAGTGTGGTGGTGCAATCTCAGCTCACTGCAACCTCTGCCTCCTGGGTTCCAGAGATTCTCATGTCTCAGCCTCCCGAGTAGCTGGAATCACAAGAGTGTGCCACCACACCCAGCTAATTTTTGTATTTTTAGTAGAGATGAGATGGGGTTTCACCATGTTGGTCAGGCTGTCTCGACCTCCTGACCTTAAGTGATCTGCCTGCCTTGGCCTCCCAAAGTGCTGGGATTACAGGCATGAGCCAGTGTGCCAGGCCTGTAAGTATACATTTCTATGTGTGGAAAGTGAGGAAAGAAACTGAAAAAGACATTCATTCAACCATACTTGTGTCACATTTAGAAGCCATATCAACAGGGAAAACAGGTAGAATGATATCGTCCATTTTCACTACAGCCCAGTCAGCTATGGCCTTGATGTTTACATGTTTAGTCTTGGTACTTTTTAAAAGAATTAGATAGTCCATTCTAGGGAAACTGAAGCTATATGATTTTTTTTCTAGTGTAGGGATTAATGGCTATATAGACTATTTCAGTAAGCACAGACTTTAAATTATTTTTATAGTTTTTTTACATTAAAAAATTTATATAGCTGACATGAATAGTTATTTTTTAAATCAAACTGGTAAGTGAGTGGTAGATTATATCTTTCAATATAGAAATATATTTAGGCTATACATGCACTTATATCAGATAAATTATATAATTCTAAAGTTAATTTCATCTATTCCCTGTACCTTCTAAAAGTATATATACATTTCTATAAAATCCAAGACAAAACACTAAATCCCAGAAGAAAGTAACTAATTGACATAAGAAACTATAAAGAGCACATGGGATGAATATGCATTAGTATTGAAATTACAAATCCAAGCTATACTGTGGTATGCACAATAACCTGCCCCTGTAAATTAGAGGAATTTCTGTAAGTAGGACCAAACAGTAGCAAGTATACGTCAATTAATGAAGTCTTTTTCCTTTGCTAAAAGAAAAACAGTCACCAGTGATCGATTAGTTTGCTTCTATAACAAACTTTTCCCAATAAAGTGACTTTTTTTTTTCATTTTAGCTGCTGTGGAATTATAGTTGGGCTAGCTGTATAATTTATAATGTCATAACAGCTTAAGAAGTCCATTGTTTTACAAACATCTGAAATTACTTTGAGAAATAAAGTTCAGAGTATCAAATATTTCATTAAAAAACACTGTACAAAAATCATGGACTTTATTATACATTAAAAAATCTTCTAACAACTTTTTTCCTGAAGCCTTGTCAGTATATACCTATTGTGACAAAATGAAAAAATAAGTTCTCCACCCCACATGTATACCAATACCATGATCACATAAAGTCGAGTTCTTCAAATCCAATTCTAAAGTGAAACATTGCATGATTTTGAATTGTACACTGCATGATTAATAGTATCAGTGAAATAAGAATCAATTCACTTACATTACAAAATCACCAAATATACAAAGCAATTTTGCATATTAGTTACAACTTAACCCCCAGTCTCATATTAACTGAAGTAAATTTCATGAGTGAAGCCACAGAGATTGGTTAAAAAGTATAATATAGTTCCAGTTTCAAATCTTTATGTCTTACTAGTTAATGTAGAAAGACAAAATCTCATGGGAGAAGAGTAAACCAAACTTGCTAAAAATAAAGGGTTGCTTTCTACAATTGGTGTGTTTAAGTATTTAAAATACAATCTGAATGCTAAGAGGCTGTTTCAGAACCAACATTAATAATTTCATTTTAGGGCCGGGCACGGTGGCTCACGCCTGTAATCCCAGCACTTTGGGAGGCCGAGGCGGGCGGATCATGAGGTCAGGAGATCGAGAACATCCTGGCTAACACGGTGAAACCCCGTCTCTACTAAAAATACAAAAAATTAGCCGGGCGCGGTGGTGGGCCCCTGTGGTCCCAGCTACTCGGGAGGCTGAGGCAGGAGAATGGCGTGAACCTGGGAGGCGGAGTTTGCAGTGACCCAAGATCACACCACTGCACTCCAGCCTGGGCAACAGAGCAAGACTCTGTCTCAAAAAAACACTTTTTTTTTCATTTTATTCAGGTGGCAGGTTTTACAACATACTAGCTCTTAGGATCTCTCAGCATTAATAGGATTCAAATTTTAAATAATATGGTTCCTAGATATAATGCAAAATTAACTCAAATGCCTTTACCATATACGATTTTATCTTCCCTAGGATGCACATCCTACTGACCTTTTCCCAAGTATAGTGGAAACACATTTACCACCCCTAGATTGTAGAGCCTGAGGATTCTTTTGAAATTAAACAATAATCATTGCAGATGTGGCAAAAACTAGACTAGCTTTAGGGACTCTGTTCAAGATAATAGCTTTAATCCCTGGTTGGCAAGTTCTCAAAATTTTTAAAGGTAGAAGGAATAACTGGTTTCCTATCTACTGACTTCATTGCCATAGTTACAAACATACTGTTCAAATAGGTAACAGAATGCATTGTAGAAGTAGGCAGGCTTAATATCTTTTCTTTTTAAAAAGGAGTTTTGTTGATTTCTAACACCATTAAGTGTAAGTCTGAATGTGAGAAAAGATATCCCAAAATCGAATCCAGTTACCCTCAAAGCATCTCAGAACTAGAAGGGATTTCAAAGGAGGGTAACAATCAGCTTTACCACTAGGCAGAAACCCATGGGCAGCCTTTAAATAACAAAAAGAGCTTATTAAAACAGATACTTAAATCTCTGCAGTAATGGAATAGTTCATATAGTTCAACAGTAATGGAACAAAAGCTGAATCATCTAAAATTGTTAAACCCACTCATAACTTCTATTTAGCATTGGAATGCACTTCGATCTGACCTATGGAGATGATGGGTTTATTATTGTAGAAATTCCTGTGAACATGACTTAAAACGAACTACAGGTCTGTCCAGCATCCCTAAGTCTGCCAGTGCCTTAACTCTAGCCTACACTATGACCCAGGGTGCTGATAAAGGGCAGCACTTGCTACCATGCAAAGCACCAGCTTAGTAAAGCTGCCTCCTAATGATGAACACCTTCCTTGTAGAGTAACAGATTTCATCTGAACTAAGTGAGGTGACAATTTGTAGTATAAACAAAAGACTTAATGGAACAGAAAGCTCCAGTCTCCAAAAGGTCTTAAAAACAGGACTTGCCATGACTACTTAAATGCTGGCAACAGAATAAATTCCAACTTTAACAAAACAAAAGAACTGATACACTATTGTGAAAGCATTCCTTTTGGTAAGCACAAAATAAACTTTTTATCAAAAGTATTTCATAAATTTCTACTTTTTTACTGTATGTTTTGGTAACATAAAGCATCAGTAAATAAACATTACACCCATTTGGCACATGGATAGAAGGAATATCATGATCCTATATATCATTATCCTATTCCTACAGAAAACAATGTACATATACAGTGTGAAACAGCTGAGTTATATTTTGAGACCTAAAACAGATGCCATTTCTAATGCAGAACTAAGAAGAAAAAACTGTATATCAAAGAAAAAAAAAGGCTTTTTCCCTTGTAAAATTATTAAAGTCTTAGTGGCTAACCTCTTGAAAAATTTGTAAATGTGTGACTATGTAAAGTATTTTACCCACTATATTAACTTTGTATATATATACTTTTTCATGTGAAACACATGAAAACATAATTTCTATTAGCAGTGTTAAAAGTGATTACAGAAAAAAAATTAAGGTTTAACATAAACAATAGGCAGTAGAGAAATGTTATTTTAACCTTGGCACCAGGTTAAATCCTTCCTTGGTCAACTTCTCCTATACTCTACTAGGCATTCAATTCATTTTCAATCTTTCACAAAATTGGACCTTTTACTCATTTGAAGAGTAGACATATTTACAATAATTAGTGCAAATTATTCTATTATCATACATTAGTTATTTGCCTTTGTGGATATAAAGTGGTGATTCAGTACTTTATCAAAACATGGCATTATGAAAATACTGGGAATATATCAGTCTGAAATTTAAAAGATTACATTTTCTAAACTAAACTCTGGGAATTTTTACTTTAAGCATGAAACATAATTGTTATAGAACTTCTTTTGAAATGTCACTTGACTTTCAATAAAAACTATTTCACACAATGCAGAAAATACAATGTATCATTCCATAGCAGTATCTTTACTTGTCAATCCTAATCTAAAATGTATTGAACAAAAATCTTTTAATAAATTCCAATATCTTATTTTTAACCACTACTGCTCTGCAGCAGTAATTGAAGTCCCAACCTGAGAACTAAGAATGTGATAATAAAATGCCAAGGGCTCTATCAATCTTGAACTGAAGACACTTAAGCTTCTTTCCTACTGGCATCAAGTGCAGTACATTAGAGAAATGTGAGCAATCCCAGAAAGTACCCTGAGATCAACAGTACCACCTGCCACAATTTGAAACCTTAACTGTAAAATCTCTGTTCTAATTATTTTATAAAAGTTCTATTGCACATTTAATATTGTTAAAATATTTGCAAACTTGTAGAATTCTCTGTATAAAGGGCTTTAAACTTATTCAGCTAAATGCTTCCTCATCACCAGCAAAATGTTCCTAATGAAAGAAAAGCATATCCATGAATGTCTAAGCCTGAAGAATAAATGATTTCTTATGGACACAGCCAATTACAATGCAAGAATTAAAAGTTCACAATTTGACGGAAAAAATTCTTGAGCAAATGTAATTCCTCAGCAGTCTGCTTCAGGGAGATGAGCAGGTTTCCTTTAGATGTTAATACATAGTACATTATGTTTAAGGGGGAAAAAAGATCAATGCAAACCTAAGTCATCAAGTTCAATCTTTTTTTTAAAATGTAGCTACAACAAATAAGCAAATATAAAGCTTAATCTCCTCCTTGATATTTCAACATAGTTGTTACCTTCTGCCATTTCACCATAGAAACTGTCAAATTCCAAGGGGGAATATCTACCAAAAGTATAAGCTTATGCTTCTGATTCTCTCTTCTTTCCTCCTTCTCCCAAATCACTCTCTTCTGACTGGCTACTGCTAAGGACAACAAACTGCCCCTCACTACTGGCTTGGTTTGGTCTACTGGAAGCAGCTATCAACCGACTTTGTTCTTCCAAGTCCTAGTGGAAAAGACAAAAAAGAAACTAAGTTACTTGTCTGCAGTCAAATGGCAAATTATGCAGTTAAGATACATTCTTGAGAGCCACTTCTTCTGTCATAAATATGTATGCATACTTCTGACAACTTGATAAAAAGAAAAGCTACACCCAAACAATACAACACCAAAATGAATTTTGGCACCATCCTATAAAAGCCAGCATTCAAACTAAAATCTAATATTTTATCTTTCTTTTTTTATGACCAACAACCAAATAAAGCCCATCATCAATCATCTCTCACTATATATTATAGTAAAACCCTCGAAAGGGATCACCCCCACACTCCTTTCCCTTCCCCTCTCCAGCCCTTTTCTCCATCCCTGTCCAATTCATCTTTGCTAAATCAGGTGTCACCTTCCCTCAGCCTCGCCTATCAAGAAAGCCTCACTTCAATGTCATCTTTGCCACTTCCCTCTTCTTTGTCCAGAGAGCCAGCCCACAGCCAATGCTTATTGATCTGTTCTAAGCATCCCAGCTGTCTCCTCTTTTCTATTCCTACTGTCAATCTACAACCCATAACACGCTCTTACAATTTCATGGATCATTTAATGCATTCTTCAAGTTTTGCTCTGAAATTTGTCTTTTAAAATTATTCTGTTGGATGGACAATGATTTGACACTCCTGGCAATATTAAAAATATACATTTCATTATATATTTCATATAACATATATATTTATTTATTTCCCCCCCATAGAAGGCAAAATGGCTTTCAGCAATGGCAGTTAAGTCTACACAGCCTCTCAACTGCTTTGACAGAGACAACCTCCTCTGAAATATTAAAGTTCTGGTATATTTTTGAAACAGTCATATTACATGTCAACGTAACTATAATGTAAACATCATATCAAAAAACAGATGTGACCCTTTTCTGCTATGGTATGAATCATCTGTTTATGAAGTGGCTGAACAAGCAGAAACAGCCCTTCATTTGGAAATTCAAATCTGAAAGTCATAGTGCTGAATTAAGTCTTCACAAACAACACATAAAGATCCAGACATTAGGACTGTATACCTTTTCAATCTGTTTTTGTTTATTGAGTTCTTTCTGTTGCTTCTCTTTTACTCTCTCTATTTCTTTTTGTTTTTCTGATGCCCTACGATCCTAAAGAACAGATGAATAAAACTAATGAATTAAATATGAAATAACTTTAAATTTTAGACATTTCAGTTAATATCACATGGTAACCTTTCAATATTTTTTTGCATTTATACATAAGAAAGCACATCAACAGTTTATATTCAATGGTAAACAATTATCCAAATTCTAAATGCTATGTTGGTAATAGTATCACTGTTAACCTTGCTTAGCAAAATCATTTTATTTACTTGCTAATATGAAAGAGCTAATATACTATTTTAGTTAACATTCTTGGAAAATCAAGCATCTTGGATTCCTTTTTTTTTTTTGAGATACAGTCTCGCTCTGTTGCCCAGGCTGGAGTGCAGTGGTGTGATCTCGGCTCATTGCAACCTCCGCCTCCCGGATTCAAGTCATTCTCGTGCCTCAGACCTCCTCAGTAGCTGGGATTACAGGTGCACGACACCACACCCAACTAATTTTTGTATTTTTAGTAGAAATGGGGTTTCACCATGTTGGCCAGGTTAGTCTCGAACTCCTGACCTCAAGTCATCTGCCCGCCTCGGCCTCCCAATGTGCTGCGATTACAGGTGTGAACCACTGTGCCCAGCCACATCTTGGATTCTTACCAGTTCAGCATGCAAAGCTATCTGTTTTGCCAGTCCAACAGAATCACATATCTAAAAAGAGAAAAAGTATGAAAAATTCAGGCAGTTCTCACAACAAAGCAAAAATGTCAAGTATCCAAATAACTGATGGAACTAGTTTTATAACTAATCCTAATACATTGCTTCAAGCAAAAGCATATTTAAGAATGCTCAAGCCCCCAAACCAAGGCTTTGTATGTTTTCCTTGAAGTCTACAGGATTCCACTGCTGACTCTCACCTTCATATATACCCCACTTCTTGTTATGTCAAATTCATTACTGTCACAGTAAGGCCTACGAGGAAGAAGCATGCAGCTGCTAATGCTATTCTCAGCTGAAGACATCTGAAAATGGCTGGTTTTGGTTCCCAACATAATGTTTGGTTCCCAACATAAATGAGAGGCTAAAAGATTGCACCAGCTATCAGTGGCAGGGAAAACATGGGTCTGTAGAGTCAGAAGGCCCAAACCATCAGCTTGGCTCTATTCAGAGATGCTTTGCTCAAGCAGCTCAGTAAGCCTAGGCAAAATTTGGGAGTTTTTTCCAAAAATCTTAGAATTATATAAGAATTTTATTTACACAAAAAACTACAAAACACTGATGAAAGAGACTGAAGACACAAAAGAACATCCCATGCTCATGGATCAGAATAATATAGTTAAAATAACCATATTGCCCAAAGCAATCTATAGGTTCAATGCAAATAGCCAAAGCAATCTTAAACAAAAAGAACAAAGCTGGAGGCATCACATTACCTAACTTCAAAATATATTACAAGGCTATAGTAAGCAAAACAGCAGGGGATTGTTATAAAAATAAGACACATGGCCAATGGAACAGAATAGAGAACCCAGGAACGAAGCCACTTGTTTACAGCCAACTGATCTTTAACAAAAGTGACAAAGAACTTTCACTGGGGAAGGGATATCCTCTTCAATAAATGGTTCTGGCAAGATTGGAGAGCCACATGTAGAAGAATGAAACCAGACCCCTCCCTCTCACCATACACAAAAATCAACTCAAAATACATTAAAGACTTAAACATAAGACCCAAAACTATAAAAATACTACAAGAAATTATAAGGATCAGAGCAGAAATAAATGAATCTGACATGAAGAAAACAATACAAAAGATCAACATAACAAAAAGTTGGTTTCTTTGAAAAGATAAAACTGACATTTAGCCAGACTAAGAAAAAGAAGACTCAAATAAAATTGGAGATTAAAAAGGTGACATTACAATTGATACTGCATAAATTCAAAGGATCATTCGTGGCTACTATGAGCAACTACATGCTAGTAAATTGGAAAATCAAGAAGAAATGGATAAATTCCTAGACAAATACAACCTACCAAGATTGAACCACGAAGAAATCCAAAACCTGAACAGTCCAATAACAAGTAACAAGATCCAAACCATAATAAAAAGTCTCCTGGTAAAGAAAAGCCCAGTACCTGATGGCTTTCCTGCTGAATTCTACCAAACATTTAAAGAAGAACTAATACCAATCTTACCCAAAATGTTCCAAAAAATAGAGGAGAAGGGAATACTTCCAAACTCATTCTACGAGGCCAGTATTACCTGATACCAAAACCAGACAAAGACATATCAAAAAAAGAAAACTACAGGCCAATATATCTCATGAATATTGATGCAAAAATCCTCAACAAAATACTAGCAAACCAAATTCAACAACACATTAAAAAGATCATTTATCATGACCAAGTGGGATTTATCCCAGGAATGCAAAGATAGTTCAACATATGCAAATCAATCAATATGCTACATCACATCAACAGAATAAAGGACAAAAACTATTTAATCATTTCAATTACTGCTGAAAATGCATTTGATAAAGTTCAACATCCCTTCATGATTAAAAACCCTCAAAAAAACTTGGTATAGAAGGAATATAGCTCAACATAATAAAAGCCATATATGACAGACTCACAGCTAGTATCATACTGAATGCAGAAAAACAAAAAGCCTTTCCACCTTTTAGATGGAAGATGAGTAATCAGGTAAGAGAGGAAAAAAGGCATCCAAATTGTAAAGGAAGAAGTCAAACTATCCTTGTTTGCAGATGATATGATGATCTTATATTTAGAAAAACCTAGACTCCACCAAAAAACTATTAGAACTGATGAATTCAGTAAAGTTTCAGGATACAAAATCAACATACAACAATTAGTAGCATTTCTATATGCCAACAGTGAACAATCTGAAAAAGAAATAAATAAAGTAATCTCACTTACAATAGCCACAGATAAAATTAAATACCCAGGAGTTAACCAAAGTGAAAGATCTCTATAATGAAAACTACAGGCTGGGCGCAGTGGCTCAGGCCTGTAATCCCAGCACTTTGGGAGGCCGAGACAGGTGGATCACTTGAGGCCAGGAGTTTGAGACCAGCCTGGCCAATATGGTGAAACCTCATCTCTACTAAAAATACAAAAATTAGCCAGGTGGTGGTGGCGCATACCTGTAATCCCAGGTACCTGGGAGGCTGAGGCATGAGAATTACTTGAACCTGGGAGGCAGACATTGCAGTGAGCCGAGATTATGCAACTGCACTCCAGCCTGGGCAATAGAATGAGACTCTGTCTCAAAAGAACAAACAAAAAAAACAAAAAACTATAAAACACTGATGAAAGAAATTGAAGAGGACACCAAAAATGGAAACATATTCCACGTTCATGGATTGGAAGAATCAATATTGTTAAAATGTCCATACTACCCAAAGCAATCTATAGATTCAATGCAATCCCTATCAAAAAACCAATGGCATTCTTCACAGAAATAGAAAAAACAATCTGAAAATGTATATGGAATCATAAAAGATTCAGAATAGCCAAAGTTATTCTGAGCAAAAATAACAAAATTAGAGAAATCACATTACCTGACTTCAAATTACAATGCTACAGAGCTATAGTAACCAAAACAGCATGGTACTGGCAAAAAAAAAAAAAAAAGACACATAGACCAGTGCAACAGAATAGAGAATCCAGAAACAAATCCACACAACTACAGCGAACTCATTTTTGACAAAGGCACCAAGAATATACATTGGGGAAAAGACAGTCCCTTCAATAAATGGTGCCGGGAAAACTGGATATCCATATGTAGAAGAATAAAACTAGACCCCTCTCTCTCACCATATACAAAAATATTTTTTAAAAAAATTTTTTTTTATTTTTTTTATTTTTTTTTAAATTTTTTTAAATATAATTAAAATGGATTAAAGCCTTAAATCTAAGACCTTGAACTATGAAACTACTACAAGAAAATATTGGGGAAACTCTCCAGGACATCAGTCTGGGCAAAAATTTCTTGAGTAATACCCCACAAGCACAGGCAACTAAAGCAAAAATGGACAAATGGGATCTCATCAAGTTAAAAAGTTTCTGCACTGCAAAGGAAACAATCAACAAAGTGAAGAAACAAGCCACAGAATGGGAGAAAATATTTGTAAACTACTCATCTGACAAGGGATTAATAACCAGAATATACAAAGAGCTCAAACAACTCTATAGGAAAAACCTTAATCTGATTTAAAACTGGGCAAAATATTTGAATAGACATTTTTCAAAAGAAGACATACAAATGGCAAACAGGCATATGAAAAGGTCCTCAACATCACTGATCATCAGAGAAATGCAAATCAAAACTACAATGTATCATCTCACCCCAGTTAAAATGGCTTATAGCAAAAAGGCAATAACAAATGCTGGGAAGCATGTGGAGAAAAGGGAACCCTTGTACACTGTTGGTGGGAATGTAAATTAGTATAACCACTATGGAGAAAAGTCTGGAGGTTCCTCAAAAAACTAAAAATAGAGCTACCATATGATCCAGCAATCCCACTGCTGGGTATATACCTAAAAAAAGGAAATCAGTATATTGAAGAGACATCTGCACTCCCATGTTTGCTGCAGCTCGGTTCACAATAGTTAAAACTTGGAAGCCACCTAAGTGTCCATCAACAGATGAATGGAAAAAAAAAAAAAACAACAGATGAATGGATAAAGAAAATGTACACACACACACAATGGAGTACTATTCAGCCAGAAAAAAAGAATGAGATTCTGTCATTTGAATGGATGATACATGGATAAAGAAAATGGATAAAGAAAATGTGGTACTTACATACAATGGAGTACTATTCAGCCATAAAAAAGAATGAGATTCTGTCATTTGCAATAAGATATATGGAACATGGAGGTCATTATGTTAAGCAAAATAAGCCAGGCACAGAAAGACAAATATTGCATGTTTTCACTTATCTGTGGGATCTAAAAATCAAAACAATTGAACTCATGGAGCCAGAGAACAGAAGGGTGGTTACCAGAGGCTGAGAAGGGTAGTGTGGGGATGGGGGGTGGGAGGATGGTTAATGATTAAAAAAAAAAAATAGAATGAATAAAACCTGGTATTTGATAGAACGGGGGACTACGGTCAATAATAATTGTACATTTAAAAATAACTAAAAGAGTATAATTGGATTGTTTCTAATACAAAGGATAAATGCTTAAGGGAAGGAATACTCCATTTTCCATGATGTGGTTATTACGCATTGCATAAGTGTAGCAAAATATTTCATGTACTGCATAAATATATACACCTGGCTGGGCGAGGTGGCTCACACCTGTAATCCCAGCACTTTGGGAGGCCGAGGCAGGCGGATCATCTGAGGTCGAGAGTTTGAGACCAGCCTGACCAACATGGAGAAACCCTGTCTCTACTAAAAATACAAAATTAGCTGGGCGTGGTGGCGCATGCCTATAGACCCAGCTACTCAGGAGGCTGAGGCAGGAGAATCGCTTAAACCCGAGGGGGCGGAGGTTGCAATGAGCCAAGATCGCGCCATTGCACTCCAGCCCAGGTGACACAGCAAGACTCCATCTGGAAAAAAAAAAAAAAATGCATACACACACACACACACACACACACACACACACACCCCTTGTACCCACAAAAAACGAAAAACAAAGATCATCCTACTTTCACCATTTTAGCTCTAATTAGTCTCTTGAGAAACTTTGTTAGTACGATATTCTCAATAATTGTTCTATTAAAGGTTCTTTTTCCAGCTGGGTGTGGCAGCTCATGCCTGTAATCCCAGCACTTTGGGAGGCCAAGGCAGGTGGATCACTTGAGGTCAGGAGTTCAAGACCAGCCTGGCCAACATGGTGAAATCCTGTCTCTACTAAAAAAATTAGCCGGGCATGGTGGCACACAACTGTAGTCCCAGCTACTTGGGAGCTGAGGCAGGAAAATCACTTTAATCCAGGAGGTGGAGGTTACGGTGAGCCAAGATTGTGCCACTGCACTCCAGCCTGGGCAACAGAGCAAGAGTCTGTCTCAAAAAAAAAAAAAAAAAAAAAAAAAGGTTATTTTCCATAGAAAAAAAAAACACTAGAAGAAAATGAAGGGAAAACTCTCCTGCACATTGGTCTCGGCAAAGATTTTATGCCTAAGACCTCAAAAGTATAGGCAATAAAAATAAACAAATGGGACTTAAACTAAAAAGTGTCTGCATAGCCAAAGAAATAACAGAGTAAACAGACAACCTGTTGAATGGGAGAAATTATTTGCAAACTGTTCATCCAACTGGGGACTAATATCCAGAATATACAACGAACTCAACAGGGAAAAAATCAAATAATCCCACTTAAAAGTATGCAGAGGATATGAATATGCATTTCTTAAAGGACACAAAAACAGCCAACAGGTATATGAAAAGATGCTCGACATTACTAATCATTAGAGAAATGCAAATCAAAATGACAATGAGCCATTCTTACCCTAGTCAGAATGGCTATCACTAAAAAGACAAAAAATAGCAGATGTTGGTGAAATGCAGAAAAAAGGGGAACTCATACACTGTTGGTGGGAACATAAACTAGTACAACCACTATGGAAAACAGTATGGAGATCTCTCAAAAAACTAAAAATAGACCGGGTATGGTGGCTCACGCCTGTAATCCCAGCACTTTGGGAGGCTGAGGCAGGCAGATCACGAGGTCAGGAGATCAAGACTATCCTGGCTAACACGGTGAAACCCCGTCTCTACTAAAAATACAAAAAATTAGCCGGGCATGGTGGCAGGCACCTGTAATCCCAGCTACTCGGGAGGCTGAGGCAGGAGAATGGCGTGAACCCAGGAGGCAGAGGTTGCAGTGAGCCAAGATCGCACCACTGCATTCCAGCCTGGGCGACAGAGTGAAACTCCGTCTCAAAAACAACAACAACAACAAAAACTAAAAATAGAACTACCATTCGATCCAACAATCCCACTACTGGGTATCTACCCAAAATTAAAGAAATCTGTATCAAAAGGATACCTGCACTCACATGTTTACTGTAGTACTATTCACAATAGCAAAGATATTAAGTCAATCTAAATGTTCATTAACAGATAAATGAATAAAGAAAATGTGGTACATATACACAATGGAGTACTATTCAGCCATAAAAAGAATGAAATCATGTCATTCACAACAACGTGGATGGAACTAGAAGTCATTATCTTACGTGAAATAAGCCAGGCACAAAAAGACAAATATCACATGTTCTCACTTGTATGTGGGAGCCAAAAAATTGATCACGTGGAGGCAGAGTGTGGAATGACAGACAACAGAGACTGGGAAGGCTGAGTGATGAGGAAAGGGGGAGGATGAAGAAAAGCTGATTAAAGGGTACAACCATAAATTACGATAGAAAGAATATATTTAATATCTGACAGCAGAGTAGGGTGACTATACTTCACAAAAATGTATTGTACTTGGATGATGGACACCCTAAATACCCTGACTTGCTTACTGTACATTCTATACATGTAACAAAATTCACATGTGCCTCATAAATTTGTATAAATTGTAAAGAATTCAATCAGTAATTACTAACTAATTTAATTTGTAAGAATTTAATTATTATTAAATCTTAGTAAGAATCAATTAGTAAGTGGTTATGACAGAGATATTCTGAAAAGCCATGTACCTTTTCCCCCTCATTGTTTGACTCAAATATATAGCAGACTGATGACAGATTACTTTCACTTCTCCCGCTTGATGTCCGAAGAACAAATCCAAAAAGGCGCTTATTTTCCTGGTGTGTAGCATACAAAACTACACAAGGTAATGGAAACTGCCACAGAAAACATCAGAAGCAAACATGAGATCTTACAAGTCATTACAGCAGCACTTGTGACAAACTCATATGCTAAGTTCTAAAAATATAAATATTTTAATATATTAAAGCCAATTATTTTAACAGACTTGTAATGCAGAAACAAGTAATGTCATATTTGGTTTGAATTAACAAGCAGAAAAAGGTTGTTGAATATTACATTTGTTTTATTAGTCATTAACACATTTTACAAAGTCAAAAAGAACTGTGTTAAAAAAATTACAAAAAGAATTGTGTTAATTCTTTTAAGTTACATAAAATGTTCAATGACAACTTTTTGGAGATGGCCATAGACTTAACTACAACAGCCAAAGACCAATCATAGCTGATACTATCACACTTGAATATACAGGATCAGGATTATTATCAAGTTGTAAGATGTGTATATATACAAAGGGACCTAAAACAAAGCTTAAATCATGTGGAACTCACCGTGAGCCTTGTAACTTGTGTCTGTGGATCAATTAACCTAAAATAATAATTTAAAAATTGGAAAACAAATTTTAATTAGGCTGAAATCATGTAAATGTTTTTTCTACAGTTTTTTAAGGGAGGGTTTTACTTACTTTAAACAGTCACAAGTGACTAATAAATGCGATTCTGTCATACGAAAGATGTTATGGATGGCCCGGGCAGCTAAGATTTGGCGCATAGTTTCATAAACAACATCTGGATGGTCATCTGATTTCACCTCCATTGAACCAAGGAATCGGACAATAAATAACTGATGAAGAATAGAATCTATAATAGAACAAGGTGTATTACATATTTTTTTTTTACTGTATAAATTTACATTTTATTTTTTTCGCCATATTTCTTTTCCAAAAGAATAAAATACACTGCCTCCTTTTAGGTTTTCTAGTGAAAAATTCAACAGCCTAAGGGAGACATTTCAAAATAACTCCTAACTACAGTATTCCAAGTTATAGGAAAATTAGGGTTTCAAATTCAAATAGCTAAAAGTAATGCTTCAACAACTGGCAGTTCTGAGGCCAGGCGTGGTGGTTCACACCTGTAATCCTAGCACTTTGGGAGGCTAAGGCAGGAGGATCCCTTGAGCCCAGGAGTTCGAGACCAGCCTAGGCAACATAGGGAGCCCTGTCTCAACACACACACACACACACAAACACACAACAACTGGTGGTTCTTACAGCATTTCTGTAAGTTTAGAATTCAAATAAATAGTTAGTGGCGGAAAAACAAAATTTATGCTCCAGTACCAGAAGAGAAACATCAGCTGTTAGGAAAAGCTTGAAAGGTATCTTAGGCACTGAATTTGACTATAAAGTCAAAAGTATGAGAGTCTATCGTTTTGTATGAATCACAACATCTTAAGTCAGATTAAGTTCTGTTGCTTCAAGTGTACTATAAGTAAGTAGAGGAAATTCTGAAGTAAAGATAGCATTAAAACTGAGCTTAGTAGCAGAGCAAATATAAACAATAAATTATTCACAGTTTGCTGAGAAGCAGTTCTAAAATATATGAATGCTGCACATCTGTCTTACCTTCAGTTTCAGATTTTGTACTTCCTCCAGATTCTCCAAATGGATTTGTACGCCTAAAAAGTTTAGAAGAAAATATGAACACATGGTCAGTTACCATGAGCCACATAGAAGAAATCTAATTATTAAAACCACAGTTAACATTTAAAAAAAAAAAGCTCTAAAATGCCCCATCCTATTAAGAAACACTATTGATCACTAAATTACTATGATGAAGGCCTCTGCCCTCACACACTAACTGATCAATGTTGGTGCACTTTAGAAGACACAGATGAATTGGAAGTTTAGA
Organism: Homo sapiens; assembly: GCF_000001405.40. Classification (NCBI taxonomy): domain Eukaryota; kingdom Metazoa; phylum Chordata; class Mammalia; order Primates; family Hominidae; genus Homo; species Homo sapiens. Next base: position 57,258,794 of record NC_000003.12, on the reverse strand, counting down.
CATACACAACAAAAAATCAACATAATAAACCATGTTGCAAAAGTTCTTGAATTTAAATAAGCTAGCACAGAGGAACACTTATTTAACTGCAATCTTAGTTGCTTGAGAAAAATGCCAAGAATGTCCTGGAATTGTAAAAACTTCTTTTTAGGTTCTGTAAGTACATGTTACAAGTTACCTATAATCTAGTTTTAAACCTGTATTTCTTAAAGCGTAAGTAACAATGCAAAAAGAAAAGTGAACTGGAGATGGAAGCTACCTTCCTCCTTAGTGTGCATGGCTTGTGGCACACCACAGTGAAGGAAGAAAAGTACAACTCAAAGTAGGTTTTGGAGGGCTGGGCATTGTGGCTCACACCTGTAATCTCAGCACTTTGGGAGGCCGAGGCAGGAGGACTGCTTGACCCTGGGAGTTTGAGATCTGCTAGGGCAACACAGGAAGAACCCGTCTCTACCAAAGAAATTTAAAAATTAGCTGGGTGTGGTGGCGCACGCCTGTGGTCCCAGGTACTCAGGAGGGTGAGGCAGGTGGATCCCTTGAGCCCAGAAGGTCAAAGCTGCAGTGAGCTATGATCATGCCGCTGCACTCCAGCCTGGGCAACAGAGTGAGACCCCATCTCAAAACAAAACAAAGTAGGTTTTGGAAGCAGAGAGCTAAGTGGTTCTAAAAAAACACTGACAGTAAGATAACAGGAAATTAATCTCTTTAGTATGTGTCCTATTACATCAAATGCTAAGTGTATTTCTGTGATCAAATGTAAATGACTTTTTCTGGGTCACAGCCATGTATATCCAAATTAATATATTATCAGTTTATTAGGTGTCCACTCTACTTAATAAATGATTTGCCTTAAGTCATGTTTCCTTCAATCACAGCCAAGGAAAAATTTTAACTGCTTTGGTGAGAATATTCATCATACAACTAAACAATGACTCATTCATAATTCATAATAGTGATAATGTTTTAGTAACTTCCTGAAGATTTCTTATTCTGGTATAAGATAATATTTTCTAATAAACCTATATCACATGTATTACCCTCAAGAATTTTTTAAAAATTGTCATGACCTAAAGACAGCTATCAACTTTCTTCTGCAATTTTAAGAGCAAGTATCCAAGAAATAGACCTAATAAGCAATACAGAATTAAATATTTGGAAACTAAATTATCTTAACTCCTTAACTGAGGCAGAAGACATAGAGAAAAAAACCTGCATGGTTCTTCCCTAACAATATGTTACATAATTAAACAAAGAAAGTACAACATAGCTGATATACATTATAAATAAGAGATGACTCTGAAATGCAGACAGGGGATTATAAGCCTTACAGACCACAGCACAATGTACCTGTGATGCTATCACCCACCTGCCTCCCTGGCCAAAGGCTTTTGCCTGGCCAGGCTGATCTTCACACACAGGAGAAATTATGTCAAACTGTATTGGGGTGTCTGGGGCAACAAGAGAATCTAGAGAGAGGGCAGCCAAATTTGTAGACTCAGATCCTAAGGATCCTGAACTGCTGGTTCGAGCTGTCGGTGGCCGAGATTGTCTAAGCATAAAACAAGAAGGCATTGCATTTAATTTTCCCTTTTGGATATTAAATATTTAACAAACTATGAAAAAAGAAAACACAATATTATAAGTCAATGAGAAGTCTTAAGTTTCAGTACAAACATAATCCCAGATCACAGATACTTTAAATAGCCCATCTCCTTCTTTAAATAACTCAGTGTGGTAACTTACCCTGCTGCTGGCCGCAGGCTCTCGTGCCTCTGCTGGAAAGATGGGGAAGGAGTGACAGCTTCCAGAGCTGATTGATTTACTCGTGCAGCAGTTTCCTATTTCAATTTTTTTAAAAAAGGACTAATATTAGTAAAGTAAGCAAACCAAAAGTTTGAATGTAACTCTGAATTGTTAGAATGCTTCTGAGTTACACTTAAAATATAAATTAGAGCTACTAAAGTAGTACTATATTCCCTCGTCTTAATATTAGGGTACATAACTGATTTCCTCTTACTTCCTATAATCTAGCAAAAAAATCTGATTTTCTACTTATACATAATTATTAGATATTGCTTTTTAATTTTTTAAAATTCCCTGCAAGTGTTGCACACTTTAAATTTTTAAAGAAAATATTGTTTTCTTTACATTTTTAACTACCAGATATTTTTTATTAAAGTTTGTATTGCTAACATGCAGCCCAGTGCCTGGCACAATGGACAATCGATACATTTGTTGAATAAAGAAATTTAGAAGGAATAGGAAATATTCACAAAATATGAGTATTTTATAACTATGCTGGTAAAGTTTTCACAATTTTCCAGAATATATTTATGCTCAGAAGTATCTGTTTATTAATTTATAAAGCTGTCATATTTTCAGACCAAAAAATTGAAAATAAGAAAGCTTTCCATAAGAAATACTTTAGACTTACTGTTTTATTTAAAATACTGGCTAAATAAAAAATGGTATTTAAATTAGAGATCTGTTTTAATCACGTACATATAGTTAACATTTCTGTATACTTAAAAATGGTTAACATGGTAAATTTACAGATTTTTTCACAATTTTTTAAATGGTCTTTTTTTGGGAGATACGTTCTCTATTGCCCAGGCTGGCGTGCAATGGCATGATTATGGCTCACTGCATCCTTGATCTCCTAGGCTCAAACAATCCTCCCCCCTCAGCCTCCTGAGTAGTTGAGACTACAGGCACTATTCCATAAAAATGGTCTTTAAATTAGAAAAAATAATCACATAACAATTTTGCACTTCTGTGTCTTATGGTTAGCAAAATGACTAATACAATGCTAAAAACTGATCAAAATTCCTATTCTCACTAATACAGATAAAATAATTCTGGATAACCTAGGAAATATTAACTAAAAATTAGAGTTCTGATAATTGGTAGTAAAAGACTGTAAGTATTACAAACTATTCAAATCCAAACACTGTATGACCTAAATGATAAAATAAATTATTTAATTTGTATTTTAATGGTATTTTTTGTTGTTCCCAAATAACCTTACAAAAAGGAAAAGCTAGATTGGCAGGAGATCAAATTACTAAAAGCAAAAGCCTTCTCTATAGTTAACACTGATTTTCCGTAATTAAACTCATAATTTATTTTATTAGACATAATTGTAATAAATATGTTACAATGTAAATATAATAACATTATAAAACTAACAAATTACGAGTATTTTGGAGGTCATGAGATTTTGTTTCTATGGTTCAAAACTTCCTCCTAGGCATTCCTTAGCTGGCACCTCAAAGCCGTTAAGATAAAAACAGAACTCTTCTTTCCCAAATTCTTCTTCTCTTCCCTTGGGTTTAAAACCTGGAAGTCATCTTTACCTTAGTCATCTCTTTCATCCTTCATATCAATCAGTTACTAAACTAGTCTAGGCCTCCCATCTAATCCACCATTACATCAACAGCAGATTACAATTTAGAAGAGTGAGAGCCTCCCAAAGAAATTAGCCCTCCCAGCCTCAGCTGAAATCATCAGCCAGGAGTTGCCTGGACTCCCATAGCACAGACAGGCCCACTAAGAGTGGCAGAGGTCAGGCAGCTCCTGTCCTAGAGTCAAGTCCTCTTCCAACTATACTGCAGTACCTACTTGACTCCTTCCAGAATTCTCTGTACCCCTGGGTTCTACCTGTATGTTTGGACTGCACCTGTGGCTGTGTCTACACTTCAGGGTTCATCTGGTTTGATATCCTTGCCACACAAAATATAATTTGCAAAACTGGGAATTCACGCTGTATCACCCCAGACATACTGAATCATATTACGCATTTTAACAAGACCCCTAAGTGACTTGTATGCACATTTCAGTTTTGTATTCTCTATCAAGAATCTTTAACTTGGCTGGGCGTGGTGGCTCACGCCTGTAATCCCAGCACTTTGGGAGGCCGAGGCAGGTGGATCACCTGAAGTTGGAAGTTCAAGACCAGCCTGGCCAACATGGCAAAACCCTGTCTCTATTAAAAATACAAAAATTGGCTGGGCATGGTGGCGCAGGCCTGTAGTCCCAGCCACTCAAAAGGCTGAGGCAGGAGAATCGCTTGAACCCGGGAGGCAGAGGCTGCAGTGGGCTGAGATAGCACCACTGCACTCCAGTCTGGGCAACACCGCAAGACTCTGTCTCAAAAAAAAGAATCTTTAATTACACTGCTAGTTTCATAAACCTGCCATTTCTGCATTTGTATTCTTTTTTTCTCTTATCTGCACTGTGTCTTCTTTTCCTCAAAACAAACAAATCCTACCCAACTCAGGTTTCCACCATCTCCACAGAGCTTTCTCTAAAGTCCACACTGATCTTAATATTCTCAAAACTATTCTCAAAACCTAAGCCTTTAGTCATCGCCATATGCTTTCAGTTACATCCTGTTTTATCTGAAATGTTACTTAAAGTTTTAGTTTTGTCTCTCCATACAGATAGGCTCCTAGAGGGCAGAGGCCATGGCTCAATTTTCTTCTGTATTTCCTTTCTTCATGGTGCTCAACGCAGAGTTAAATAGTCCACACCCAATAAATATTTGTTGGTTGACTGAGTATCTTTTGAAATAATTTATTGTTCTAGGAAGACCACTCATTACATTCATGGCACATTAAAGCTACTCATTCAGGCCAGGCACAGTGGCTCACGCCTGTAATCCCAGCACTTTGGGAGGCCGAGATGGCCAGATCACCTGAGGACAGGAGTTCGAGACCAGCCTGGCCAACATGGCCAAATCCTGTCTCTACTAAAAATACAAAAATTAGCTGGGTGTCATGGCACACGCCTGTAATCTCAGCTACTGGTGAGGCTGAAGCAGGAGAATCGCTTGAACCTGGGAGGTGGAGGTTGTAGTGAACAAAGATCAGGCCACAGCACTCCAGCCTGGGCAATGGGGCGAGACTCTGTCTCAAAAAAAAAAAAAAAAAAGCTACTCATTCAAGGTCAAATTAAAAAATTACAGAACCTGAGAAATTATGAATTAATAAAAACATGTAAGCCACAAAATTACTCAATTTTGCTAGATCTGGGTAACATAAAATAAAAATATTACCTCTGGATTTTCACTTAAGTATATTTGTTTAGATATGTTGTTTATTGTACAGATCCACTGCAAGAGGAAAAAATAGAAAAATATAATTTTTTTTCTACAAAGCTTCTCTTGTAAAGGCAAATGTTCAATACTCAACTGCAACAGATGTTTCATTAGAAGTAATATATTTATCTTCCTTATAAGAAAACATTTCATAACAGATGTTTCATTAGAAGTAATATATTTATCTTCCTTATAAGAAAACATTTCATAAGGAGGGTGCATATATATAAATATATATAAAAGCACATTCAACATTTTTATTATTTAAATATATGAAAACATTTAGTAGATTTATGTAAGAATCTCAAGTTTAATTCATATAAGGCAATAAAAAATATAGCAATCATGTTAAATTATACTTAATAATCTATATTTATCTTTTTATATCACTTCCCCTCCTAATCCCCACCAAACAAGACAGTGTGAACTCGGGTATCATAATTAACACAAATGTAAAAAAATTTAAAAGATAAATATATTCTTGGTGAATATATTTTACATGCCTCCCTTCTGTCAAGTTTATAAATAATTAGCATAGAAAACAATCTCTGCTCTACATCTTCTGCTTCACTCTCGAGGATTCAAGTGCCCAAAGAGCCTCACTAATCTAAACAAATATTTTGTTTGGCAAACTATGCAGAGAACAGAGACATTTGTCTGTGTTCCTCAGAGACTAAAAGCAAGTTTTAATATTACTCTTTTCCATAAGAAGTAAATAAAGGTAGATCTCTATAGCATTTCCAACTTTTATCTTTTACCAACACAATTATAATGCCAAATTAAAAGGCTAAAAATCAAGCTAAGATACATTTTCATGGAAGAATGTTTCTCAAGATAAAGGTTTGAAGCATCAATTATTGCTAATACCTTACCTTCCATATCTGATATACTAGGAGTAAAAATGGAGCCAAAAATAAAAGGCTCATGAGGAAGAACAGAGACTCCCAAATTTTTGTTTTTCTATCTTTCATTTCTCCAAGGTTTTCAGCTTTAGTTGCTTCCTGCCATGTCACATCTGCTGCCACTATGTTCTTAGTGTAGCAAATAGTGTCTCAAAGGATTGGTGAGAGAAGGGAATAAATTAAACTGTCACCTCATGATACTAACAGCCTGCCAGACAGCAACAGTCACAAGGTCATTTCTCAATCTGAGCCTTTAAAATAGCAGAGATGATCTCTAAGGTCCCTCCCACTATAAAATTCTGTGAGAAACTTAAGAATATTGCTCGAGGACAATAGACTTTTACAAAAACAAAAAAGAAAAAGAAAGATTTTTAATTAACTAGGATTTTCCAAAATTTCTACAATGAACACATTAATATATGTTTTGTCATCAGAAAAATATTTTAAAATGTCAATGAAGAAATGAACTAGGTAAAATCTTACCTCTTCATGATCTTTTTTACTCTCTGCTTGCAAAATTGAAGATCTGGAAGAGAAGAGACGTTTGAGCCTCAACTGTTTAAAAAAGTATTTTCAACATAATCCGAGGTAACTTTTTAATCTTTAAAGTTAAAGGCATATATAAAAATCGATATTAAAAGAACAAAAACAAAACACAACCAACGGTATCTTAGGAAAAGGAGACCACCAGAGGTATCAGGATGCAGACTTTAACAGCTCTGACTTTGACTATCTATGCCAAGATGTACCAAAAAGGGAACAGGTGCTGATCCTCAGAAGACAGACCATGACAAAGTTACATTTCAGTGAAGGCAATGCATTTCAACTTATCATATATATTTCATATATATTATGAACTCATATATATTTCAAATATACATCAATGATCCTAATAGAAAAAACTTTACTTCATTATTTCTCCTTTAATATTAAATCAAATATTTCAATGTTAATCACTAACATATCATTATTTCGCTTTTCTATAGATATTAGAGTTTGAGAAAATAATAATTTTTATTAATTTTGCATCACACCAGGAATGTGAAATGGGAAATCATGGTAAGCATTAAGCAAAAAGTAAATACTTAATAGTAAGTAACATGTTAACAAGTTGGTAATTTTGATAAATGAATACAGTGATTCCAACATCTAGTGTGATAAATCCACACAATATTGGCATTCATTATATGTTTGTAGAAGGAATGTGAAATTAAACAACCATTTTGATAAAGGATAGTGAGCTATAGTATCTTTTTTTTTTTTTTTTTTTGAGACAAAGTCTCACTCTGTCACCCAGGCTGAAGTGCAGTGGCGCGATCTCGGCTCACTGCAACCTCTGCCTCCTGGGTTCAAGCAATTCTCCCTGTGTCAGCCTCCCAAGTAGGTAGGATTACAGGCACCCACCACCATGCCCAGATAATTTTTGTATTTTTAGTAGAGACTGGATTTCACCACATTGGCCAGGCTGGTCTCAAACTCCTGATGTCAGGTGATCCACCCGCCTTGGCCTCCCAAAGAGCTGGGATTACAGGCGTGAGCCACCAAGCCCGGCCTATAGTATCTTTTTTTCAGGAGTAAAGGTCAAATTTATTTATTTTTATAATATCTTAATGCGCATAAATACAGGGGAAAAAATGACTGTCAGGGAACCCACAGGCTGCTCCTGAATATTAAATTAAGAAAGTTCAGGCCGGGCGCGGTGGCTCACGCCTGTAATCCCAGCACTTTGGGAGGCCGAGGCGGGCGGATCACGAGGTCAGGAGATCGAGACCATCCTGGCTAACACGGTGAAACCCCGTCTCTACTAAAAATACAAAAAATTAGCCGGGCGTGGTAGCAGGCGCCTGTAGTCCCAGCTACTCGGGAGGCTGAGGCAGGAGAATGGCGTGAACCCGGGAGGCGGAGCTTGCAGTGAGCCGAGATCGCGCCACTGCACTCCAGCCTGGGCGACAGAGCGAGACTCCGTCTCAAAAAAAAAAAAAAAAAAAAAGAAAGAAAGTTCAAAGGTCAAAAGCAGTATTTTAATTGAGTGGGGGGAAAATGGCAGATAGTCTAAACATCTATCATTAGGAAAATGTTTAAATTATACTGTATGTCCTTAAATAGATTATAGAATAGCCATTATAACATGTTTTTAATAGGTGGCTGCAAATCCAAATTATAGTATTTCTTCAACTATTTTAAAAATGTACTTAAGTTAAAAATTGGAAGGCAATGGACAAAAAAGTTAATTGTCGCTTTTGATTAATAAGACAGTAGGATTTTTTCATACTCCTTTTTACATTTTCCATGCTTTTTGAAAATTTCTTTTAAATGCTACTTTAAAGATTCTCATTTAATGCAAAGGTAATAGAAGCCTGGACATGCTGGCTCATGCCTATGATCCCAGCACTTTGGGAGGCTAAAGCAGGAAGATCACTTAAGTCCAGGAGTTCGAGACCAGCCTGGGCAACATGATGAGACATCTCTACAAAAAAATTTTTTTTAATTGCCAGGCACAGTGGCATGCACCTGTGATCCTAGCAACTTGGGATCCTGAGGTAGGAGGATCCCTTGAGCCCAGGAGGTTGAGGCTACAGTGAGCCATGTTTACACCACTGCACTGCAGCCAGGGAGACACAGTAAGACCCCGCCTCAAAAAAAGGTAACAGAAATTTTTTAAATGGTATTATAAACATTAATGGAAAAATAATCTGATCAGAAATACTTGATTAACATTTTAAAATAACACTATTGTTAGCACCTACTATATGTCAGTCACATTACATATGTTAGAATTTCTGTTCCTCACAACAATTTACGATAGGGATTACAACCCCCCCCCATTCACATTTTACATGAAGAAAAATGGAGCGGAGAGGGGTTACAGACATTACTGTACTGTCTGAGACCACACAGTAAGTAATGGATCCAGAGTTTGATCCTTCTGACCCCAGGTTTAGGACTCTTTCCATTAACTTGTTCTGTCTTCCCTGATACTATGCAGGATTTTCAGTTCCAGTTCCCTAACATGAAATCACAGGTCTTTACTATATGACATTGCTTTGACAACTTCAAAATATCAAGAAACCATTTAACCAAGCCAGAGACAAAAATTCAATATATTTCTACAAGATTAAAAAGCAATTTATCTTAATACATAATGAACCTAAAATGTCCATAAAATTTCTAAACAAAAAGGAATTATCTCACATTTCAGAAGTTTAATATACTATAGATTAGTAGTAGTAGAAAAAAAATACTAACTTTTTTCCATCGAAAGAGGTGATCTGAAAACAATATCGTCTGTCTTCACAGTCCACAGCCATCACTGAACAGTTGTCTATGTCCATGGCCAGGCCTCCTGCTACATCCCCACGGGCCTGACTCATTAAATTTCCACCCTGCGTGAAGTAAAACTGTCTGTCCCAGGTAGATGACACCAAGCCTGTTTTACTGAATGAAGAAAGCACATTCACTCTTTAATAACAACATACCTGAAATCTCATCATCAGCTAGACACAAGATAAAGCATGTTACAATGAACTGGCTTGCGAAGAGGCACCAAGATGCCAAGAAAATAAATATAAATATGCTTTCAGTCTCTAAAATAAATTCATGTATGTTGACTCACTTTTGTGAATGTGTATACAGTTTCCAAAACAAGGCTGGAAATTATCAAACTGTGGCTGTTATAATAATGATCCATAAAATATAGGTTATAGTTCAATTTCCAAGGGAGTAAATTCAAAACAACAGAATTTATTTTATTTCTAGGGTTAACCTGCTTCATCCTATCATCAGGTGAAAACTAACATTTGACTTGGTGCTATAATTACAAATATATTAAAGTAGGATAAATGATATTTCATAGCATTCTCATGTTATGATACAATATGTGAATATTTATTTAAACTCAAATTAGTTTCACTTCATTTTTTTTTTTGAGACAGAGTCTCACTCTGTCCCTCAGGCTGGAGTGCAGTGGTGGGATCTCGGCTCACCACAACCTCTGCCTCCCATGTTCAAGTGATTCTCGTGTCTCAGCCTCCTGAGTAGCTGGGATTACAGGTGTAAGCCACCATGCTCAGCTAATTTTTGTATTTTTAGTAGAGGTGGGGTTTCACCATGTTGGCCAGGCTGGTCTCGAACTCCTGACCTCAGGTGATCCGCCCGCCTCAGCCTCCCAAAGTGCTGGGATCACAGGCGTGAGCCACCATGCCCAGCCCTGGTTTCACTTCTTTTATCATTCTACATTATTCAATAAATATCTAGGTAGGATTTTACTTCTGAAAAGTATTCATGTACTTCATCTGTCAAAAAGTTCACATAAATACTAACACCTCTAAAAAGTTTCAACCTTTAATAAAAATCAAAATATGACAGACATCAATTATTTACTATATTCATTTGGTATTGTCTTACATGATACACAATATACAAAAATAACAATAGTTTTCTTACTTCCTAGCATTAAGGTATCCAGCCTTTCGGGTTAAATTTCGATTAACAGGAAATTTGGTGGGGTCTGGGTCAGGCACATATAAGGGATCACTGGCTACTTCCAAATCCTCTATTGTCTGTTGCATGGTCTCTATATCACTGTCCATTTCCCTGCGAACACTGACACAGAACAGATTATTTGCTACAAATCACAACCAATAAAGAACTCCTTACCAATCATGTTTACCTGCATATTTGTTTCGGGTATGTTTTCTTAAAGAGAGGAAGAGCGGCATGGGTGGTTAAAACAACACGAATATATTTTAAAACAGGTTTACAGTTTATTTGAAACTTAGATATTTTGGAAACAATACTAAATTCAAAAAACAAATGAAGCCCCCCGAATGCCTGATTTTGGCGTAATTTTCAAACTGTTCTGCCCTGTGCCTTTAAAACAACAATCACTTTCATCTCTCTCCATACCGTGGACTGACCACATACACTGCTCGGCATTTTGAACCTGATAAGAACTGCTTTCTCTCTAAGCTTTCATGGCTTGGAAACAATATTTAGTAATCTCCCATCAAACTCCCACAATTTCAAGTTTAAAGATAATTTCACTTATGGGGAGTTACTATTATGTGTCTGTTATATTCAGACATAAAACTGAGTGTAGAATCAATAAAATTATCACTATTATGAAATTCAAAGTTCACAATCTGTGGAAAAAAGAGGTTAAAAAAAAACAAGAAGTAACCATGAACCACATAAGAAACTCTCATGGCAGGGAAAATATTCCCTCAGGAAAGTAAATGATAAATATCTTTACATTATGTCATTGAGCTGTTATCATTCACATCATTTCATTTTCAATTTTAAGGAAAAAAATACTTACTTCTGAACGCTTGTTCCAATATTAGCTAAAAATTCTTCCAGTTGTTCATTAAGATTTTCAGAACCCATCTTAAAGAAACTTATCTGGAGAGTGGGGAGTGGGGGGAATTGAACAATACAAAAATAGATTAAGCAATACTTAAAGTAAATCATATAAACAATCTCTAAGACACATGGTTAAGTAAAAAACAAAGGAATATTCCCATTTGTGTAAAAATACATTGTAGTTTGTGACTTCTACTGCACAGGGAGCCATTAAGGAAGTTAGACTTAAATTCCACTGCATATCCTTTTATATTTTTTGAATTGGAACAAGTAATATATACATATGGTTAACAATCTTTTAAAATTGGAAAATAAATTTTAAAGTATTTCCAATAAATTATATAAAGTATTTCATGTTTACTACAAAGATAAGTTTTCTATCTGAGGAATAATCAGTAAAGTACTCTTTTACCTAAATAGATTCAATTTTTTTTTTTTTTTTTGAGACAGGGTCTCGTCTGTCATCCAGACTGCACAATAAAACCTCACTGCAGCCTCAGCCTCCTAGGCTCAAGGGATCCTTCCATTTCAGCCTCCCAAGTTGCTGGGATCACCGAGGCATGCTACCAAGCCCAGCTAATTTTTTCATTTTTTGTAGAGATGGGGTCTCCCTACGTTGCTGAGGCTAGTCTCAAACTCCTGGACTCAAATGATCCTCCTACCTCGGCCTACCAAAGTGCTCGATTATAGGCATAAGGCACCGTGCCTGCCCTCAATTTTCTTTAAACTCTTGATTTTTAGGAGACTGACACTTTGTCTTATACTACCCAAATTTTCTAGCCCCCTTCCTGATGTACTCTTTGGGCACGTTGGAGTTCATCTATTATTTTTAACTCAGGAAGTATGCAAGGAATATGGGATAAACTCAAACTTGTTTATTCTTTTTCAGATCTATTATGAAGCAAGTGTTTAGTTGAAGCTCTAGCAATAGGTGTAACTCTGAAATTCATTTAGTTCTCTCAGTCCCCAGCTATGGTGAACAAGTGGTTTCATTTACCTAAAATATTTGAAATCTTCATTTGCAAGGAAAACCATTCTTCCTAACTTCCTTAAAATAATAGTCTGATGACATTTTAAAAATAACTTCTTAAAACACAGACATAAACAAGGATGTTGAAAATAGTTTATAATACCCTTATACTTAATGTAAATATCAAGCTTAATATAAAACTTTTAGGACAGTTATAATCCAAATACAGTACAGTATTTACCTGAGCTTGCATGTACCCAAGTAGAGGTTCTAACAATGCTATTTTCTTCTTGTACTGAAGAGTATTTAATGCACAAAAATAATGCATCATGGTCTGGTGTTGTTTCTTTCTGGATGTGTACACATCTTCTGTTACTTCATACTTCACCTTTGAATGAAAAGATTTAAATAATTAAGTAAATAATCTGCTATTATTTACTTAATTTTGTATTATCTTCAGTAGGAGCTGTGGAGAAGAGCCTACCCAAGGAATTGAGTATCACAAGCAATTGAGCATTAATGTTCCTGTTTTCTGATCTTTTAGAAATCCTTCAACATACTGGTTAAGCAAATTTTCCTGTTTAACTTCCAACCACATAATTTACAAAATGCACATTGAGCCCAGGCGTGGTGGCTCATGCCTGTAATCCCAGCACTTTGGGAGGCCGAGGCGGGACGATCACTTGAGGTCAGGAGTTTAAGAACAGCCTGGCCAACATGGTGAAACCGACTCTATTAAAAATGGAAAAAAAAATTAGCCAGGTGCAGTGGTACACACCTATAATTCCAGCTACTGGGGAGGCCGAGGCATGAGAATAGCTTCACCCTGGGAGGGGGAGGTTGCAGTGAGCCAAGATCACACCACTGTACTCCAGCCTGGGTGACAGAGAGAGACTGTCTCAAAAAAAAAAAAAACTGCATATTGAAAACAGAATTCTGTACGTAACTAAGAATGGTACAATAACTAAACTAAGCATGGCAGAGAAAGCTTACGACAAGGAGGAATGGCAGACAATTGTTTGTTATTAGCTTAGTCATTAGTCTTTGACTTTGATCAGTTCACAGCATACCATTCTCCCCTCCTGGTTCTCTCCCTATCAGTCTTCCTCTCTTGCACTTGCTTGTCTTCCTTCACCCATACTTGAAATACGTGTGCTCCCTAGAGTTCTTTTATTCAGACAACAAATATTTATTGAATACCTATTATGTAATAGGCATTAGGTTCTTCTGCCTTCCTGCTTTCCTTAGAATCCTCAAGTACGAAGAATATTCTAATATTCCAATACACCAATGACTCAATGACTCACAAATTTTATCTCCTCCCTCTCACCTTCCCAAGTGACAGAGTAAACACATCTCCAGCTGGGTTCTTTATGTGTGTTTATGTGCTAAAAATGTACAAAACTGAAGATAGTTTTGTACACAAAACCTGTTCTTCTGCTTTGTTTCTTACCTTTCTTAATTACTACAGGATCCATCCAGACATCCAAGAAATCTAGGACTCATTTTTTATTCCTCCTATTACCACAAGTCTTGTCAATTCTACTTAAAAAAATATCTCCCAAAAGTACTCCTTCCTCTCCATTTTCAGTAACAACCTTAGCTGAGGCCTTCATTGTATCTCTGCAAACTATTCCAATTCCTTTCACTGGATATCCTCTAGTCTTGTCCTCTTCACATTTTCATTAGTATGTTTGTTCTATAACACAATTGCATGATGTTATTCACCTACTTAGAATCCTTTGGCGGCTGTCCACTCCCTCTAACACAAATTTCAAGGTCATTAATATAGTAATCTGGTACTAATATACTTCTTACTCTTTCTGCCATATCTCCTAACATTTCCTTTATTGTCACAGAGTACTCTTAATCTTTACACTCTCCCAACTCCACCATGTGCCTCTGAAAGGCTGTTTTTCTTTCAGGAAAGCACTCTCTCCGATTCCAAACTGGTGTTATCCACTTATCTTTAATGTAAATGTCACCTTCTAAAAGTGTAACCTTTGCTGGCCATGTGTGGTGGCTCAAGCCTGTAATCCCAGCACTTTGGGAGGCCGAGGCAGGCAGATCACCTGAAGTCAGGAGTTCGAGACCAGCCTGGCCAACATGGTGAAACCCCACCTCTACTAAAAATACAAAAATTAGCTGAGCATAGTGGCTAACACCTGTAATCCCAGTTACTGGGGAGGCTGAAACAGGAGGATCACTTGAACCCAGGAGGCGGAGGTTGCAGTGAGCCGAGACGGAGCCACTGCACTCCTGCCTGGGAGACAGAATGAGGCCCTGTCTCAAAAAAAAAAAAAAAGTGTAACCTTTCCCAATTCACCAATCAAAGTGAACTGCTGCCCTCTCTGTGCTCTCTCAGCATTTTATTAAAACCCCTATTATTGTATTTAACTAATAACAGAGTTAATTCATGCCTTCTTGTCATCCTTGTACTCTGGTTCCTAGTCCACCTGCATGCCTTCACACAGGTAGCCTTCAATAAATGTGGAGTATCCAGTCTTTGAGGGCAGGAGTGAAGCCTATTCATGTTGTTCCCCCAAGGTACCCAACAGACTGCTTGACGTATATTAGGTGCTCAATGAATTTTTAAATAAAATGAAGTTGGTGACAGAGTGTTTTTTAAAATACTTTGAGCAGCCAGAAGTAATGTAAAATATATCAAATTTTATACCCAGAGCCTTTAACTACTTCTCTAAGGCCAAGTGACTAATAGAGATCTCAAATGTATACATTTTATCAATACACCATTAAGTAGTAGTCTGCAGCTAAAATTAGAAACGAAAAGGAAATCAATCTTTGTACTAAACTTTGTGTGAGAAACATTTCCTTTGTCACAGTAGCTGTTGCACAGTAAATCCTACCCAACTGTGGATTCCCACAAGCAGTCACTGTGTTTCCACCAGCAGCTGCAGCCAAGGCTGCAGACACCAACACCCAGGCACAGAGATCACCTCAGTCACAAGCATCTAGAAAGACCTACACATCAAGCCTTGGACTAGATGCTGGAGAAAGACATGATCTTAAGGCACGCCCAAAAAAACCTGTTAATACTCTGTACTCTCATCTTTACTTGAATGCATTTCTCCTCAAATATAGTGTAATATTTCTGTATTTCACTCCTTGAACAAATATCAAAAGATATATATGTCTATAAATAAGGAGGGCCTCATAACAGAATTTCATTATGTGTGTGACCACTCTATCTCAGAAGACATTTTTGAACACACCTATATATTCAAACAGAACCAATGCCATGTCATCAAAATACAAAGCAACAAAAGGCAATGTTATATACTGGGCATCAGTTAAATTTCCAGAATAGTTATATTTACTTATAACATCAAATTTTGGCAGAAGAAAATATTTTGTTTAAAGAGGTCAATGATTATCAGAAAGGTTTTGAACAGCTAGAAGGAAAGAATAAACTAATAGTAATATAACAAAACATACAAAGTAACTGCTGGCTCTATTTTGATAGAGGAAAAACTAAACCACCTAATGAATAGTTAATTATGACACTGAAGGAATAAATATGTACCACACCTTGTCATTTTCTCTTTTTTTTGATAAACGGCTATATCTATTAATCGCAGCATCATGATCTGGAAAAAAGAAATGAGTGTTAACAATACAACAGTACTTTTCAAAACTTACAAATGCTTTCAATGGTCTTCACATGTGCACCTTTCCACAAACGTACTAAAGCAAGAATTTCCTACCACATGACCACTGCACTCAATTTTCCCCACAGCCAAATTTCCCCTAAATTATGTGTCTACTTCTCAAATTGGTTTTTAAAAAATTAATTCCAAGGAAACTAATGCACTAAAGCTTTTTAAAGTATTTTCTAGTACAAAAATAGCAAACGCAGCTTAGACACAGTGGCATATGCCAATAGTCCCAGCTACTCAGGAGGATGGGGCAGCAGGATCACTACAGTATGCTATGATTGTGGCTTGAAAAGCCACTGCACTCCAACCTGGGCAACAGAGCAAGACCCTGTATCTTAAAATATATATATATATAACACTCATTAAAGAAAAATTGGGATATATAAAAGAACAAGAAGGGTAAAATATTACACTACCTCTTTAGGCATTATGAAGATAGTAACCTGTAAGACTTAATTTCCTTAAGATTTTTCTTAAATTACACTGTATAAACAGTGTAATTTAAGTAGCAATACTGATTTAAGTAATGTTCACTTATTTTTAATTGGTTTTTTTTCAATTATTACAAAGAATCTGGCCACAGATATGCACTGATAAACAAATACATCACTGCAAGAAATAAGTGTGCAAATTATAGGGCTTACCATTACTTGCAATCTGAAATACTTCCTTTAATGTTAGTATTTCTGAAAAAGTTCAAGAATAATTTAAGTTTGGCACATTTATGAAATACATTTGTTTGGAAAACAATAACTGCTACTTAAACTATAATTAAAACTCAAAATAATATTTCATAGTTCAACATTCAGGGTGAAAAAGCTACTCTGTGTTTCAGCTAGTCTATGAAACATTTACTATCATTAGCAACAGTTACACCACCAGAAAATCTACTTGCTACAAATTAGTGATATGACATAAAAACAAATTTAAAAACCCACTGTAAATGGTAAGATATGCAAATATTCTGATTTAGTGCCAGAATCATGCATTTTTGATATATGAATCTAAATATTCAAATGCTAAACGAGAAACAAAACATCTCATTAATAAGATTATGCCATTCAGTCCCCTTACACTGAAGAAAAGAGATCTTGTTCTAGACCTTAGAAATGACCATTCTTGAGGATCACAACCACAATTAGTAACTCCATCTTTAAAATACATTAGATGTATTGGTGACTGAGTAAAGTAAAGGTGGCACGGGTTGCAGTCCAGAAATGGTGTAGGTGTAGAATAGTATAATACACATTTGTCTGTATTCCATGTATAATTTAAATACTTTACCATTCACTGATACATTAGTTCAATATTTTTAATCTCTCTACATATTTTGGAAGTAAGTGTGTATGGCTGAGATTACAAGTTATGGGAAAGCAAAACCAACTCTATAAAACTCTCATTGTATCACCTAGTAATCCTAAGTGGGTAAAAATAAAACCCAGAAACGACTAGGTTGCAGATTGTTAGATGTGCCAGTACCCCTACCTCTTGCCACTTCGGCCCATACACACACCTCTATACCCTGTGCCACTATCCTAACTCAGGCCTTGGTCATATCTCACTGGACTCCCACAACTTCCCAGTCTAGTCTCCTACATAACAAGGCTACTCTATTCCATCCTCCAAAGGAATTGTGTCTCTCCTTAAAGACCCCCATTGGCTTCTCCTTTGCTCATAATCTGAAGTTCTAGCCTCTTAGCATGACCTACTCCCATCTACTCTATTTCTGGATTCATCTCCTGCCTCACTCTAACACATACAGCATTGCAGCCACACTGAGTTTCTTGCTACTGTCAAATAGGCTGTGTATTTCTAAAAGCCATATCTTGTGCACTCTAGTCCCTCTAACAGAACAATGACTGTTCTCCTGGCAAATTCCTCTTCACTGTTCAATGCTCATGTCACATCCTTGGGTAAAGCCTTGCTGACCCCCTCCTAACAGCCCCGCCAGCACCTTGCTCATTCCCTAATTATAAGAGACATAAGTGTTGTAATTATGCATGTGCCCACTTCCTTCTCTAGAATTTCTCAAAAGAGGGGATATCTTATCCATATCGGTATTTCTCAATATCTAGTTTGACATCTAGCAGGAGCTCCTATAAATGTTTGGTAACTGAGCAAAGTAAGAGTGGCATAGGCTGTCATCCAGAAATGGTGTAAGTACAGAGTAATATGCATTTTACAAGTGTTGATCTCACAGCCAATGAAAGTAAACATAAGCTTGACTTCAATACCTTTCAGATCTCTTTCTTTAAACTGGGTAATGGGGAACATCATGGCATCAGCAAGTTGAGTTGAAAGCACTGCATGACAAGAGCTAAGCTAGAAAAAGAAAGACCAAAAAGGCCAAATAACTATACACAGACATTTAACCAGTGTTATGTAAATTAAACATAATCTAGTAAAAATGGTTCTGATATATTTTATATAGGAAAACACTAAAAATTATGTGATATAGTACAAAATACTATATAGTCAAAAAATTCCATTTACTAAACTCTTAGAAAACACAGAATGACCTTGGATTTGGTAACACTTTCTTGCATATGACACTAAAAGCACAAGGAACAAGAGAAAATATATAATGGACATCATCAAAATTTAAAACTTCTATGCATGAAAGCGCACCATCAAGAAAGTGAAAAAAAAAAAAAACAACTCAGAATGGGAGAAAATATTTGCCAATTATGTATCTGATAAGTAACTTGTATCTAGAAAGAGAACTTTTACAACTAATAAAAAGACAACCAATTTAAAAACGGGCAAAGGATCTATATAATTTCTTCAAAGATAAACAAATGGCCAATAAGCACATGAAAAGGTGCTCAATATCATTAGACATTAAGAAAATGCAAATCAAAACCACAATGAGATACCATTTCACACTCACTCAGATGGCCATAATTTTTAAAAAAATTTTAAATACACACAAACTAAAATAATTGTTGGCGAGGATGTGGAAAAACTGGAACCCTCCTACATTGCTGGTAGGAATGTAAAATGGTGCAGGCACTGTAGAAAACAGTTTGGTGGTTTTCTAAAATTATTTAACTTTTAAATAAACATAAAATTACCATGCAATGATCCAGCAATCCCATTTCTGGGTACCTACTCAAGAGAACTGAAAACTGTTGTTCAAAACAAAAAAAACAATCTTGTATATGAATGCTCATAATAACATTATTTGAACTAGTTAAAAGGTAGAAACAACACAAATAAACAATGACTAGATAAACAGATACACAGATATATAAAGAGATGACCAGATAAACAAAACTTGGTATATCCATAACAATGAAATTTTATTTAGCCAAAAAAGGAATGAAGTACTGAGGCATATTACAACATGAATGAACCTTGAACACATTATGCTAAGTGAAAACAGACATAAAGAAGTCTAAAATTATGAGTCCATTTATATGAAATATCAAAAGTAGGCAAATCCATACAGAAAGAAGATTAGTGGTTGACAAGGGCTGAGGGAGCAGGGAGGTGGAAGTGACTGCTTGATATGGTTTGGCTGTGTCCCCACCCAAATCTCATCTTCAATTGTAGCTCCCATAATTCCCACATGTTGTGGGAGGGGCCCCATGGGAGATAACTGAATCATGGGGGCAGTTTCCCCCATACTGTTCTCGTGGTAGTGAATAAGTTTCACGAGATCTGATGATTTTCTAAGAGGTTCCCCTTTCACTTGTCTTTCATTCTCTCTCATCTGCCGCCATGTAAGATGTGCCTTTCGTCTTCCGCCATGATTGTGAGGCCTCCCCAGCCACATGGAACTGTGAGTCCATTAAACCTCTTTTTCTTTATAAATTACTCATCTCAGGTATGTCTTTATCAGCAGTGTGAAAACAGACTAATACACTGCTTAACGGGCACAAGGCTTCCTTTGAGATGATGAAAATGTCCTAAAAACCATACAGTGGTTATGGTTGCATAGCACTGTGAATGCACTAAATATCATGAATGACAAATTTTATGCTATGCGTACTTTACCACAATTTTTTTAAATGAAAAAAATTACATTATTTCTTTATCTTGATTTCCCGGTAAAACATTTTGCTATAATGGGTTATTAAAATATTTCAAAAAAATTACTTTTCCAGTTAAGAGTCTAGAAAACACAGGACTATCGAATGGTCCATGTGAAAAGAAGAGGTTTTACTGCAACAGTAGAGAACAGTTAACGATTCTCCATAATCTCTCACTACCTTTTTTTCCTCTTACCTTTTAGGTCTTTGTTTTAATGATTTGTTGTGATGACTGATTTGAGGAATTCAGGGTTGATTCTGGCTGTTTAGGATAGCAGGATTAATAAAGACTAAACAGTAAAATGTTGCTTAATAGCAAAAGAGCAACCACAAAGAACCCAGATGCAGTTCACTACCTAACTCTTCTCTCCCTGCCTACATCAAATGACACATGTCAAGACTGAATGTTAGCACGGACTGCGTATAGAAGAAGCACATCTGTAAGTTTATTCCTGGAAAACAATGTTTAATCAGGTAAAGAAAGTATTGTTTTGATGAGCCAGCCACCAGGATGTGGAATTAAGGTTCCTCTTTAGTCATCTCTTTAATAGAGCTTTATTCATAAAATAAAAGCTAAGCAACTGGGTAACTCAATTATAAGACCATTTAATCAAGCAAAATAAAATAAACGTTTACCTCATCTATAACTTTTGAAAACTGTTGCAATGTAGAGCTCATAACTTCATCATCACCTCCCAATGGAAAACGCTGAAAAGCAAGAAACAGATGAGGTAAAGTTTCAATGCTGTGTCTTTTGGGAATGACATTACTATAATTTACATTTTTAAATAACTTCAGAAAACTTCCAAAATTTTGAAAAAGCTCTAAAATATCATTTAACTAAAATTGTGTAATGTATATAATAAACATTAATTGTTTATTAAGTAAGCAATTGACATGGCATATTGGAATACCCACTGTACTGGAAGTTCAAAGATTTAGCATTTAGCTCCAGTTCCTCCAATAACACTGTAATGTTCAGCAAGTCACAGCTTCTTCATTTGTAAAAAGAAAACAAGTAAACTAGATAGCCTCTGTATTTAATATTAAATCATTAAAATTATCTGAACATAAGTGCTATCATGAAATTTCAATGGCATATTCTGTGAATTCAAGAAAACTTAAGGATTCTTGTTGAAAGTCTATCTATACAGATACTATACTTTTAAAATTATGCTTTTAAAACTTTGATATACAATACCTGTTTTTCATATTCTTTTAAAAGTTTTGAGGTCAGGTGTGTTGCTGCACTTAATTCATTCTATGGAAAAAGCATTCAAATTAGCATATTACTGGGAAAAAAGTTTTAGTTTTTTCTAATTAAATACCTAATTTATTTATTATCACTTAACATAAATATTGTACATGTTTTTTAAAACCTTCATTAAATCACTGGAAAGGGGTACTACCATTAAAGCACTTTAAAAGAAAACTCAAACCATAAAATAGACACTCTCCAGGAATTCAGCAGTGTTCCTGGTGTTTGTTTTTTGCTAATAAAAACTAAGCACTAAATACTTTAAAGCCTAGAAATAAACTGATATAACCTTAGCAAAATCTTTAGAGCATCTACGTTGATGACTGATTATTGCCCTCTGTAGATGCTGATACTAGACTACAGTAAGCACTTAATAACATACAACCAAAATGTGGTTGACCCAGTCATATAACATAGCAACACAGCCATATGAAAAACTTTAATTTAGTTTTTTTGGTGAATATAACAAAGAGAACATTTCTTTAACATATTAATCATATATCTCTGTAGTCAGAAAGCAAAGCTTCAGAGCCTGATCACAAGGAAAAACTAAACAACAACATAGCAACTCTTAAGTACATAATGAAAATGTGAAGCCAGAAAGCAAACAATATGAGAAGGGAAAAAAATAAAACTTGTACGCTTAATTAATCCCAAAGAAAGTATATTACAGAACCTAGGTTGCTGTTTAAGCTTATAATTAAGTTATCCAAACATAGCTTCAAATTTTATTGCTGGTCAATAAGAAAACTTAGTCATACCCTTCATCTTCTTGTACTCCAGAGGTACATCTAATTTTTAGTGCCTTCTTTTAACTAGACAGAGGCAGCCAACTTTCAAATCCTCCACTGAAAAAGGGAAAGTGTTGGCCAGGTGCAGTGGCTCACGCCTGTAATCCCAGCACTTTGGGAGGCCGAGGCGGGCAGATCACCTGAGGTCAGGAGTTCGAGACCAGCCTGGCCAACATGGTGAAACCCTGCCTCTACTAAAAATACAAAATTATCTGGGCGTAGTAGTGCATGCCTGTAGTTCCAGCTACTCAGGAGGCTGAGTCAGAAGAATTGCTTGAACCTGGGAGGTGGAGGGTGCAGTGAGCTGAGATTGCACCATTGCACTCCAGCCTGGGAGACATTAGCAAAACTCCATCTCCAAAAAAAAAAAAAAGGGGGCTGGGTACAATCTCAGCACTTTGGGAGGCCAAGGCGGGCGGATCACCTGAGGTCGGGAGTTCGAGACCAGCCTGACCAACATGGAGAAACCCTGTCTCTACTAAAAATACAAAATTAGCCAGGCGTGCTGGTGCATGCCTGTAATCCCAGCTACTTGAGAGGCTGAGGCAGGAGACTCACTTGAACCTGGGGTGTGGAGGTTGTGGTGACCCAAGATCACACTACTGCACTCCAGCCTGGGCAACAAGGGCAAAGCTCCATCTCAAAAAAAAAAAAAAAAAGTGGGGGTGGGGAAGTGCTCCATAAGATTGTAATAAGCATGATTAGGGAAAATACCAGTGATGACATGGGGTCTTCATTCAAATCTTAGGAAAGATCACTATCAGTGAGTTTAATGGGGGGTTCCCCCCAAACTATGTTTGGGGAGAATGGGCAGATGCTTCAATCGTCTATCACTTTTGTAGTACTACAAACTGTACACTAGTAGTTGAAATGTCAGTTCTGTAATACACTCAATGTTCATTAATCCATTCAACAAATATTTATTACTATGAGCCTAACACAGGGCTAAAGCAGTGGTAAACAAGACAGACACTATCTGTCCTCATGAGGCTTAAAGATTCGTGTTTTAAAAGCATCAAGTTAGTCCTTAGTGTTTTACCTGTGCATCATAAATCCGATGCATAGCTTGATACAACTGGTTCATATAGTTGGAAATAGCTGTGGCATCTTCTTCAAATACACCTAGTAAAGACCTTGTCTGTATAAAACAATAGCAATAAGTTTATGTTAATCATTATACAAATCAGATGGAAAAATATTTTTTCTAAAGGAAGCAAAAATCGTAGGATATTAAAGTTCTAGTAATTCTGAGTTTTAATCTATTTTGTCTCTTTTGATAGTAATGTTAAGAAGTCTTTTTTTTTTGTTCTTAGTTTCACTTCAACAAAGCAGAGGTATTTTCCAACTATGTCACACAAACTTTAGGAGAAACAACAGAGGTATATTTTCATAAACTAAAAATTCTATAAACTAAGAACAAATCAACAGAAACGTTCAAAGCTAAATTAACAGCATTCCATGTAGTATAAATATTTTAAATGTCTTACTTCAGGATAATTTAGTATGATTATTTCTTCTACAGTTTTTGCTAGAAGAGGCCAAACCCCTTCCTGTCCTAATCTAAAAATACCACAGTACACCCTCCCCAACATGGCCGACTCTTCAGCATATAAAATGCTAACTAGGTTTTTCCGAATGCACAATTTGGGGGTTTTCCTTTCTTCTTCTTTATACATGTCTATATTGTTTGGCTTTTGTTTTGTTTTGTCATTTTTCTACCATGCACATTTAAAAATTATCTTCATTTTAGGCCGAGCACAGTAGTTCATGCCTGTAATCTCAGCACTTTGGGAGGCCGAGGCAGGCAGATCATGAGGTCAGGAGATTGAGACCATCCTGGTTAACACAGTGAAACCCCGTTTCTACTAAAAATGCAAAAAATTAGCCGGGTGTGGTGGCACGTGCCTGTAGTCACAGCTACTCAGGAGGCTGAGGCAAGAGAATAGCTTGAACTTGGGAGGTGAAGGTTGCAGTGAGCCGAGATCACGCCACTGCACTTCAGCCTGGGCGGGCGACAAAGCAAGACTCTGTCTCAAAATAAAAAAATTTTTTTAAATTATCTTTATTTTAAGGGGGAAAGCTTATAAGTAAATGTTAAGAATGTCAGGCCGGGTGCGGTGGCTCACGCCTGTAATCCCAGCACTTTGGGAGGCCGAGGCGGGTGGATCACGAGGTCAGGAGATTGAGACCATCCTGGCTAACACGGTGAAACCCCATCTCTACTAAAAATACAAAAAAATTATCCAGGCATGGTGGCGGGCCCCTGCAGTCCCAGCTACTCAGGAGGCTGAGGCAGGAGAATGGCGTGAACCTGGGAGGCGGAGCTTGCAGTGAGCCGAGATCATGCCACCGCACTCCAGCTTGGGCAATAGAGGGAGACTCCGTCTCAAAAAAAAAAAAAAAAAAAGAATGTCAATAAAAATTTGTCAAAGATAAGGAAACTAAGGCTATCAAAGGCAAGGTAGACATACTCACATTACATCCCAAAGGCCCAGGGGAAGAATGAAAATACCAATAACTACTGGAGATAACTGCAGCTTAAAATCTAAAAGATATATTTTTATTCTAAAAATAATTTATGCCTCAGCCTTAGAAACTGTTGTGGGTGTCGCTGTTGTTGTTTGAGATAGGGTCTCATTCTTCTCCCAGGCTGGAGCAGTAACATGATCTCGGCTCACTGCAGCCTTGACCTCCTGAGCTCAAAAAATCCTCCCACCTCAGCCTCCCAGGTAGCTGGGACTACAGGCATGTGCCACCATGTCTGGCTACTTTTTTTCTATTTTTTGTAGTGACAGGGTCTCACTATGCTGCTCAGGCTGGTTTCAAACACCTGGGCTCAAGCAATTCTCCTACCTCAGCCTCCCAAAGTGCTGGGATTACAGGTCAGGTGTGAGCCACCACACATGGCCAAAAATTTTTTTTTCTTAAATCAACTTATTCCTTAGCTTCCTATTTTCAGAGGAGGAAGCTAAGTCAATATAGTATAAAGAAGGGGAAAGGACACAAAATCATGATGCCAGTAAGTCCCTATTTTCAGTCCTCCACTTCCCCAGGCCTCAGAGATTTAGATTTGACAGAATATTTTTCAAACACTCCACTACAATTCCATATAGTGCTATTTTAAGATGTAAAAAAGAAAGCATCAGGAAATCTTGTTTGGCTAGTGCCATTCTTAAAAAAAATCTGCCGCTTCGTTTCTGTTTTGTTTTTTTTTTTTCTAAAAATGGGTAATTCCAATTCAAGGAGTTACATATTTATGTAAAAACTTGTAGCATAATTAAATTTAAAAGCTCTTCTTAGCGCAAAGCAAGTTGAAACAGATTCCCTATTTTAAGCTAACAATATCAACTTCAACACTGGATAATTGCTGTTTGTTTAAAGTTAGTAGCTTAAAAAATAGAATCAATATGGTACCATTTCATCAAATCTACGATGGTATCCATTGTAAGATGCATCATTTTCATTTTTGTACTACTCAAACAAAACAATGCTGGCAATTAAGCTATGATTTAAGGTTTTCTTATGTCTTGAATTTTTTACCTTATATTTATGAAAACAGACCTTCACACAGAATTTTATCATATACAGCTCTCATGTAAACATAACAAATATAAGCATCATAAATTTATTTCTAAAACTTCACAGAGTTCGAATCTTATGAACCACTTTTCTTTTTTGTTTTTTTGTTTTTTGGTTTTTTTTGAGTCAGAGTCTCACTGTGTCGCCCAGGCTGGAGTGCAGTGGTGTGATCCTGGCTCACTGCACGCTCCGCCTCCCGGATTCATGCCATTCTCCTGCCTCAGCCTCCCGTGTAGCTGGGACTACAGGTGCCAGCCACCACACCCAGCTAATTTTTTGTATTTTTAGTAGAGACGGGGTTTCATCGTGTTAGCCAGGATGGTCTCGATCTCCTGACCTTGTGATCTGCCCGCCTCGGCCTCCCAAAGTGCTGGGATTACAGGCGTGAGCCACCGCACCGGGCCCATGAACCACTTTTCAACTCGAGAGTCATCAATATGCATGTTTTCCTATACATTATCATTCTCTGTGCCATGAGGAGGTAAGTATTTCTTAGAAGTACTCCATTTTTGTCCCTAATATTTTCTTCCAAGAAACTGATACTCATTCAGCAAATTTTGATGATGTCATTTGACATCTCACCAGGTGTCAAAAGAAGGTTTTCGGACAACAACCAGGACTGATATTCCTTTCTCAAATGGTGGCAAAATTGATCTGTTAGTTGAACACTGAGAGACTACACTTGGCCAGTATGCTACTAGGAGAAACAACCAAGTATGTACATTTGCAGGCAATGTGAAATACATTACTACTGCTACCTGGCTGATAGCAATTGTTAATATACCATCAACTCTAAGAGGAATCCCAATCAGAGACATCAAAATGTTGGGAGGAAAGGCACATCTCATGATTAATTCATATTATGCAAAAACAGAAGATCCCATTTGGGACTGGGGTTTGTCTTCACTGTTCTATCATAGATGAATCACTAAGATACATATCTACATATAAAATCAATTAATTTTCTAAAGATCATTATCTGTTCTTAGTAATTAACAAGGTTTATTTTGATTTTGATTTTCAAAACAACATATAAATATGGACAAGGCATCTACTATAAGCTTAAGATTTTCTGGCTCAATGGATGATCTTTTGCAGAACTGTCTGGTTTGGGCAAGGTAATTCCAAACATGCTTTTTCCCCACCTAGGTTCCAGGCAGTATTCTTAAAAGATGCTTGTTTGATCAGCTGGATTTTGGACTTGCAAATTCTCCCTAATTTAATACGTAGTTACTATAAATCAAAACTAAAAGAAGGGTAACTGTAATTCAGGATAGTCTTCCATCACTCCCAGGCTCTTTTTTTTTTTTTTTTTAAGAGCCAAAGCCTCGTTCTGTTACCCAGGCTGGAGTGCAGTGGTGTGATCATAGCTCACTGCAGCCACAGACTCCTGGACTCAATCGATCCTCCTGCCCTAGCCTCCTGAATAGCTGGGACTACAGGTGCATGCCACCACGCCCAGCTAATTTTATTTTTTGTAGAGATGAGGTCTTGCTATTTGGCCCAGGGTGGTCTTGAACCCCCACCCTCAAGTGTTTACAAGCATGAGCCACTGTGCCAGGCCAAGGCTCTTTTTTAGGTAGCAACTGGCAGGCCACTTTTGATTAGATCTAAATGATCTAAAAAAAATTAAAAACTAATCAAACAAAAAACTTTTAGGGCCTGGTACAGTGGCTCACATCTGTAATCCCAGCACTAAGGCCAGGAGTTCAAGACTAGCCTGGCCAACATAGTGAAAACCTGTCTTTACAAAAAAAAAATTTTCTTTTTTTTTTTTTTTTTTTTTGAGACGGAGTCTCGCACGGTTGCCCGGGCTGGAGTGCAACGGTACAATTTCGGCTCACTGCAACCCCCGCCTCCCGGGTTCAAGTGATTCTCCTGCCTCAGCTTCCCGAGTAGCTGGGATTACAGACGTCCACCACCACGCCCGGCTAATTTTTTGTATTTTTAGGAGAGACGGGGTTTCACTATGTTGGCCAGGTCGGTCTCAAACTCCTGACCTCGTGATTCACCTGCCTCGTCCTCCCAAAGTGCTGAGATTACAGGCATGAGCCACCACGCCCAGTCTTCTACAAAAAATTTTTAGATTAGTTGGGCTACTTGGGAGGCTGAGGAAGCAGAATCACTTGAACCCGGGAGGTGGAGGTTGCAGTGAGCCAAGATCATGCCACTGCACTCTAGCCTAGGCGACAAGAGCGAAACTCCATCTCCAAAAAATAAAAATAAAATAAAATAAAATTAGCTGAGCTTGGTGGCGTGTGCCCAGGAGTTTGAGGTTTCAGAGCTATGGCTGTGCCACTGCAATCCAACCTACGTGACAGTGAGACTCTGTCTCAAAAAAAAAACAAAAAACTTACCATGAGCTTTAAAAGTCTTCATATTCTTTGCTGCTCTGCTTCTTGGACTCTATTCTAGATAAAATAGTTCAAACTGAGAAGAAAATTTATGCTCCAAAGCATTAATCTCAGCCCTATTTATAAAAGCAAAACTTTGGGAAAACTCTAAAAGTCCAGCAAAGGGTTGTGAAATCAGTTAAGGAAATGTGTGGTCTTCAAATGTTTTTATTTGGAATGTAAAAACATGTGAAGATACTTAAGTGATAATGTTAAGTTAAAAGCAGGATAAAGATCATTATGCACAATATAATCTCAATTCCATTAAAACATGTAGAAGAAAAAAAAAACAGTAGAATAAAGAAAGCAAACTGTTAATAAGGTTTTGCTGGGTAACCAACAGGTAATTGTGTGTTATTCTTTTCTGGACCTTCCAATTTTTCTGAAGGAAGCAACTATTATTTCTTTTTAATCAGGGTCAAAAATAAAAACATGTCATTAAGACACAACAGCTGAGGTTCAGAGAAGTTGAATGATTTGCCCTAAAGCAGAAGGTAGTAAAGTGGCAGTGATGACTAAAAACCTCGTCAACCCTAGATCCAAGGCTTTGCATTCTGCCACAGGTTCGACCTAAGAATCACCTCCAAGTATGTACACTTCCTAAATCCCAGTTGTACCAATTAATTTTCCCAAGTAAATTTTACCTAGTTCAAATTTATTGCCTTTCAACATTGAAGGGATATCAATGTGTCTACTTCATTAAAAATTAGCTGGCACAGGCCAGGCGCAGTGGCTCACACCTGTAATCCCAGCACTTTGAGAGGCCAAGGCGGGCAGATCACCTGAGGTCAGGAGTTCGAGACCAGCCTGGCCAACATGGCAAAACCCCGTCTCTACAAAAAGTACAAAAACTAGGTGGGCGTGGTGGCACACGTCTGTAATCCCAGCTACTCAGGAGGCTGAGGCATGAGAATCACTTGAACCCGGGAGGCAGAGGTTGCAGTGAGCCAAGATTGCAACATTGCACTCCAGCCTGGGCAACAAGAGCAAAACCCCGTCTCAGGAAAAAAAAAAAAAAAAAAAAAAAAAAAAGCTGGCACAGTGGCACACGCCTGTATTCCCAGCTGCTAGGGAGGCTGAGGCAGGAGGATCACTTCAGCATAGGTGTTCCAGGACACAGTGCACTACGATAGTGTCTGTGAACAGCCATTGCTCTCCAGACTGGGAAACATAGCAAGATCCCCATCTCAAAAAACAAACAAATATATTGTAAAACGGACACTAGTATGATGCATGCTTGTAAAGAAAAAAAAAAACCACAATTCTTAAGTTGTAAACTAATCTGGCAAAAACCTCAAGACATTAGATGAGTCAAGAGTTTATCTCTGCCTCACAAGTCATTTCCAGGGCAGTGTGCAATCCATTCTGAGCCGTTTATAGTCTTTATGGGCTATTAAAAAAAAAAGCCAAGTAAGAGAAGAAAGGTAAGGCAACCTGTTGAATCTTACATAATAAAAAGTAAAATGACAAAGTACACCTGACCAATTCCACAAACTTTTTGCAAATCATCTGAAACAAATACAGTTTATAACTTTATATGGAGAAATCATCAAGAAAAAAATTGAACCGAGTATACTGGCAGTCAAGATAAACCAAATGTGAGTTTCTCTTTTTGTCACTATCAGCTGTTAAGAGTACATTAGCAGCAGGCAACTGGCCTGTGAAGATAACTTTCAGAATAAAAAAGAACAAATCAATTCTACAATCAGAGCCCCATTTCAACTTGGCAATTAACATTGGCACAAAATCCATGGCAGAAGTGCCATCCAGGAAAAGGAGATCTAGACCTCTTCTGCTTTTCTTCTTTGGGGGCCATGTTCAACTGTAAAGACACACGAAATGGTGCAACTGCATTTCTAAATCAGCAACAATTCAGAAATGTTTCATTCTAAATAGTGTCCAACCAGCAACACCGTCTTAAACCGTTTAAATTATCGTGTAAAACGGCTTAGAGATGAAGTTTTCCCTATGCAAGTTACAGCCCCTGCCAACATTTTAAAAAATATAGCTGCTTTCATTCTGCAGTACTGAAAACATATTAAATGGTTACATTTTCCAAAACTGTCTTAAGCTAGAGCAACCACATCAGCATCATTCCGACGCACAGAACACAGGGCTTTTATTTTGATGAGTTTATTAAGGCCAAGTCTGCAGGGAGCAGCGCAGCAGTCGCGGAGCGGCGAAGGCACCGTCCATCCCTCGCCGTGCACAGCTCGAGTGACAGCGACCACAGTCACGGCCGCGACACGGGCACATTCGGCGGGGAGAGCGGTCTTGGGCTCCGGGACCCGTCACGGGCTTTGCCATTAGGGCTCCACACACAACCTTACAGCCTCTCCCAAAGAAAAACGATCCATTTCCTTCCTTAGCTTGCTGAGCCTCGGAAATCATTAAATAAGACTATCGGGGTTTCTCTCCCTTCTGCAATTTTTCTGAAGAGGTTCTCAGGGAGAAAATTCCAGGATCGAGATTTGGCACCTCACATCACCGCGATAAAAACGGCGCCTTTCGTCAAATAAAAAGGACCCGCGCGCGTACGTGACCGCCCGGCCCACGAGCACCAGCGGCTCGGTCTCCGCCTGCGGCCCTCGGCCCAGCCGAGCAGGCCCACGCGGGCCTTGGGCGGCGGGCCCAGCCTCCACAACTCCGGGCGCGGCCTGCGACGGGCGGTGACCTAGGGCGGCGGCGGCCCCCACCTGGGCCGGGGCGGGCACCTGCGGGAGCCGCGGAGGCGCCAGACCTGGGGTCGGCCAGCTGGGCTCTCCCTCGTCGCCCACCAGCTCCCGCGCCTCACCTGCGGGCTGTCCTCCAGCGTCTCCTCGATGGGCAGCTTGTCGATCCCCGGCATCGTGGCGGAGGGAGGGCGGTGGCAGGAGACGCAGCTGCCGCCCACAGCTCCCCGCGCCGGCCCGCCCGCCGCAGCTGACCCCGGCCCGCCCTCTCCGGCAAGGGCTGCAGCCGTCCCCGCCCGCACAGCCTTCTCCAGGCGCCGAGCGGCCGTGCGGGAAATCCCGCCCCCTCGGCCTCCCTGCCCCGCCTCCCGGCGCGTCCATTGGCTCCCGGGGACGCCCATCCGCGCTGCGGCGGTGGTCGGGAGGTTCCCGTGCGGCGCTAGGCTCTCCCGCGAGCGCGGGCGTCGGAAGCGGCGGAGGTGGCAGTGTCTGCCCTGGGATGGCCTTCCCTGCACGCGCGCGTTTGTATCTAAATCGCAGGGGACCGTCTCTTCCTCAGCTTGCCGGCGCGAGGAGCCAGAGCCTCGAGTTAGGGCCACACGGGGGAATTTGGGGCGGGTTGACTTTTCCCGCAACATATTTTGTCAGAGACCTTGGAGAAAGTCCTACTGCTGGCGCCTTTTAGTTTCCTCAGATGATAACATTCCCAACTCCGCTCGAAGCGTCCAGTCTTAATCCCCTCCAGCAGAATGGTGCTGACTAACTCAGATGTCTGAGATCCGCAGCTGTGTCAATAATAGGGCTTTCTGGCAAACTTGTGAACGTAGGCTCGAAATTGTTTTTCTGGACGCTTGAATATCAGTATATTCAGTTGAAAACATGTGATTTTGTTGCCAGTTTATCAGTTCCTACCTGGCCTCCCGAGGTCAGTCCTTCAGGACTGACGCTGCAACTCCAACTCCCATGTTTCTTTTAAATCACAAAGGAAAATATCTTTTAAAAATCAGGATACACTGATTAATTATGTTAGTAACTAATTGGCATTTGTTGAATCAAAAAGTTTTGGAAGCGTTAAATAGTTTTAGCCTCTAATTTTACAATAAAGTGAAGCTCAAAGTTGGGAATTTGACCGGATGAGGGCTACAAGCCTATCCTTTCCTCCTCCCTCTTCATCTTTCCCAACCTGTCACCCTGGCTCGTTTATGTCTCTGTATAGTTGTAGGCTTTCATCATTATACAGAGAAAATAACAAAGTAAGTAGTGTCTTCTAAACATCTAGCCATTAATTCCACCAATCCATTCCATTTTCATTCAAGAAATACCAGAGATGCTGAGTAAAGATTAATTAGCTGCCTGGTTCCACAGATACATGGGAACAAATCCAGAATAGTAGTAGCTCAAATCCAAATATAGTAACAAATAGAAGTTATATATTTTAAACGAAAATAGTAGATTTTCCCATGATCTCTTGAAAGAAAAATAAAATTATATTTTTAAAGTTTTGTTGAGTAGACTTGCATTGTAGTTTTACGGAATTATTTTTAGTGTTACAATCTTTAAAAGTTTTCCCCTTAGATTGTTTATCAGCCAGTCTCTCTCTCCCGAAGAGTTCTTTAGTTTTTGAGGAAGTTGATTTGGAGGCAGTTCTTACAATGAGTTAAGGGTTCCCAGTTGTGTTACAGTTTCTTTTTCCTTGATATCTCATTTCTACTCTGCCAACAAGAACACCATGCACCCCAGCTCTAAAGAAGGAAGACTTTCAAGGTAAGTGACCTTCCTGATTGAACTGAGTTAGATTTTAAATGAAGAAAGGTTGTGGCAACTGTTAAGAATCAGGAGTAAGTGAGGAGTGTAAACAATGTATAAGAAAGAAAAAAAAAAAGGCCTGGCGCTGTGGCTCACGCCTGTAATCCCAGCAATTTGGGAGGCCGTGGCAGCTGGATCACCTGAGGTCAGGAGTTCAAGACCAGCCTGCCCAACATGGCGAAACCCAGTCTCTACTAACAATACAAAAATTAGCCGGGCGTGGTGGCGTGCCTGTAGTCCCAGCTACTCAGGCGGCTGAGGCAGGAGACTCAGTTGAAGCCGGGAGGCCCAGGTGCAGTGAGCTGAGATCATACCACTGCGCTCCGGCCTGGGCGACAGAGCAAGACTACGTATCAAAAAAAAAAAAAAAAAGAAAAGAAAAGAAAAGTATTTGTTACCTAATTAACTTGGCCAAACCAAATAATTCCGATGAAAAATTCGATTAGTTATCTGAATTATCTGGGTGTGGTATTGTCAAGTTAAATGGTTTCCTTCTTAGTATGTTATGTACATCTAAACTGTGTTTCTGTAAAGGACTCTCAAGAGGCCATTACATTATCGCAGAATGGCAAGGAATTCTTGCCGGACTCAGCTGGTTAAAAAATAAAACAGGCTGGGCGCGGTGGGGCTCACGCCTGTAATCCCAGCACTTTGGGAGGCTGAGGCAGGCGGATCAAGAGGTCAAGAGATGGAGACCATCCTGGCCAACTGGTGAAACCCCGTCTCTACCAAAAATACAAAAATTAGCTGGGCATGGTGGCACACGCCTGTAGTTCCAGCTCTTTGGGAAGCTGAGGCAGGAGAATCGCTTGAACCCGGGAGGTGGAGGTTGCAGTGAGCCGAAACTGCACTCCAGCCTGGGCGACAGAGCGAAACTCTGTCTCAAAAACAAAAAATAAATAAAAATGAAAAAATAAAACAAACAAAAACAGGTTCACATTCAGTTGGATGGAGAGGTAGGTTTAGTCAAATCTAGTTTTAACCTATTTGTACTAGAATCCAGTTTTAACCTTCCATTTGGATTCTCTAGCTTTAGGCCACTGTATACCCTGCTCATCCAAAAATATGGTTGTATTTCCTAAGTTAAAACATCTCCAAAGCTGCAAAATTCATAGTCCTTTTTGATAACCACTTTAAGTTTATTCAGCCTACGTTTTGTGCAGTTAACCAAACTCAGTTCATTTTAAGCCAGTTTTCTTTCATACAGGAAATGAGGCTTGTTCAGAGAATGCCTTAGGGGTTACTGGCGACTCGTGTGGGTAGTAGAGTAAAAACTTTGGGCAACTGGTTAATTTTATGGAAAGCAAGTCAGGATTAAACAACATCCACTAAAGATTTCTTTGAGATGTTTCACATATATACCTTGAGACATTTCACACGTATAATTTACAACAAAAGGACGTACAGTCTTGTAAATAGAGTTGTTAATTATTAGTCTCCTAAAATTATATTTGGTCTTATAATTAGGTTTTTACATGATACTCCTTGAAGTTCTGGTCTGTGATCTGTAATAGGAAAGAATCCAATAACCCAAGTGATGCTGGTGCTTTACTTTTAAAAATTATCCCTTTAGGTCAGTGGTTTCCAAACTTAATGCACACATAAAAGTTATCTGGGAAGGTTGTTAGCATACAGATTCCTGAGCCCTGCTGGAAGATTTTGGTGTAGTAGGTCAGAGTCAGGGCTGGGAATCTCTCCAGTTAAGTCTGAAGTGGGTAATCCACAAACCACATGAGGAAAAACTCTATCCAAGATGGAGAATGATCATTTCCCTTTCCTAAATCACTTTGTATTTAAAAAAAATTTTTAAAGAGTCAGGTGGGCACAGTAGCTCATGCTTGTAATCCTAGCACTTTGGGAGGTCAAGGTGGAAGGATTGCTTAAGCTCTGGAGTTTGAGACTAGCCTGGGCAACACAGAGACACCATCTCTACAAAAAAAAATTAAATTAAATTAAAATTTTAAAAAATTGGCCTGGTGCAGTGGCTCATGCCTGTAATCCCAGCACTTCGGGAGGCCGAGGCGGGTGGATCACCTGAGGTCAAGAGTTCAAGACCAGGCTGGGCAACATAGTGAAACCCCGTCTCTGCAAAAATTAGCTGGATGTGGTGGCAGGTTCCTATTATCCCAGCTACTCGGGAGGCTGAGGCAGGAGAATCGCTTGAACTTGGGAGGCGGAGGTTGCAGTGAGCCGAAATCACACCACTGCACTCCAACCTGGGTGACAAAGCGAGACTCAGTCTAAATTAAAACAAAAATTAACAAAAAATAAAGAGTCAAGCAAACATTTAGAAAAGGAATCCTAGATTCCAGCTAAGGATGGTGAGGACATGATTTCCAGGCTAACGAGCTGGAAACCACCTACTCACAAATATTCTCTAAAAGACTCCATCAATCTAAAATTCTGGGAAATTCATACTCCTTTTAAAGAGTGTAATGTATAATGCAAAAAATTCTGGTTGTTACCTAGTAAATCACTCCTTAATAGGACTAACTTTAACAGATAATTCATTATTTTCTTAATACCAGCTGAGATAAAGCAGATTCAGGAAAGAGCAGATTTCAAGAAAATTGATAATTTGGGAACTTCAGTCATTTAATCTATTTTAAAACATTAGAGCCAGTAGCAGAGTAGGGGGAAGCTTTGGACAATTGGAGGGTAAAACAAAAAGTTCTGAGGAATGGGTTGCAAAAAGAGGTGGGAGGGCACTAAGGACCAACTGGTTGGTTCTTCATTGTGCCACTGCAAACTAGCTTCTGCCTTTGACCTTGACCTTGATGTCACTTTTACTCATTGCCACAGCATCCTTAGAATGTGGGACAATTCTGCAGCTTCAACTTTCTTGATGGTAAAAAGAAAAAAAAAAACTTCTAGGAAAATTGTATATGCTTTTGTTTATCTATGGTTGCCTTGATTCCTTTTTAGAAGAACACATTAATTAATTTGTCTGAGCAGGCCAAGAACTTTAACACAAAATAGCATCATAGCCCTTCTGTGGAGAGGTAGATGAGAACATGGTTATGAGCTAATAAGCTTGGGCTGTGATTTAAATTCTGGCTCCACTGTTTAGTAGCTCTGTGACTTAAGTAAGGTTATTTAACTTCTCTGTTTCTCCATTCTGCCATCTGAAAAATGGAGCTTAATACTAGAGAACTTACATTAATAGTATTGTTAAGATGATTAATGAGCTTTTAGAGTAGCTCCTAGCGCAATAAGCATTCAGTAAAAATTATCTTTTTCATTATCAACTATTAAATATTAAAATATTTTAATACATTTAAGGAAGCTTTTTTGTCTCTATCATATTTTTTTAAAAACTAATATTTTTTAAATCAGAAGATTGGGCTCATTACCTTAGAGAATCCTGATGCTATTTTAAATAACATTAGTTACTCTTGCTAATGTTTTATCACTTTGATTTGGGGGCTTTTGAGGCCAAAACCAAAATTTCAAAATCAATAAATATGTACTTTGAAATTCTGGAGGAAAAGTGTACCAAAACAATTACCAAAATAGCCAAGATTATTGCCATTTTGAGGTTTTTAGGAGTTTTTGTTTTGTTTTTTGTTTTGTTTTTTGTTTGGCGGGTGGTGAGTGGGTAGAGGTGCCCCAAAGTTAAAAGATTTTCATGACACTTACCCCACATGGGAATTCTGGAAGGAACAGTCAAATCATTGGGGAAAAAATTGCTCATAGGCTGGGGGCGGTGGCTCACAGCTGTAATCCCAAAATTTTGGGAGGCTGAGGTGGGAGGATCGCTTGAGCCCAGGAATTTGAGACTAACCTGTGCAACATAGTGAGACCGTGTCTCTACAAAAAATTTAAAAATTAGCCAGGTGTGGTGGCACATGCCTGTAGTCCCAGTTACTCGGGAGGCTGAGGTGGGAGGATTGCTTAAGCCCAGGAGGTCAAGGCTGCAGTGAGCCGTGATCTTGCCGCTGTACTCCAGCCTGGTGATAGCGAGACCCTGTCTCAAAAAAATGCTTTTAGGGAAATTAATATGTCCTGTGCCTGTTTAATCATTGAAAACATTTTAATATTTTCAGAGCCATAGAGGGCAGTGAAAAACAGAGTAGCAGAATTGATTATACCAGTACTATTTATCCAATGGCTAATACAAATAAGACTCTCAGGGATAATTCACACGTGCTTCCAAGAACACTAGATGGCACCAATTATTTAGGATTCAGACTACCTCAGGGAACAGCTGTCTTCATTCAACAAATATTTATTAAATAATGAACAAAACAAAAATATCTGTCATTGTGGAGCTACAGGTTAGTAGATATGGTGGGGAGAAAGACAATAAAAAATAAACATAGTAAGTAGTATTAGAAGTATAGCATATTGGCCGGGAGCAGTGGCTCATGCCTATAATCCCAGCACTTTGGGAGGCCAAGGCGGGTGGATCACGAGATCAGGAGTTCAAGACCAGCCTTGACAATATGGCGAAACCCCATCTCTACTAAAAATACAAAAATTAGCTGGGCATGGTGGCACGTGACTGTAGTCCCAGCTGCTCGGGAGGCTGAGGCAGGAGAATCGCTTGAACCCGGGAGGCAGAGTTTGCAGTGAGCCGAGATTGTGCCACTGCACTCCAGCCTGGGTGACAGAGCACGACTCCATCTCAAAATAAATAAATAGATATATAAGAAGTATAGCATATTACAGCTACAAGGCTGTAGTGAGCTATGATTGCACCCCTGTACTCCAGCCTGGGCAAACCTTATCTTATATAGTAAAATAAAGAATAGTATGTTAGAATGTCATAAGTGCTATAGAAAATAGAGTAGGGAAGGCCAGGCACAGCAGCTCATGCTTGTAATCCCAGCACTTTGGGAGGCTGAGGTGGGAGGATGGCTTGAGCCCAGGAGTTCAAGACCAGCCTGAGCAACATGACAAGAACCCATCTTAACAAAAAAAAAGTTTTTAATTGGCTGGGTATGGTGGTGTGTACCTATGGTCCTAGCTACTTGGGAGGCTGAGGTGGGAGGATCGCTTGAGCTGGAGAGTTGGAGGCTGCATTGAGCCATGGAGTACAGGCTGCACTCCAGCATGGGTGACAGAGCAAGGCCTTGTCTCAAAAAAAAAAAAAAATTAGGGAAAACAGAGCCGGGGCAGCTGCAATTTTAAACAGGTTCTTCAGAATGGGCTTCATTGAGAAAGTAACACCTGAACAAAAACTTGGAGTGGCTGGAATGAGCCATGGGGATATCTAGGGAGCAAACATTCCAGAAGGAGAGACCATCAGGGCAGAAGCCGTCACCCCTAATGTAAGAGTGGCCTGGCCTGGTTCAAGAATTGCGCAGAGCCCAAGATGACAGGAGAAGAGCAAGCCAGGGGAAAGCCTGAGGTGTAAAGAAAGGGAGAGGAGGCCACGTCAGGCAAAGCCTTGTGCCCACTATGAGGACTTTGGCTCTTACCCTAATTTTGGACAAAAACACCTTTAATAAAGGCAGCAATTTGAAACAAGTGTTGGGGAAACTGGAGAATTGGTGATATACTATATAATAAATTGTGGGTGGCCAGGCATGGTGGCTCATGCCTGTAATCCCAGCACTTTGGGAGGCCAAGGTGGGTGGATCATTTGAGGTCAGGAGTTCAAGACTAGCCTGGCCAATATGATGAAACCCTGTCTCCACTAAAAATACAAAAATTAGATGGGCAGTGGTGGTGCACGCCTGTAATCCCAGCTACTTGGGAGGCTGAAGCAGGAGAATCACTTGAGCCTGGGGGGCAGAGGTTGCGGTGAGCCAAGATCGCACCGCTGCACTCCACCCTGGGCGACAGAGTGAGAATCTGTCTCAGAAAAATAAATAAATAAATAAACAAATGGCAAATTAACTTTGTCTTAAGTAAACTCAATCATTTACAAGATCCTTTGATTTAAAGGGAAAAGACTACATTAGTGATTTAGCTAAATCACATTCACTATAAACAGGACAAAAAGCAATGTGTTAAGACAATGCTTTAAAAAAGTCATAAAAAATGACTTCATGCTCTGCTACAGGGCTACAGTAACCAAAACAGCATGGTATTGGTACAAAAATAGGTACATAGACCAATGGAACAGAGTAGAGAGCGCAGAAATAAGGCTGCACACCTGCAACCATCTGATCTTCAACAAAGCTGACAAAAACGAGCAATAGGGAAAGGACTCCCTGTTTAATAAATGGTGCTGGACTATCTGGCAAGCCATATGTCGAAGATTGAAACTGGACCCTTTTTTACGCCATATACAAAAATCAATTAAAGATGGATTGAAGACTTAAATGTAAAACCCAAAATTACAAAAACCCTGGAAGAAAACCTAGGCAATACCGTTGTGGACATAGGATTAGGCAAAGATTTCATGATGAAAATGCCAAAAGCAATTGCAACAAAAGCAAAAATTGACAAATGGGATCTCATTAAACTTAAGAGCTTCTGCACAGCAAAAGAAAATATCAACAGAGTAAACAGACAACCTACAGAATGGGAGAAAATTTTTGGAAACTATGCATCTGACAAAGGTCTAATATTCAGCATCTATAAGAAACAAACAAATTTACAAGGAAAAGCAACCCCATTAAAAAGTGGGCAAAGGAGGCCAGGTGCGGTGGCTCACGCCTGTAATCCCAGCACTCTGGGAGGCTGAGGTGGGTGGATCATGAGGTCAGGAGATCGAGACCATCCTGGCTGACACGGTGAAACCCCGTCTCTACTAAAAATACAAAAAATTAGCCAGGCGTGGTGGTGGGCACCTGTAGTCCCAGCTACTCGGGAGGCTGAGGCAGGAGAATGGCGTGAATCTGGGAGGCAGAGCTTGCAGTGAGCCAAGACCACGCCACTGCACTCCAGCCTGGGCGACAGAGCAAGACTCCGTCTCAAAAAAAAAAGAAAAAGTGGGCAAAGGACACGAACAGACACTTTTCAGAAGATGTCATACATGTGGCCTATGAGCATATGAAAAATAACCCAATATCATTGATCATTAGAGAACTGCAAATAAAAACCACAATGAGATACCATCTGTAGGGAGCTGTAGGCCATCATCATTAGCAAACTAATGCAGGAACAGAAAACCAAATACCACATATTCTCACTTACAAATCGGAGCTAAATGATGAGCATACAAAGACACAAAGAGGGGAACAACAGTCAGAATAGCTACTATTAAAAAGTAAAAAGATAACAGATGCTGGTGAGATTGCAGAGAAAAGGGAACACTTGTACACTATTGGTGGGAGTGTAAATTAGTTCAGTCATTGAGGAAAGCAGTGTGATAATTCCTCAAAGAGCTAAAAACAGAACTACCATTCAACCCAGCAATCATATTACTGGGTACAAACCCAAAGGAATATAAATCATTCTACCATAAAGGTACATGCATGTGAATGGTCATTGCAGCACTAGTCACAATAGCAAAGACATGGAATCAACCTAAATGTCCATCAATGGTAGACTGGATAAAGAAAATTTGGTACATATACACCACAGAATACTATGCAGCCATAAAAAAGAGTAAGATTGGCTGGGCATGGTGGCTCACGTTTGTAATCCCAGCACTTTGGGAGGCCAAGGCAGGCGGATCACCTGAGGTCAGGAGTTCAAGACCAGCCTGGCCAACATGGCAAAACCCGTCTCAACTAAAAATACAAAAATTAGCCAGGTGTGGTGGCGGGTGCCTGTCATCCCAGCTACTTGGGAGGCTGAGGCAGGACAATCACTTGAACCCGGGAGGCAGAGGTTGCAGTGAGCTGAGGTCACGCTACTGCACTCCAGCCTGAGCAAAAGACTGAGACTCCACCTCAAAAAAAAAAAAAAAAAAAAAAGAATGAGATCATGTCCTTTCCAAACATGGATAGAGCTGTAGGCCATCATCATTAGCAAACTAATGCAGGAACAGAAAACCAAATACCACATGTTCTCACTTAGAAATGGGAGCTAAATGATGAGAATACATAGACACAAAGAGGCAACAACAGACACTGGGGCCTGCTTGAGGGTGGAGGTAAGAAAGAGGAAGAGGATCAGAAAAAAATAACTATTGGGTGCTAGGCTTAGTACCTGGGAGATGAAATGATCTGTACAAGAAACCCCCATGACACAGGTTTAACTATGTAACAAACCTACATGTGTACCCCTGAACCAAAAATGAAAATTAAAAAATAAATACAAATGGGTTTATAGTTTTTCCTCTTCCCTGTCTGAATACTAATGCAGCCTTAAAGCCATTAGGTGCAGCCAGGTAAAGTAGGAGTAGATACAAAGTGGAGAAGCCATGGGGGCCCAGAACAGGGTGTTGGAGTCCAAGCTGTGTGAGGAGGACATCCCCACAGAGGAGTGGCCTGGTGTGAGGTTTCAGAGCCTGTGAAGATGAGGAGGCATCTGTGGAGGGGGTTGTCAGAGCACAAAATTGGTAAAGAGGGTGTTTGGTGGCCGGATGTTGGAACAAAAGTGGGGTGAAGAGGGCACCTGCATGAGAGTGCAGTTTGGAGCCCAAGCGTGATGAGGAGGGCTTTTGTGTGGGGTGGGAGTTTGGTGCAGGATTTCAGAACCCAAGGGGTGAGGGAAGTACCCATAAAGGAGGGAAGCCTGAGGCAGAGTCTCAGAGCCTTATACCTCAGAGCAAGGTGAAAACAGCATTCACGTGGAGCATGGCTAGGTCTGGGGTGTCAGAGCCCAAGTAGGAAGAGAAGGGCTTTTTGGGCTTTGAAGAACCTAGCACTAGCACAGGGGATTGGTCCTCAAGTGAGGTAAGGAAGCCATCTCTGTGAGTAAGAGGTGATGGCAATGAAAGTTTGGTTATATACATGGGACAGATCAAGTAAGTAAATATATTGAAGATAATGGAAGCCAGGTTTCTCACTATCAAAGGGATTACAAATATGGAAAGGGAGAAAATTGGAATGAACCCTCTGGTGCTGGATTGGAATTAAAGTATCCATGTGAACTCACAGATTTCAGTAAATATATGGAAATAAATGTAGATGTAAACGTGTATATGTATCACATGCATGTGTTTCCTAGCTCTTCCACTGAGAGGGCCTGGAAGCAGAGATGCCCCCAATGGCAACGAACACACATACAGCCCAGATTTTGCCCTCTAAACACCATTCTCCACTAAAAAGAAGCTTGGAGGGCTCCTTGGAGGAATGGCTTATCCTAAGTCCCTGGAACAAGAAAAGAACAAGATGTACCTGGGACATCTTGTTGTGCCAGAAAGTGGAAAGTGTTCAAAAATGATGTCAGACTTGAAGGGGACTCCCATTGGCCAAATCTGGGGAAATTTGAACATCATAATAAATAATGAGATTATAACCTATTAAAGTAGGAAACTGTGAGTCCATACTGATATAAATAAATGATATAAATAATTCAAAAATTTGATGAGAAACAATATTTACATAGGGTTAAAGTACCTCCTCCACACAAAATACTATATTATAAAGGGGAAAAGAGTAACTTTACAGTGGAGAAACCTGGCAGACACCATCTTAATCAAAATTAAATATCACCAGTAATGGGACATATCAAAATCATGTGCTACCTGATTGGAAATAATGAGAACACAGCATTACTTCTGTGACATTCCTACCAAAGATGCTCAACCTGAACCTAGTCACGAGGAAACATCAGATATAACTTTATTTTTTATTTTTTGAGACAGAGTCTCACTCTCACCTAGCCTGGAGTGCAGTGGCACAATATAGCTCACTGCAGCCTCGACCTCCTGGGCTCAGGTGATCCTCCCACCTCAGCCTCCTAGGTATCTGGGACTACAGATGCACACCACCAGGCCTGGCTAATTTTTTGTGGCTTTTGTAGAGATGAGGTCTCCCTTACCAGGCTGATCTCTAACTGCTGGGCTCAAGTGATCTGCCTGCCTCAGCCTCCAGCCTCCCAAAGTGCTGGCATTACAGGTGTGAGCCAATGTGCCCAGCCCAGATAACCTTAAATGAAGGACATTCTACAAAGTAGCTGACTGTAATCTTTGAAAAGTGTCGAGGTCATGAAGGTCAAGAAAATACTGAGGATCTGTTGCTGATTGAATGAGACTTAAGAGACACAATT
Source organism: Homo sapiens (assembly GCF_000001405.40). NCBI lineage: Eukaryota > Metazoa > Chordata > Mammalia > Primates > Hominidae > Homo > Homo sapiens. The sequence continues at coordinate 57,216,197 of NC_000003.12, read as the reverse complement.
GAAGACAATGTGTGATTCTGAACTGGATTATTTTACTGTGAAGGAAGTTATTTGGGGCAATGAATGAAACTTGATGGGGTTTGATGATTACATGGTAGTGATATAACCAATGTTACTTTATTGATTTTGATGGTTTGATTGTGATTATATAGGAGGAAATCCTTGTTTGCAGGAAAAACACTATTCAGGGTTGATGGGGCATCATGTCAGCAACTACTCAAATGGTTGGAGAGAAAGGTTTTTGTACTGTACTTGCAACTTTTAAGTAAGTTTGAGATTGTTTCAAAATTAAGTCAAAAACATTACAGATTAAAACCAGGTACATAGCTATAATCGTGAATAGACCGTTGAACATGATACATTGCTAAATTGTTTATTTTTGTGTTAACATTTTTCTGTGGTTTTTTTGTTTGTTTGTTTGTTTGTTTTTTGAGATGGAGTCTCACTGTGTCACCCAGGCTGGAGTGCAATGGCACGACCTTGGCTCACTGCAACCTCTGCCTCCCGGGTTCAAGCGATTCTCCTGCCTCAGCCTCCTGAGTAGTTGGGATTATAGGCGCCCGCCACCACACCTGGCTAATTTTTGTATTTTTAATAGAGACAAGGTTTCACCATGTTGGCCAGGCTGGTCGAACTGCTGACCTCAGGTGATCCACCTGCTTCAGCCTCCAGAAGTGCTGGGATTACAGGTGTGAGCCACCGTGCCTGGCCAGCATTTTTCTGTTTTTAAAGAGAGATTATTAAATAGGTGTCTTGGCTATAGAAAAGAAGAAACTTTGGGTCCTGGACAGTGGTAAGACCTCTGGGCACTCAAAGTAAAATATTCCAAAGTTCATCTTTGCTCTTTTCTATCCCTACTTTTATGAGAACCTAGACACCACTGAGAATTCTCGTACCTCCCTAGAAGAATCCATTGGTAACCATGATAGCTGCCTTATTTGATTACAACCTTTTAGAAATATATATATATTTTAAACTATTTCTAATATCTGAGTTGCTAGATTTCTGAACTGTTATTTGCAGTCTTCTAGTACTAAAATGAACTCACTTATTTAGGTTATATGTGTGAGATATATGACAATAATATTTACTATTCTAGATAAAGTTATTCCCTAAAATATTTTTAGATCTTTATCATTTATCACATTCTGTCCATTTTCACTGGAGTTCTACCATCTCATTCTGGGAACTTTGTCTTAATTCTGAAGTAATTCAGTTTGCTAAATACTTGCCCATTTGTGTATATAATTAGAAATACAATTTGTATTGTATTTTGACTGATAAACCCTCCTTCATCTATATTCCCTTCTTAGTTAATGATACCATCATTCATCTGGTCATCTAAGCTAGAAATATTGGAATCACATTAACTTTCTCCTCCTCCCCTCAACAGACAAGCACACACACACCCCTGTCTCTGATGGGCCTTATGTTATGTTGCTTTTCTCTGACCTTTTCTTGAAACATCTCTGCCTCAGCACATCTCTGAAAAGCCCTTATAATAACATTGATAACAGCAATAAGTAAGTAATGGTAAGCAGTTTATGTAATGTCTACTATGTGTCAGGCTCTATTCCAAGAGCTTTGCAGATATTAATATATTGGATCCTTAATTAGGCACTATAATAATTCCCATTTTATTGCAGAAGAAACAGGCTCAAAAAGGCTAAGTTATATGCTCAAAGTCACATAGCTAAGAAGAGCTGGAATTTAGACCCAGATAATCTGACATCAGAGTTCGGTTCTTAACCCTTCCTCGGTCCTATTCAATCTCACTCAAGTAGATTTGGGACATTTTCTGTTCCCATAGTCACTTGTGCCTGTATCTTTATTTTATTATATTGTAATTGTGTATGTACATACTGGTGTTCCTAGAAGACTAAAGAGAATGTTACTATTTATATTTACAAAAGTAGAGAGAATAATGAATCCACATATACCAGTCTCTAATTCAACTCATCAACATTTTGCAATACCTGCCTCAATTATCTCTTTCTTGGTTTTCTGTTTTCCTAAAATATTTGAAAGCAAAACCCAGACATCATGAAATTTCACCTGTAAATACTTCAGTGTCTTTTAAAGGGGCATATTAGGTAACCATAATCACATTATCATACCTAATAAAATCAACATTAATTACTATCCTCTTAATCATGAGTTTCTTGAAGGCAGAAATGATTTCATCTCTATGCTCTGAGTCCTAGTGCACTCCCTGATAATATGTTGGAGTTTAACAAATGTTTGTTATCATTGAAAAGTTTATTTATTTGTTTATTTGAGACGGAGTCTTACTCTGTTGCCCAAGCTGGAGTACAGTGGCACGATCTCGGCTCACTGCAACCTCCGCCTCCTAGGTTCAAGCAATTCTCCTGACTCAGCCTCCCTAGTACCTGGGATTACAGATGCCTGCCACCGCAGCTAAGTTTTGTATTTTTAGTAGAGATAGTGTTTCACCATGTTGGCCAGGATGGTCTTGAACTCCTGACCTCGCGATCCGCCTGCCTCGACCTCCCAAAGTGCTGGGATTACAGGCGTGAGCCACCGCGCCTGGCCAGAAAATTAAAGTTGTTTAAAACCATAACATTTATCCCCCAGGAACAATGTTATAAATAACTATCAGGTTCTTGGGTTAACTGACAACTCCCATTTAATCTACAGCGATTAGATTAAATAGCACTAAAGTTTAGGCCTGAGCCCTTTGGGGCCTTAAATCCAAAACCATTTTATCTTTGAATGTTGAGTCTGAGAAAAACCTGAGTCTAATTTAGCTCAGCCCTGAGTTTTCTTGTTCCCACTGTCAATCCAGGCAGGACATAAGAACAAGGGTTTGACTGGATGAGAGTGTTCACTGGTAAAGATTTCTTAGAAGGAAATATGGCAGCATCCACTAAAAAATAATATGCTTTTCAAAGAAAGTTTTCCATGGATTTCCATGCATTTCCGTGCACCCCTGCATGTGTGCTAACATGTATGTAGAGGATGTTCATTGCCAAAATGGTATAGTAAAAAATTGGAGACAACCTATATGCCTCATTATCTGGGGTATAGATTGATAAAATTATGGTTCATCCACTTGTAGTGCCAAGCAGGTGTTGAAGGGAGAGGCAGAGCTATACATGTTTGTGGTGTGTGTGTGTGTGTGTGTCACACTATGGGAGAGTGGACCACATTACAGAACAGTACACGTTTGACCCCATGTGCATGTGTGCCAGGGTGGGGAACATCACACACCGAGGCCTGTCGGAGGTGAGGGGCTGGAGGAGGGATAGCATTAGGAGAAATACCTAATGTAAATGATGAGTTGATGGGTGCAGCAAACCAACATGGCACATGTATACCTATGTAACAAACTTGCACGTTGTGTACATGTACTCTAGAACTTACAGTATAATAAAAAAAAATATGTGCATATGTGCATCCTCCTATTTAAGTCAAAGTATTTTGAAAGACAGGCAGGAGAAACGCTACATTGTTAGTGGTGATAGCCAGTAAGCTGGGGAGGTAAGATGGGGTAAAAGTAAAGGAGACTATCATATTTTTCTCCATGTACTGTTGTATAGAATGAATCTTTTTTAAAATTTACGTTTTTTCTCTTTGCTACTTGGATCAGCATAGAATGAATCTTTTTTTTTTTTTTTTTGAGACAGAGTCTTGCTCTGTCCCCAGGCTGGAGTGCAGTGGTGTGATCTTGGCCCACTACAACCTCTACCTACCTGGTTCAAGGGATTCTCCTGCCTCAGCCTCCCAAGTAGTTGGGACTACAGGCACGTGCCACCACACCCAGCTAATTTTTGTATTTTTAGTAGAGACGGGGTTTCACCACGTTGGCCAGGATGGTCTCGATCTCTTGACCTCGTGATCCACCCACCTCAGCCTCCCAAAGTGCTGGGATTATAGGTGTGAGCCACCACGCCCAGCCTATAGAATGAATCTTTTAAAAATAAAAATGCATTTGTCTTTTGGTTGACTTCATATCAAATTTTTTAAATCAAGGGCTTGATATATACAAGACATTATACTGTAAACAATTTTAACTGGTTTGAAAATGAAAAATATAATACTTTACTCTTTTGAGATTTGAGAAGAGCAAAGGCTGAAATACTTTTTAATTGTTATAAACCAAATGTACTCAATAAACTTACTTAACATTTCCTATGTGACAGGCACTGTGCTGGGTGCAGGGGAGATCGAAGACTGTATGAAACAGATCTTGCTCTCCTGAACCTTGTAATCACTGGGAAAGCTCCTGTGTGTCTCTAGTAACAATGGCAGACAAGGGCCATAGAAACCACAGAGTGCCACAAATATGAATTGTTCAACATGACTCGAGATTTTTAGATTTTAAACTTGGATTTTTTTTTTTTTGAGATGGCGTCTCACTCTGTCGTCCAAGCTGGAGTGCAGTGGCGCGATCTCACCTCACTGCAACGTCTACCTCCTGGGTTCAAGCAGTTCTCCTACCTCATCCTCCCCAGTAGCTAGGATTATAGGTGCTTGCCACTACGTCCGGCTAATTTTTGTATTTTTAGTAGGGACGGGGTTTCACCATGTTGGCCAGGCTGGTCTTGAACTCCTGACATCTTGTGATCCACCTGCCTTGGCCTCCCAAAGTGCTGGGATTACAGGCGTGAGCCACCATGCCTGGCTTTTTTTTTTTTTTTTTTTTTTTTGACAAGGTCTCTCTCTGTCACCCAGAATGGAGTGTAGTGGCATGATCACAGTTCATTGCAGCCTCAACCTCCTACGCTCAAGTGATCCTCCCACCTGAGCCTCCTGAGTAGCTGGGATCACAGGCGCATGCTACCACGCCCGGCTGAAGGTTTTTCAATTTTTGAAGAGACGAGGTCCCACTGTGTTGCCCAGGTAAGTCTTGAACTCCTGGGTTTAAGCAATTCTCCCACCTTGGCTTCCCAAAGTGCTTGGATTATAGGCATGAGCTATGGCACCTGGCCTAGACTCAGATTTTTTTTTTTTTTTTTTGAGATGGAGTTTCACTCTGTTGCCCAGGCTGGAGTGCAATGGCACGATCTTGGCTCACCACAACCTCCACCTCCCGGGTTCAAGCGATTCGCCTGCCTCAGCCTCCCTAGTAGCTGGGATTACAGGCATGTGCCACCATGCCCGGCTAATTTTGTATTTTTAGTAGAGTTGGGGTTTCTCCATATTGGTCAGGCTGGTCTCAAACTCCCGACCTCAGGCAATCCGCCCGCCTCGGCCTCCCAAAGTGCTGAGATTATAGGCATGAGCCACTGCGCCCAGCCTAAACTCAGATTTTTAAATGAATGCCCTATCTCAATTTTTATTAAATTTTAGTTACAGAATGCCATAGTGTCTTCTCTTCTGTAGATTGCCCTGGAGTGATACACATGTAGTTCAGAGAAAACTGGGATTACTTTACACATTAAAAAACAATAGTTAAACCCTGTTCAAGTAAACTTAAACAATAAACAATACTAGTACAGTATTTAAGTTGCATGTCAGGTTTCAAATGTCACATCTTGCTAGTCCCATCTGTCCATCCATCCATTTAATTCACTTATTCAACAAATTTTATTGAATGTCTACTTGGGCATTGTTCTAGGAAACACTGAAGGCATTGCAGTAAAAAATAAACTTATATTTAAGAAAACACATTTTAACATTAAAAATACTGAAAGTGTGAAATCAGTGCAATTCCTATGCAAAAGTAAGGAAGGGGCAAGGTTCACTGGAGCTTTGCTTATTCCATTTCTTATTACGCTCACAGCATAATAATTGTATGGCTGGTTTACAGAAATCTCTGCCAAAACACCTCAGACCTAGTACGTTTTTCCTGATGTTAATGATTTGGATATTAATTGAAATACACAATTTAAAGATAAATATTTATCAAAACATGAATAGATTTACATGTTCCTAAAACAAGAAAAAACATAAACCTCTCAGTTTTTACTTCATCTTGTATGTATAGATATTTGAAATATAGACTGTCCAATTTTATTCCTAAAATCTCTTCTCTCTAATGTCAATATGTCAGACTTTTCTTTCTCATATCAAAGTAATTGTTGAAAGATATTGATATCATATGCAAAGTTTTCACAGTTTTTTTCTTAATTGATTAGTACACTTTGGTATTTATACCATGAGATCATTGGTGAAGATGTTACAATGGCCATTAATAGGTGAAGTCAATAAAACAGGATTTGGAGACAGAAAATACAAGTCAAGGCTCTGCCACTTCCTAGTTAGTGACTTCTGGTATTACAACTGTACTCTCAATTTCTGTTTTCTCAGCTACCAAATGATAAAAGATTCGTGAGAAGATTAAACACAAATATGCTAAAATGCTGGAGAAGCAATAAAGCTCTGTAGATATTTTGTGTTTGTATTCATTATAACATTGTGCTAAATAAACAGCATTTATTAGAAACCAGCAGAAGATACTATTTTAATGGTGAAATACTGTTCTTATGTCAGAACAAAACAAAGGTGTTTGTTTTTTGTTTTTATCATCACTATTTTCTTTTCTTTTTTTTTTTTTTTTTTTGAGATGGAGCTTTACTCTTGAGATGAAGTCTCACTGAGATGGAGTCTCGCTCTGTTTCCCAGGTTGGAGTGCAATGGTGTGATCTCAGCTCACTGCAACCTCCACCTCCGGAGTTCAAGCAATTCTGCTGCCTCAGCCTCCCAAGTAGATGGTACTACAAGCCCCACCACACCCAGCTAATTTTTTGTATTTTTAGTAGTGACGGGGTTTCACCATATTGGCCAGGCTGGTCTCGAACTTCAGATGATCCACCCCGCCTCCACATCCCACAGTGCTGGGATTACAGGCATGAGCCACTGCGCCCGGCCTATCATCACTATTTTCAGTATTGTTCTATACTTCTAGACCAGCACTATCCAGTAAAACTTCTTGCAGTTATGGAAATGTTCTCTGTCTGTGTTATTCTGTTTGGAGCCGCTAGCCATGTGTGTCTGTCCAAGTTTAAATTAAATTAAACTTAATTACATTTAAAATTCAGTTCCTCAGTTGCACTAGCAACATTTCAAGTGCTCATTAGCCACATGTAGCTAGTGGCTACCATATTGGATAGCTCAGATGAAGAACATTTTCATCATCCCAGAAAACTCAATTGGTTTAGAAGTTCTAATCATCCAGAATTACACAATAATGTTGAATAAGAGTGATAATGAAAGCATCACATATTTATCCATCCATCCATTTTATGTTTTATGCATTTTTTTTCTTTTTTTTTTAGATACAGTCTCACTCTGTCACCCAGGCTGGAGTGCAGTGGCATGATATCAGCTCACTGCAACTTCGCCTCCCCAGTTCAAGCTATTCTCATGCCTTAGCCTCCCAAGTAGCTGGGATTACAGGCATGTGCCACCATGCCCGGCTAATTTTTGTATTTTTAGTAGAGACTGGGCTTCACCGTGTTGGCCAGGCTGGTCTCGAACTCCTGACCTCAAGTGATCCGCCCGCCTCGGCCTCCCAAAGTGCTGAGATTACAGGCGTGAGCCACCGTGCCTGGCCTACAACTTACTTTAAAATGCATAAAACAAGTCCGGGCACCGTGGCTCACGCCTGTAATCTCAGCACTTTGGGAGGCCAAGGTGGGTGGATCACTTGAGGTCAGGAGTTCGAGACCAGCCTGGCCTATACGGTGAAACCTCATCTCTACTAAAAAAAATACAAAAATTATCCGGGTATGGTAGCACACGCCTGTAATCCCTGCTGCTAGGGAGGCTGAGGCAGGAGAATCGCTTGAACCCGGGAGGCAGAGGCTGCAGTGAGTTGAGATCGCACCACTACAGCCTGGGAAACAGAGCGAGACTCCATCTCAATCAATCAATCAATCAATCAAGTTGTAGACGTCAATATACTTCCCTCTTAAACTCTTTAGCATACATAACATTGACAAGTTAAGTACTTGTTTATGCTTTTATAGATAAAATTTTGCATATAGTGAACAAATTTTAGAGTACCAATCAATGAGTACTGACAAATGCATACAGCTGTGTAATCCAAATCTATCAAAATATAGAACATTCCCATCACCCCAAAAAGTTTCCTCATTTTTCTTCCCATTTAGTCCCTGCCATCACCCCCACCTTCTGAAGAAAGTGAAGAAACAAACAAAACAATCACTTTAATAGAAAAATGGGCTGAGGGAATACACTATTATTTCACAAAAGAAGAAATACACATTGACTAGTAAACCTGTAAAGAAATTAATGCCCAACCTTACTTGAAGAAATGTGAAACAGATTATTTTATGCGTCAGATTGGCAATAATTTAAAATGTTTATAACAGTGAGTATTGGCCAGGGTGTGGGAAAGGGCGCTCTCATGACGACCCAAAATGCTCTTTAACTTATCCAGAGTATATTTCAATAATTATATGCATTTTTTATTTTATGAATTCCATTTAGTTCTTTTTAAAATCTTCCCAGTCATTTCTGATAATTTCTTCTTGCTTGTCCCTATTGATGATTCTAACTTTTAGTTCTTTAAACTTTCACTTGTTAGAAATTTTATAATCTGTTGTTGTTAACTCCCATATCTGAATTTCTTCTAGATCTGTATCAGTTATGGTATAGACTTGACTGCTATAACTTACAGACCCCAAACAACAAGACAGACATTTATTCTTTGTCCAAGTAGGTAGTCCAGTACTGATATGGAAAGTCCAATCCACAATCCACAGGGCTCCAAGTCCTCTTCTCATTACACTGCTATTCTCAACATTTTGTCAGCTCCCACCATCTTGTCCACAATCCAGACAGTAGAAAAGAGAAAATGGGAACACAGAGGGGTCACCCCCACCTTTTAATAGCTGGGCCTGAAAGTTAGACATGTTGTTTCTACTCACATCTCAGAGGTAAGAAGTCACATGATCACACCTATATGCAAGGCAGTCTGGGAAATGTCATTGTTAACCTTTACCTAAAAACTATATTGTGGCCCAGTATAGTGGCTCATGCCTGTAATCCTAGCACTTTGGGAGGCCGAGGTGCGTTGGATCACTTGAGGTCAGGAGTTCAAGACCAGCCTGGCCAACATGGTGAAACCACATCTCTACTAAAAATACAAAAAATTAGCCCGGCATGGTGGCACGCACCTGTAATCCCAGTTACTCAGGAGGTTGAGGCAAGAGAATTGCTTGAACCCAGGAGGTGCAGGTTGCAGTGAGCCAAGATCGTGCCACTGCACTCCAGCCTGGGCGACAGACTGAAACTCAAAAAAAAAAAATTATACTGCTACTGAGGAAGGATAGAATGGATATTGGTGGACAACTAGCAGTCTCTGGAACAAGCTATAAATCTCGTTTCTGCTGGCTTTCCCTCATGAGGTGGCTGGCCTCAGATGCTTGATGATCTTTGATTATGAGCTTATGTTTGCTTGCTGTTAATCTGTGGAAATCTTGTGAACCTAAATTAGGGATGCTTTCCTCCAGAGAGGGTTTAGTTTGCCTTTTCTAGGAACCAAGAGGAGTCTTCAGCCCCACCTACTGCTAGTCTGAGGATTAATATCTTGGTTTTTGATGCTAAAGTTATTTGCCCTTGGAGGCGACCCCATGTTTACCATTTGGTTACTGATCACTGCTCGCAGTTCTGATTTCAGTGCTTGGTTACTGGTTTTGGTTTTTGTTTTGTCTGATGAACAAACACATTTTCTCTTACTTGTTGAGATCTCAGCAATGCATTTAAAGGTATGTTTTATCTATAATCAAGCTGTTTTGTAATAGAAGGGTGTTACAAGGAATATGACCCAGCATATTGCCAGACCAAAAATGTCCCATTCACTCTTCAGTTTACTTTCAAGTCTGGCTTTTTCTCTACTTTTTAGGCTTGCCAAAGCTGCCAATAATACCTCTTTGTTAACAAACCTAGTGGATATATTTCTGTCTTCATGTTACTCAACTTCTCAGCGGCATTAACACAGTTGACCATCATTTATTCTTTCACCTAGTATGAGCTAAGCACTGTTTTGTTTTGTTTTGTTTTGTTTTTGTTTTTTTGAGAAGTTGTTTCGCTCTGTCACCCAGGCTGGAGTGCAATGGCGTGATCTCGGCTCACTGCCACCTCTGCCTCCTGGATTCAAGTGATTCTCCTGCCTCAGCTGCCCCAGTAGCTGGGATTACAGGCACGTGCCACCACACCCAGCTAATTTTCCTATTTTTAATAGAAACACTGTTTCACCATGTTGGCCAGGCTGGTCTCAAACTCCTGACCTCAAGTGACCCGCCCACCTCGGCCTCCCAAAGTGCTGGGATTACAAGTGTGAGCCACTGCGCCTAGCCCAAGCACTGTTTTGAATGCTAGGGAGTGAACAGGACACAAAAAAATCCTATAGAGAGGAAACAGACAATAAACATAATAAACCTATATTTTGTAATATGGCCAAAGGTGGTTAAGTGCTGTGGAATAGAAATGGGAACAGGGCAAGGGATGTCAGGAGTGCTGGAAGAGAGGTTGCAGGTTAAAAGGGGAGAAAGGTAGGCCTCATTGAGAAGATGATATTTGAGCAAATACTTGAAAGAGATAAATGGGTAAGCTGTGGGGATTCACAGGGGAGGAACATTACAGATGGTGACAACAGCCAGTGTAAATGCCTTGAGGGAAGACTGTGCCAGATATTTTCAGGAAGAGTCCAGTGTGGCTGGAACACAGTGAACATGGGAGGGAGGAGTAGGAGGTGAGATCAAGTAAATAAGGAAGGCTGGCAGGTCATGTAGGGTCCTGCAGGCCATTGTAAAGACTTTGACTTTTCTTGAGATGGGGAGTTGTGTTTGTGTTTGTTTGTTTGAGACAGGGTCTTGCTCTGTGTCCTAGGCTGAAGTGCAGTTGTATAGTTCACAGCAGCCTTGACCTCATGGGCTCAAGCGATCCTCCCACCTCAGCCTCCCAAATAGCTGGGACTATGGGTGCAGGCAACCATGCCTGGCTAATTTTTTAATTGTTTTGTAGAGTTGGGGTCTCACTGTGTTAGCCAGGCTGATTTTGAACTCCTGGCACCAAGTGATCCTCTGCCCTCAGCCTCCCAAAATGCTGGGATTATAGGCATGAGCCACCATGCCCAGCCAGGAGCCATTTTTTGAGCACAGTTGTGACATGAACTGACTTATGTTTTTAAATGATCCCTCTGGCTGCTGTGTTCATAGAAAGCCATGGTGGGTCCAGGGTGGAAGCAGGGACCACTAGAGATGCTATTGTAACCATTCTTTTCCTTGACCCTTTTCCCTCTCTTGACTGTATTCTTGTATCTCCAGATTTTTCTCCTGTCTTGCTAGCTGCTCCTTTTCCAGTACCACTTCTGTCCCTATCTCCAAATGTTGGAGAACCTTAGACTCAGTCCTGAGACCCTTCTTGTATCTAGCACCATTCACTGAGTAATTTTTTTTTTTTTTTTTGAGACAAGGTTTCACTCATATATCCAGGCTGAAGTGCAGTGGCATGAATACAGCTCACTATAGCCTCTACCTCCTGGGCTCAAGGGATCCTCCTACCTCAGCCTCCCAAAGTTCTGGGATTACAGGCATGAGCCACTGTGCCCAGCCACTGGATGATCTTATGCAAACCTATAGCTTCTAAAACCATCTCTTTGCTGGTGATGCATAAACTTAGCACTCTAGCACTGAGCTTATAGCAACTTGCTATCCAAACTGGAGGTGTTCATTACTCCCCAAACCTTTCCTTCCCTAGCCCAGGCTTTCACATCCCAGTAAATGGCATTGTATTTGCTCAAGCCAAAAAACCTAGTCATCTTTAATGCCTTCCTTTCCCTCACCTCCCTATCCAATCCATCAGCAAGATATGTTCTTTAACCTCTGAATCAAATAGGTATTTCCTCTAAAATGCTATGTATATAATAACCTCAAAAACTTCAATGGAGCCAGTGTAATGGCTGGCACCTGTTGTCAACAGCTACTCTGGAGGCTGAAGCAGAAAGATTGCTTGAGCTCCAGAGTTCAAGATCAGCCTGGACAACATAGTGAGATCCTATCTCTAAAAAAACATAAAATAAAATAAAAAGAAAAGAAAAAACTTCAGTGGCTTAAACAATGAATATGTTTCTCACAAAACTGCAGGTCAGTTGGTATTTGGCTGAGATTGGCTGGACTTGGCTGACTTGGCTGCAGGCTGCAAGATGGATTAGGATCTGATCCATGTGTGTTCATTCTGGGGCTCAGGCTGTAGGGCAGCAGCTATCTCAGGGATGATCTCACAGTGAAGTCAAAAGCACAAGAGGGGGCTGGGCACCTGTAATTCCAGCACTTTGGGAGGACGAGTCAGGCAGATCACTTGAGGTCAGGAGTTTGAGACCAGCCTGACCAACATGGTGAAACCCCGTCTCTACTGAAAATACAAATTACACGCCTGAATCCCAGCACTTTGGGAGGCTGAGGCAGGCAGACCACTTGAGGTCAGGAGTTCAAGACCAGCCTGACCAACATGGTGAAAACCCATCTCTACTAAAAATACAAAAATTAGCCAGGTGTGATGACATGTACCTGTAGTCCCAGCTACTCGGGAGGCTGAAGCAGGAGAATCACTTGAACCTGGGTGGTAGAGGTTGCAGTGAGCAGAGGTTGCGCCACTGCACTCCAGCTTGGGTGACAGAGTGAGACTCTGTCTCAAAAAAAAACAAAAACAAAACCCCTAAATGGGCACACTGAGCTTCTGCTCACATCACTTCCCACAAACAAGCCCAAAATCAGGAGGTAGGAGGTATACTGTATTCACCATGAAACCACAGCAAGGGGATGGTTGTATAAGATATTATGGGGATTGGAGAATTGGGACCAAGTATTCAATTATTCTATCTCCCATAACCTTCTAAAGAATTGCACTTCTCTCCAAATCTACCCTCTCTCCTCACGCTTTTTTCAAAGGATCATCATCTTTTGCCGCTAAACAATTGTCTTTGTTTTCACCACTGTATCCCTCACACCTAGAACAATGCCTAGCAAGTAGTATATGCTTAGCAAATTATGTGTTGAATAAATAACTCCCCAACTGATCTCCCTGGTTGCACTCACTTCTCTCTAATCCCTTTCCACAGAGCAGCCAGAGTAAGGTTTAAAAACAAATTCTATCATTTTGGTCCCAGCTTAAAACCCTACCCTGGCTTCTCTTTGCACTGGAACTCCTTACCATGTCCTTTATAAAGGCCATCCATTATCCAGCCTAGCCTGGCTCTCCAAATGCACCTGGTACCACTGACTTCACTCCAACTACTGCCTTCTTCCTCCTCAAACATTCCAAGTGATTTTCAACTGCAAGACCTTTGTACTTGCCATTGTCTCTGAGTGCAGTGCTTTTTCTCAGGCTCTTGGCATGCTAGCTCAGCTTCAGTGAAAATGTCACTTCCTTAGGCCCTCCTCCACCATCGACCATCGACCTCTGTATTTTAAGTCACCCTCTGCCATTATATTGCATCTCCATCACCTTGTTCACTCCTTTCAATGTATTTATCATGCCATGAAATTAGCATGTTTTGTTCGTCACTGATCTCTAGCACCTATAATAATGTCTGGCACATATTAAGTGCCCTGTAAAAGTCTGTTGAGGCCAAGCATGGTGGTGGCTCACACCTGTAATCCCACCACTTTAGGAGGCCGAGGCAGGTGGATCACTTGAGGTCAAGAGTTTGAGACCAGCCTGGCCAACATGGTGAAACCCCCATCTCTACTAAAAATACAAAAATTAGCCAGGCTTGGTGGTGCACACGTGTAATCCCAGCTACTCAGGAGGCTAAGGCAGGAGAACTGCTTGAACCCAGGAGGTGGAGGTTGCAGTGAGCCGAGATCACGCCACCGCACTCCAGCCTGGGTAACAGTGAGATTCCGTCTCAAACAAACCAGCAAACAAACAAACAAAAATCTGTTGAGTGAGTATATGAGAAAATGCTTCCCTCACATTTTTAGATAATTTTTCCTGCCTTTTATTTTCAACTACTCATCCATATATAAAATGATATGTGTAAATCCAGCCGGGCGTGGTGGCTGAAGCCTGTAATCCCAGCACTTTGGGAGGCCGAAGCGGGCGGATCACGAGGTCAGGATATCGAGACCATCCTGGCTAACACGGTGAAACTTCGTCTCTACTAAAAATACAAAAAAATTAGCCAGGCGTGGTGGCGGGCGCCTGTAGTCCCAGCTACTCAGGAGGCTGAGGCAGGAGAATGGCGTGAACCCGGGAGGCGGAGCTTGCCGTGAGCCGAGATCACACCACTGCACTCCAGCCTGGGCGACAGAGCAAGACTCTGTCTCAAAAAAATAGATAGATAGATAGATAGATAGATAGATAGATAGATAGATAGATAGATAGATATAGATAGATAGATATAGATATGTAAATCCAAGGAAAATCAATTTAAGCTGAATAAAAATATTGGAACATCTTTGTTAATAAAGAAGAAGTTGAAAACTGGAGTTGCTCTGGCATGCGCTGTGGCATCCTTCTGCCTTGTGCCTCTTAGGCACTCATCTGCGGGGCTCAGGGGCTCAGTGAGGCCTACACTGACATCTACCCCTCCACTTCCTGCACTAATTCATCTTACCTGGCTCACCTGTTTCCTTTTCTCATTCTTACCCTGGCTAACATACTAGATAATTTACCTATAATTATTATTTGTTTCCTGCCCCCCACCCTGCACCACTGTGAGCTCTATGAAGGCAAGGATAGTATTTTGTTTTTTTCTGGTTCTGAGAAGGTGCTCAACCAATTGTGGAAGGAAATAATGAATGTCTCAAAGGAGAGAAAGAAAGCTGAAAAGGTCCTGTATTCTCTCGCTTCCTCCTAGTCGTCCCAGATTAAGATACCCCCCACCTTTGCACAATCTACATCTCAGCACTATATACAAAATCTCCATGAGGTATAAATGTTCACCGGTTTATTCATCCGCAGAATGGTTTTACACGTACATTTATAAATCCATATGCCTGTTGATGTTTTGCATGTGAGATCCTTTATTTACCCGAGAGCTTTCATCAGGAGGAATTTAGCTCAATATTTGTGAGATCATAATAGGATAAAAGCTGATGAAGATGAGCTCCATCCTATAGAGGCTATTTCCTCTATGAGTGGAGACTGTTTTTCCCTTCCCTGAAGGAAAGAACAGCAGTTGTTTAAATAATGAATAAAGCTAAGCACTTAAATTTATCTTCAGGAAGGTACTGGAAGAAGAGGAGGAGCAGAGTATAAAAACTACAAGTATACCTTTGCGGGGGGAACAGCCAGTTCAAAATCTTCCCAATCAGCAGTTATACTTTAATTTTAATTTCAAGTTTTCTTAGGATTATGAAATTAAAACATTCTGTTCTTGGTTATTTTCATAAGCCTTACCATCTTGAAAGACTCCATCCTCTGCCCATCCCTCAAAAGATCAACAGACGGAAATTTTTCTTTAGAAAGCAAACTATGTTCTTTTCTTTGAAATAACTGTGATAGAGAAATTATTCACTTTAAGTAGTCATGCTTCTAAGTTGCTTGAAGGTGATTACATATGAACCTTCATATAAACATGTATCTCTCTCATTTAAAAGAAAAGAGGAAGGAAAGGAATTAGCCCATTAATTATTTAAAATACTTGGTGCAACTGTTCCTATGAATTAATCCAGGCACTTGGAAGACAATTACACTCCATGTTAATAACATTGCCAACCTTTTCCACTATGCTGCACTCCAAATACTATTGTGTTTTCATTGACAACATTCCCTATTACATATGCATATGAAAAACAGGCATTTTCATCAGAATTACTGTAATAGCATTAAGAGATTATTATTTTTTCCCATTTCCTTGGAAGAAAATTTACTTAAATTAGATTATTTATTACTCGACTGCTCTCGTATCTTGCCTGTATGTTTAGGTAACTGGAGCCCATGAAAGTATAAACTTCAGAATAAAAAGCTTGATTTTATACATTAATGATTTCAAATAAAAGATAAGTGCCACATTTGTGCATCACTTCTTTAGAGAAAGTTAAGTCTGTGTTCTGCTTAGGAGAGATAACACTTTTTGTCCCTGTAGGTGGCCCCCCTGGTGTAGCCATTAGTTGCTAATTACTTGCAAACAAATAAACAATTAACTCCTTAAGCTGCTGGCTGGGCAAGTGTTCATTGACATGCTAAAACTTTCTAAGACAGGATTTTAATTAGTGACGTTCTAAATCCAGCCCCCTTGTCAGCGGAGCTATAAGGTGAACTGCAGGAAGATCCCAGCCCTATACACGTGGGGCAGAGCCAGCAGAGGCCAGAGCTGTTGCTCTGTGCAGACCACGAGAGGATGTCTCCCAGCCTTCAGGAAGGCGCTCAGCTCGGGGAAAACAAACCCTCAACTTGCTCCTTTTCAATTGAGAGAATCTTAGGACTGGACCAGAAGAAAGACTGTGTTCCATTAATGAAACCCCACAGGCCCTGGGCAGACACCTGCAGCTCATCAGGTATGCCACAGCTTAATTGTTTCAATTCTTTGTTATTTCATTTACAGTGTTTAATTTGCCCTTTATTTCATACTACATAGAGCTAGAGTTTAGGACTTTAATTTAATTTATTATTATTATTTATTATTTTTTTTTTTTTTCTGAGACAGAGTGTTGGTCTTGTTGCCAAGACTGGAGTGCAATGGCATAATCTTGGCTCACTGCAGCCTCCGCCTCCTGGGTTCAAACGATTCTCCTGCCTCAGCCTGCCAAGTAGCTGGGATTACAGGCATGCACCACCATGGCCTGCTAATTTTTGTATTTTTTAGTAGAGGGGGGTTTCACCCTGTTGGTCAGGCTAGTCTCGAACTCCTGACCTCAGGTGATCCGCCTGCCTCAGCCTCCCAAAGTGTTAGGATTACAGGCATGACCCACCACGCCCAGCCAGAGTCTAGGACTTTTAATGCCTCCAACTGAGTCCTATGGGAAATTAAAAGAATATCAGCTTTGGATTGAGCAAAGTGGATAAATTCACTCACAGGAAATCCCAAGAACCTGCATTTACTTCAGAAGATCTCTCCCTGTTTGACACATCAGATATTTGAAATCTCTTTTCACTGAAAAATAAACGACATTCAGAGACCAAAGAGGCAGGATTACCAAGACAGGATCTTCATTTTTTATTGGTTTTTGGTTAACGGGGTGCAATTCTCTTGTGAACCCCAGAATTCCACTAGGAAATGAAAGATGAGTTCCTGAAACTACCTCTATAGAACTTTGTGGAACATAAGATTGACCATCTAAGACAGGGCTTATTTTTTTGTTTTTAGGGAAAGATGGTAACTTATGTCTACATGTCCCAAATCCTCCCAGTGGGATTTCATTCCCTAGCGTGGTGGATCACCCAATGCCAGAAGAAAGAGCTTCGAAATATGAAAATTACTTTTCAGCCTCAGAAAGACTGTCTTTGAAAAGAGAGTTGAGTTGGTATAGAGGCCGAAGACCAAGAACTGCTTTTACTCAAAACCAGGTGGGAAGTTTTTTCACCCAATAATGATAATATAAAGGCTTTAATTGACACCAAGTTGAGCAAAAGCCCACTCACTTTGGTATCTCAGTTTAGAAGCCTTATTAATGAAACAGTAGACTACCATATTTTAACAATTTCCAGGTAATCATTTTTAAAAAGGCATCCAGATTAATTGCCAAGATTTAAATGTAGTCATTTTACTCTAGAAATTAAAGCTCATTTTTGGAGACATACTGAATATCAACATTTTTTTTTCTTAGATTGAAGTGTTAGAAAATGTCTTTAGAGTAAACTGCTATCCTGGTATCGATATTAGAGAAGACTTAGCTCAAAAATTGAATCTAGAGGAAGACAGAATCCAGGTAATTTTCAAATTTAGTTGTTATTCATGATGTTGAAATGTTAAGAATAATAAAATAATGTTTCTGAGACCTATTTTATTTTTCCTTAACTTTAGATTTGGTTTCAAAATCGGCGTGCAAAACTGAAAAGGTCCCATAGAGAATCACAGTTTCTAATGGCGAAAAAAAATTTCAACACAAATCTGCTGGAATAGATAGAAAACTAAACAAGTGAAATTATCTTCTAATTGCAGAGCATGAAGAATCAGTGGAAATATTAAGTGTTAAAATGTGATGTTTTCTTTCCTGCATTTAATCTGAATATTGTCATTTTTTCTGAAAATATATTGTAAATACTATTATAGCATGGTACATATTTGGGCACTTTTAGTTATAGTAAAGACCTTTTATATATATTTTAATAAACATTTTCAGAAAAGATTGCTATTTTTTAAGTAAGCCAAATTAATCTAATAAATTAGTTTGTTAAAATCAATAGACTCATGACTAAGTGATTCCACAAGCTGGATTCTAATTATAAAGTATTTCAAGTAAAATAATCTGAAGAACAAAAGTGTGAGTTGTTTTCATTAGTTTCTTCCATGCACATTTTGAAACATAATTATGCTTCACTATATTATAAATTATGATTTATTCATGAATCTTCAACTTCTCTTGATTTATAGCATAAAGCAGTGAGAATTTCTCACCATTTATCAGAACAAATTCTTACAGTATGTTAGTTTCAAGTTTTTTTTCCAAGCAAAGTCATTATGCCAAAGTAGAAATATACAAGCATCAGCTATCATATTTATACCATTGGTATTGAATTGCACAAAAGAAGTAAGCAGCAAATAAATGCAAAATTTTAAATAGTTTTCTAGTTTAATTTTGTACTTTACTTTCATTCATTAGTGATAGTGATCATGTAGCTTATATCTATTTCCAGTTTAAATGATTTCTAATCAACTGCAATATTAAGTTGACTGAGAAGGTAGGATAACTGACCCACCTTTTGTAAGTGCTCTGACATAGTCACTGGAAATAATCAAGGTGCTTTCTAAGTAACAAAAACTATGTGTTTTCATTTCCCATTTTCCCATTTTACCTGCCAATTAAAGATGGGGGGCTGGGCGCGGTGGCTCACGCCTGTAATCCCAACACTTTGGGAGGCCGAGGCGGGCGTATCACGAGGTCAGGAGATCGAGAACACGGTGAAACCCCGTCTCTACTAAAAAAATACAAAAAATTAGCTGGGCGCGGTGGCGGGCGCCTGTAGTCGCAGCTACTCCGGAGGCTGAGGAAGGAGAATGACGTGAACCCGGGAGGCGGAGCTTGCCGTGAGCCGAGATCGCGCCACTGCACTCCAGCCTGGGCGACAGAGCGAGACTCCGTCTCAAAAAAAAAAAAAAAAAAAAAAAAGATGAGAATAGGATAAGATATATAACAAGAAGGGAGCCCTCTCGGCTGGAAATCTGGGCATTTGTTTTCCAGTTAATGGAAGACTTCAGTGGGTGGTTTTTTTTTTTTTTTTTTTTTTTTGAAATGTCAGCTTAAGACTCTGACTTTGTCCACTGGAAGCCAAATTTCAGCTTTGTCCATTTGAATTGAATTCTCCCTTGCTTCTCTTTTCTTTCTGTCCTCTGTCCTTTCTGATGTCCCAGTGATGATCAAGGTGGAAGGTTCTCATTGAATTATTGAATCTATAATCACTATTTTTTATATATAAAAGACTAGAGGGAGTTTGCATATTATTTCTAAGGAAACGCAGCATGACTCAGATTTTAGAGCTTTTTAAAATTATTTACTGAGAGCACATTTGAGGTTGAGAGCTATGTGTCCCAACAATTGGTCAACAATAAGCGTGCTTATTCTATTCCACTGTTGCTGAGATGGAGAGGGAGGAGGAAAAGAAGGGCAACAGGGTAGTTAGGAAGAACATAGGCATTACATGTTTTCCAAAAAAGACTGAGCCACTTTTTCCAATATAAAGAGCTGCTTCCATTCATATAAAAATTGGAAGCACTATTTATGAAATGTATTAGTTCAAATTTATCCACAAAGAGTTTTCTTTGTTCTCCATTAGGTTATTATGAAATTATGTTAAATTGAAAGACTGGAAGTTACCAGGAGTAGGCTCTGGAGGAGTGGGTTGGAGGGGAATGTGTCACATGATGGGTAAGCTTTTATTTTAATTCCAAATTTATTGTCATTCTGTATTCTGCAAACAATATAAGCAGTATAGAAATAGAGTAAAATCCCCCTTGAATCTCATCCTTCAGAGATAACCATCATTAAACATCTTTAAGATCTTTTTGTGTATCACAAAAACATCTTTATATATGTACACACACACATATTTGTTGTTTTTGCTGTTATTTTTTAAAATGTGATCACACTTGATATTCAGTTTTGCGTCTCTCTGACATCCTGCCATGTCAGAATTATAGCTCTGTCTCCTGAACGTCTGCTTGGTTTAGGATAAGATTTCAAGTCTTATACACAATAAGAAAATATTCCACATTATTAATATTAATATTAAAGTATTTTTGAAGTAGTGCTTTTCATAAATTGAGATTTTTCAGAGTAATCATAGTTTATCTAGAATTTCTACAATTAAACCTAATTCCCAAATCTCTGAGGAATGTAAAGATTCTGTGCAAAATGATAGAATCTAGAAAAAAATGAAACACCATCACAGATATCGATTGACAACTAAGAATGCACTTAAGTTTTTTTTTAATTATAAAAACTGGCATACCTCTAAAAAGTCTGGTGAGGAGAGAAACATCATAACCCTAGACCATCATTGTCTCAGTATTTTCCAATGACAATTTTATATAACTGATTTATGTGGCCCTAAAATTCAATTTTATTTATAATTGAAATAAATTGTGTTTACAACTGAACTTATATATTTATAACTGAAGCTACATATGTATAACTGAAATCATTTATAATAGAAATGATATATTTATAACTGAAACATTTATAAGTCAGAAAAATTAAAACAAGAATTTATAATATTAAATAAATAACTATAAATGTAATATGCCTATTTTTTTATATTTTTTGATACTAATAACAATATAAGTTCTATTATAACTTTTGTGAAGCAAGTTCATAATATATAAGAATACTCAAGAAGCAGGGTAATAGAAAAGATTGCTAGTGTATTTCCCCTAAAATCTTTTTTAAAAATCTAAAGATAAAGGCTGATCTTGTTAAAAGAAATAATGAATCAGTAACATTTTTGGAATTACAATTGCTAGAAATTTGGAGAGAATATAATGATATTCAGGGGGAAAATTGGACTCGGGAAAAATCAAGCAAAATGAAAATGGAAAGGAAAACCCGAGATAGAATTATCTTTCCCTCAAAACACGTAGGCTCTAATCCACAGCTTATCTCTGTTCCTGGTAATTCTAGGCCTTTTGTCTCCATTAATGCTCAAGACAAGGTGAACAGTAGTAACAAATCAAGCTAATGCAGTCAGGCTAATACCTGGAGCGTCTCTATTATCTGACAACTGCCTAAATAAGGTTATTTGGTCTCCTGTAATGGCATTTGTCTTTTGTGAAGCCAGCCAGACAAAGCCCATCACTAAAGAGTGCTGCTGGAAACAATGGCTGTGTGTGCTGGTGGTCAACTTTTGAGTTAATCAGTGTTCATAGCCGCTTTCACCTCCTGCATCTTATCACACATCACACGAATGGCATAAATCTCCCATTACCAAACCCAGCACAGAGCATCAACCTGGGCCTTGTTCCTCCCAGCAGAGAGCTGGGAACTGCTCAATTTTCTCAATATGGAACTCAACTCACATTCTGACAAAGGGTGACTTGCTATCTCCATTTCACTGAGCCCCATAGGAATAAAACCCCCTCCAAAGTTAGTCTTTGGATACCTTTCATGGTCATTTTGACTGTTCTGACTCCTGTTGGAACATCAGTCCACAGCACAAGGCAGCTCCTGGTGGCTCTCAACACTCTACACCCCATTAGACTCACTTCTTCTGCCTATGCTTTAATCTTGGATTTCACAGCCTCCAGAATTGTGAGAAATAAATTTCTGTTGTATATAAGCTGCCCAGTCTGTGGCATTTTTGTTATAGAAGCCCAAATGGACTAAGTGTCCACCATGAGCTATGCAATATGGTTCTTCACATGAATATTCCCATTTAATTTTCACAGTCACTCTGCAAAGTGAATATAGGCAATCCACTTTACAAATAAGAAAACCTAGCATCAGATATTTTTATTATGATGATGATTCTTTTTTTTGAGATGGAGTCTTACTCTGTTGCCCTGGCTGGAGTGCAGCGGCATGATCTCGGCTCACTGCAACCTCCACCCGCTGGGTTCAAGCGATTCTCCTGCCTCAGCCTCCCAAGTACCTGGAACTACAGGCGTGCGCTACCATACCCAGCTAATTTTTGTAGTTTTAGTAGAGACAGGGTTTCTCCATGTTGGCCAAGCTGGTCTCAAACTCCTGACCTCAAGAGATCTGCCTACCGCAGCCTACCAAAGTGCTGGGATTACAGGCATGAGCCACCACGCCGGGCCTTTATTATGATTATTATTACCCCATTTTACAGATGAGCTGATTGAAGGACACAGATTAAATGACTTGATCATGGCCACACAGCTGAAGCAGCTCAGCCAGAATTCAGACCAAGTTCTGCCTGACTCCAGAGTTGCCTCTTCCTCTTAAGCCTTCCAGTAGATGGAGTTACTGGCTGTGATGCTAATAGCTAGAAACATGTACTACATTTTTCTTTTCTTCCTCCCTTTCTTCCTTCCTTCCACTTTTTTTTTTTGGCAGGGTTGGGTGGGAGTAGGGGGATGGGATTAAAAGTCTGAGTGTTTGATACCTAAAGTAATCAATAATTACTTAAGTCCCAATAATTTTTTGGAAATAATATTTTCTCTATATATAAATGGCATTTTGTCTAGATAATATGTACATCCTTACCTGTATAAATATTAAGCCTCATTAAGATTTTTTTTTTTTTGTATTTTAAACCTTATTAAGATGTAACAACAATCACTAGATTTAAGTCCTTTTTCCCTGAAATTGCCATCAGAAATTTGTGGAGGCCAGGCATGGTGGCTCACACCTGTAATCTCAGCACTTTGGGAGGCCAAGGCAGGATGATCGCTTGAGGCCAGAAGTTCAAGATCAGCCTGGGCAACATAGTGAGACCGAGGTCTACAAAAAATTAAAAAATTAGCCAGCCATGGTGGTTCACACCTGTAATCCCAGTACTTTGGGAGGCTAAGATGGGCAGATCACTTGAGGTCAGGAGTTTGAGACCAGCCTGGCCAACATGGTGAAACCCCGTGTCTACTAAAAATAGAAAAACTAGCTGGGCATGGTGGCAGGTGCCTGTAATCCCAGCTACTTGGGAGGCTGAGGCAGGAGAATCGCTTGAACCCATGAGGCAGAGGTTGCAGTGACCCAAGACCACCCCCCTGTACTCCAGCCTGGGCAACAGAGCGAGACTCTGTCTCAAAAAAATAAATAAATAAGCTAGGCATGGTGATGTGCACCTGCGGTCCCAGCTACTCAGGAAGCTGAGGTGGGAGGATTGCTTGAACTCAAAAGGTTGAGGCTGCAGTGAGCCATGATCATGTCACTGCACTCCAGCCTGGGTGACAGAGTGAAACCCTTTCTCAAAAAAAAAAAAAAAAAAAAAAATTTAGTAAAGATCTCAAATCAGCAATCTAACCTTTTACCTTAAGAACAACAAAAAAGAGAGCATAATAAATTCAGAATAATCAGAAGACAAAGATCAGAAAAACCATGGAGAAAAGTCAATGAAACCAAAAACTGATGCTTTACAAATCTTAATAAAATTAATAAACCTTTAGCCAGACTAACAAAGAAAAAAAGGAGAAGATACAAGTCACTGACATTAGGAATGAAAGAGGGGCTATAACTACAGACCACATCAACATTAAAAGAAGAATAAGATAATACTATGAACAACTCTATGCGCACATTTGATAGCTCAGAAGAAATAGATCAAATCTACAAACTACTAAAATCCACCCAAGAAGAAACAAATAACTATAACAGTTCTATACTTATTAAAGAAATGTGAAATAATAATTTTATACCTCTGAAAAGGTAAACTCCAGGCCCAGATGGTTTCACTGGCAAATTCTATCTAACATTGAAAGAGGAAGTAACATCAATTCTACACAATCTCTTTCAGAAGATACAAGAAGAAGATCACTTCTCTACTCATTTTATGAGACTTATATTACCCCGATACTAAATTAAAGACAGTAAAAGAAGGGAAGAAAAAAGCCCAAGTTCACTATCCCTCATTAACGAAGATGCAAAAATCCTCAACAAAATATTAGTAAATAAAATCCAGCAATACAAAAAAGAATAACACAGTATCACCAAGTGGGATTTACTTAGGGGATGACAAGCCTGGTTTAATATTTGAAAATCAATTAATGTTATCTACCATATTAATAGACTAAAGATGATAAATCACATTATTATACCAACTGACATTGAAAAGCATTCAATATCCATTGAAATGCAGTAGCCATTTATGATAAAAATTCTCATCAAACTAGGAATAGAAGGGAACTTTCTTAACATCTACAAAATATCTACAAAAAAAACCATAAAGCTAACATGATGTTTAATGGTGAAATACTAAATTCTTTCCCCCTAAGACTGGGAACAATGCAATATCCACCTTATCACTCCTATCCAATGTTGCCTTTGTAATTCTAGCCAGTACAATAAGGCAAAAAAAATGCATAAAGATTGGAAAGAAAGAAAGAAAGCTATCCCTATTCACAGCAACATGATTATCTATGTAGAAAATTCCAAGGTATCTACAAAAAGTGCCGAGATTTAGTGAGTTTAGCCAGGTTGCAGGATGCAAGATCAACATACAAAAGTCAATCATATTTCTATATACAAGCAACTAACAATTAGAAACTTAAATTTAAAAAAATAGTTCCCTCCAGAGCATGTACAGGATCTGTATACTGAAAACTACAAAAAGCTAATGAAAGAAATCAAATAAGACCTAAATAAACAGACAGATATACTGAATTTAGTGATTGTAAGACTCAACATGGTTGAGATGTCAATCGTCCCCACAGTGATGTATAAATTCAACACAATTCTCATCAAAATCCCAGCAGGATTTTTTGTTTTTTAAAAAATAATAGCATATGGAAAGGCAAAAGAACTAGAATAGACAAAACAGTTTTGAAAAATCACAGAAAATTTGGTGCAATCATACTACCTGGTTTTAAGATTTACTGTAACGCAGTAAAAGAAAAACATAGAATTCAACAAAATATGAAACATTTTTGCTTTTTGGAAGATACTGTTAATAGAATGAAAAAACAAACTATAAACTAGAAAATATTTGCTAATGGTATATCTGACAAAGGACTTGTATCCAGAATATATACAGTGTAGAACACAATCATAGGCTGGGTACAGTGGCTCATGCCTGTAATCCCAACACTTTGAGAGGTTGAGAAGAGCAGATCTCTTGTACCAGGACTTCAAGACAAGCTTGGGCAATAAAGTGAAACCCTTTATTGCCCAAAATTTTAAAAGTAGCTAGGTGTGGTGGCACACACCTGTGGTCCCAGCTATAAAGGAGGGTGAGGCAGGAGGATCACTTGAGCCCAGGAGGTAGAGGCAGCAGTGAGTTATGGTTGCACCACTGCACTTCAGCCTTGGTGACAAAGCAAGACCTTGTCTCAAACCGCACCCCCCCACACACACACACATTTGGTTCAGAAGATAAACGGAATAAATATGAACAAAAGGTTCAAACAGACACCTTATTTAAAAAGATATACAGATATCCCAGCACTTTGGGCGGCCAAGGCAGGCAGATCGCCTGAGATCAGGAATTCGAGACCAGCCCGGCCAACATGGCGAAACCCCGTCTCCACTAAAAATACAAAAAAATTAGCTGGGTGTGGTGATGGGGACCTGTAATCCCAGCTACTTGGGAGACTGAGGCAGGGAGAATCACTTGAACCCAGGAGGTGGAGGTTGTAGTGAGCTGAGATTGTGCCATTGCACTCCAGCCTGGGCAACAGAGTAAGACTCCATCTCAAAAAAAAAAAAAAAAAAAAGATATACAGATAACAAATAAGCATATGAAAAGATGTTCAACATCATTAACTATTAGGGAAATGCAAATTAAATCACAATGAAATACCACCACATACCTATGAGAATGGCTAGGGAGAAGGGGGGAAAAGCTGATAGTAGCAAGTTTAGACAAGAATGTGGAACAACCAGAACTCTCATCTATTGCTGGTAGGAATGCAAAATGGCACAACCATTATGGAAGACAGTTTGGCAGTTTATTATAAAGTTAAACATATGTTTACCATATGACTCAGTAATCCCACTTCTAGGTATTTACCTTCAAAACTCTACACAGATGTTTATAAGCAGTTTCATTCATAATCAGCAAAAACTGGAAACAATGGGTGAGTGCATTTATAAACCGTCATACATCCAAATAATGAGGTGCTACTCAGAAATAAATTTTAAAAAAACTACTGGTCCACACGACACATGGATGAATGTCAAAGATATGCTGAGTGAAAGAAGCGGGTCTCAAAAGGTTGTATTCTATAGCAGTCCACAACTCGCACATGTAGATGACACTGAACAAGTCCTAGCTATAAGGGTGAAGAACAGATCAGTGGTACACAGGATTCATGAGAGGGGAGGTGTTTGACTACAAAAGCGGCAGCATGAGGGAATTTTGGGGGAGGATGGAGTAGTTGTTCTGTGTCCTGACTGTGGTCACTTGAATCTATACATGTTAAAATTCCTGGAACTGTGCACCAAAAGATAGTTTTTGTGTGTGTGTGTATATATATGTATATATATACACATATATATACACATATATACACATATACATATATATATATACACATATATTTATAATTTTTTTTTTGAGATGGAGTCTCTCAAGGTTGCCCAGACTGGAGTGTAATGGTGCGATCTCGGTTCACTGCAACCTCTGCCTCCCAGGTTCAAGTGATTCTCCTGCCTCAGCCTCCCAAGTAGCTGGGATTACAGGTGCCCATCACCACACCCGGCTAATTTTTATATTTTTAGTAGAGACAGGGTTACACCATGTTGGCCAGGCTGGTCTTGAACTCCTGACCTCAGCCTGCCTGAGGTGATCCGCCCGCCTCAGCCTCCCAAAGTGCTGGGATTACAGGTGTGAGCCACCACACCTGGCCTATATACATCTTTTAAAAACTGCGCTGAGATACCATTTCTTACCTGTCACATTAGCAAAAATTTTAAAGTTTGACAAAGCATTCAGCTGGCAAGTCTGTGGGAAAACAGACACTTTCATATGTTGCTGGTGAGTATGCAAATTGCTAGAACTCATATGAAGGGAAATCTAATAACATCTAACAAAACTACATACATGTTTAACTTTTCATCTGGCAATGCAACTTCTGAGGGTTTACTCTAAAGAAACATTTCTGGCCCGATGCGGTGGCTCTCGCCTGTAATCCCAACACTTTGGGAGGCCAAGGTGGGCAGATCACGAGGTCAGGAGATCGAGACCATCCTGTCCAACATGATGAAACCCCATCTCTACTAAAAATACAAAAATCAGCCAGCGTGGTGGAAGGTGCCTCTAATCCAAGCTACTCAGAAGGCTGAGACAGGAGAATCACTTAAACCTGGGAGGCAGAGGTTGCAGTGAGCTGAGATTGCACCACTGCACTCCAACCTGTGCGACAGAGTGAGACTCTTTCTCAAAAAAAAAAAAAAAGAAAGAAAGAAATATTTCCAACAACACAAAACTCCTTATGCGTAAGATTATTCACTGAAGCACATTTGGAATTACAAAATATTAGAAACAACCTAAATGCCCATACACAGAAGAGTGGTTGAGTAAACCCTAGTACAGCCACATGATGGTATACTGCATAGCTGTACAGAAGCTCAGATGCCTCTACGAACTGTTGAGTGATGTCCAGCATACAAGCAAAGAAAAGTGCTAGAGAGTGTCTATATTGTGAAAAGAAGGAGAAATAAAACCTAGAGGTATCTGGTTATTTTTGAAAAGAGATATGCAGGAAGGATAAACTAGGAAACGAGATTGGTTACTTTAGGGAGTAGAGATATGTGGTAGAGATGGGAGCATAGGAACAAGGTGGAAGGGATGGGTGGGGGAGTTACACTTGCCTGCGTATATTATTATTATTATTATTATTATTATTATTATTGAGATAGGGTCTCACCCTATCACCCAGGCTGGAGTGCAGTGGTGCAATTGTGACTCATTGCAGCCTTGACCTCCAGGGCTCAAGCAATCCTCCTACCTCAGCCTCCCAAGTGGCTGGGACTACAGGTATGAACCTCCACATCCGACTAATTTTTGAATTTTTTTGTAGTAACAGGGTTTCACCATGTTGCACAGAATGTTCTCAAACTCCTGAGCTCAAACGATCTGCCCACCTCCCACCTCCCGAAGTGCTGGGATTACAGGCATGAGCCACCACCCCCAGCCTCTGCATATACTTTTAATGGTGTATTAATGTTTCACATACTCAAAATTAAAACCAACAAGTATGAAAGAAAAGAAATCCCTTAAATTTGAATATTAGCAGAAGCAATGAACTTGACATTAATTAAAATGAATAATAAAATGAATAATGCAAAATGATGCAAACACACTGAAGTGGGCAGAGTGCGGGAAAACCAACCCAAGTGACTTTTGCATACTGTGTTTCAACTATATACCCTCAGACTAAAGATAAAGAACTATAAGCAAATATTGAACTCTAGTTAGTAGGCTTCCTTTTTTTTTTTTTTTTTTTGAGACAGAGTCTCGCTCTGTCTCCCAGGCTGGAGTGCAGTGGTGCAATCTTGGCTCACTGCAACCTCCGCCTCCCGGGTTCCAGCAATTCTCAGCTTTCTCTACTGGGTGCGGGTGATGCAATTGGACAACACAAGGCTCATCTCTGGCCAATTTGGGAAGCCAGGAAGAGCGGGAGCCTGACTCTGAGTCTGTCGAAGACGTCCCAGGGAGGACTCTGATGGACCCAACTCCTGGGGTTGGAGAATCACTCCTAATGGGAGGGTTGGCTGGTACAGGGCCACCTTGATTGGCAGCCCCCTAGAACTACAGGCAGGGAGGAAAGAGTTCCTAAAAGAACTCACAGAGAGGAGACGTTGACAACAAAGTCATGGCTCTTTACTGCTTGTCCTTGTCATGGCCTCTTTGTGAAGTTCTCACTTCTGCTTACCCTTACCACCTGCCTACTAGGTGGGAATAGAAAAACTCCTCAAAAACAATAAAAAATAAAACTACTCAATCTACTTTGCCCCATGACAAGCTCCGTTGAGGGGCTGTAAGCCCTTGTGGGCAGGCTAGGCAGATCTGGGCCCACCGTCTTGCTTCCCCTCACACTCCTAGCATAGGAACTTGCCTGTAGTGTCAGCTCAGTGTTTGCTTAATGCTTCCAATACCTTCCAATAGGTCATTTTAATTTGACCCAATAATTTGTCCTCTGTGAACCTTTCAGGGTGACTAGTTCTTAGGCAGTCAATATCTGAATATATCTCAGTCCCCAAACCCCATTTTAAAGGAAGGTCAAATTTGTTATGGTTACCTTATGTATAGCTTAGTAATAGATGAATACATAATTGTCACCACTAAAAATCTTCCTGGGCCGGGCATGGTGACTCATGCCTGTAATCCCAACACTTTGGGAGGCTGAGGCAGGCAGATTGCTTGAGCTCAGGAGTTCAAGACCAGACTGGGCAACATGACAAAGCCCTATCTCTACAGAAAATACAAAAATTAGCCAGGCATGGTGGCATGCACCTGTAGTCCCAGCTACTTGGGAGGCTGAGGTGGGAGGATTGCTCGAGGCTGGAAGGTCGAGGCTGCAGTGAGCCGTGACTGTGCCCCTGCACTCCAGCGTGGTTGACAGAGTGATGAGACCCTGTCTCTCTATATATTTAAAATAAAATAAAAATCTTCCTAGCTAGAATGTCGGACATTCTGGCCTTTGGTGGGGGCACTTCAAGCCCTAAAATGCCATCCTTCTATGAGCCGACATACCATACCCAGGTCCTTCTTGAGGAGCATCGTGGTCCAGGGGACCCACCTTGTCTCGCAAAAGGCTGAGAGAGAATAGTTATACTCTAGGCATCTGTCAGAAGTTGGTTCTTGAACGCCCTTCCCCTTAAACACTCATCCAAATCCAGAAACTCTGAAATATAAGTGTGCATGAGCATCACGTGAAATACATATTGAAAATGCAGATTCCTGGAGACTCTGGAGGAGCAGGGCGGAACATGTGAGGAGCTGAGGGAAAAGCATAGGAAACAACAAGTACAAAGGCCCTGAGGCAGGAAAGAGTGTTCCAGGAATGATCAACAAAGTGAGTAAAAGGAAAATGGGCAG
Source organism: Homo sapiens (assembly GCF_000001405.40). Taxonomy (NCBI): domain Eukaryota; kingdom Metazoa; phylum Chordata; class Mammalia; order Primates; family Hominidae; genus Homo; species Homo sapiens. Next base: position 57,185,948 of record NC_000003.12, on the reverse strand, counting down.
GAGAAGAAGGAGCAAGGGCAGGAGGGGCCGGGCCTTAAGTGGGATAAGGAGATTGGGTGTTTTGTTTTGTTTTGTTTTGTTTTGTTTTGTTTTGTTTTGTTTTGAGACAGAGTTTCCCTCTCGTTGCCCAGGTTGGAGTGCAGTGGTGAGATCTCAGCTCACCACAACCTCTACCTCCCGGGTTCAAGTGATTCTCTCGCCTCAGCCTCCCGAATAGCTGGGATTACAGGCATGTGCCACCACGCCCAGCTAATTTTGTATTTTTAGTAGAGATGGAGTTTCTCCATGTTGGTCAGGCTGGTCTCGAACTCCTGACCTCAGGTGATCCACCCGCCTCGGCCTCCCAAAGTACTAGGATTACAGGCATGAGCCACCGTGCCCGGCCGGAGATTGGGTTTTTATCCATGTGCAACTGGAAGCCACTGAAGGTCGTATATGGAGGGAATAATGGATCAGATTTTCATTTCAAGTAAACACTCTGGCTGTTCTGTAGAGATGGATTATTGAGGAGCAACAGCAGGCAGGAAGACCAGACAGGAGACGTCACTAGAGGTGCGGGCCAGAAGGGAAGGTGGCCTGGCAGGGGAATGGATTTGGAGCAGGACAACTATTGCGTCTGTGAGGAGTCTGAGTGCTCACCTCAGTCCTGGCACATCTTATTGTCCCTGTTGTCATTTTCTTCTGTTCCAGTTATTTCATCCCTCATTCCCTCCCCACATTTTTTGTTGTTGTTCCAAAACGAAAATGTTCTTTTTATTGTAAAAATAAAATATTCTCAATATTCAAAATTAAACAATACAGAAAATTAAAATAAATTAATCACCAGCAATCCTACTACCCTGAGATACTGCCATTCTTCCAGATATTCTCTACATGAGGACAGATGTGTTTTGCACAAGCAGAATTTTTTCTTTGCTGTTTGTGCAAATTTCCTGAATCAAAAAGAAACCTTCAAAAGGAATAGCTTTGAGTCTGTAAGGTCAGAAAACACAAGTAATTTTCCTAAAAGGCAGGAGAGGGGCTAGGGGATTTAAAAATTAAAATACTGGAAAATATACTCCAAATAGAGAAGCTAAAAAATGAGTACGGTAATTTCCTCCTAGAAGGGAATGTGATGCCTGGGCAAAATTCTGTTGTTTATTTTGCATGGTCTTAACCCGAGCTACACAAAAACAGAGAGCGGGTGGCAGGAAGTGCCTTCCCATGTCAAGGCGGGATGGGGCTCCCCATGTGAGGCCTCTAGATGTCTCAGGATTAGCCAAGAATCCTCAGAGCAACTTGCTCGAAACACTAATTGTATTTGTGTCTCTGTCTTTGATTAGTGGCTTAGTCAGCTTTCTGGCTCATTATCATCTTAATCTTTTTTTTTTTTTTTAATGTAATAAGGCTAACGCTGTAGTTTTACTTTTTCATTTTCCCCAAGGGAAATATAATTTAACTACATACTTGAAAAGTATGTTGTATGTTATATACTTTTTATCTTTAGAAATATATTTAATAACCTCAGTGTGAGAATGTTTTCTCCTCTCTGACCTCATCATCAAATGGTTGAAATAGAAAGCAAATGACTTGGAGTACCTGAACTCCGTCCTCAGCCATCAGTTGTTTTCCTCACATGGAATATCTTATAGCTTAGCAAAGAACAGAATCAAAGCAGACAATGCATATTGAGAGAAGTGGAGTTTTACATGTCAGTGATTGCATGTGAGAAAGCAAGAATAGTCCAGCGTTAAATATAGTATGCAGGTGGTGGGTGTATGGTGTTCACAGCAATTTTAGATTCTAGATTATTTCTTTGCTTGCACTGCTTGGTTTTATTAGCAGACAACAAGCCTTAGTTAAGCAGGCAATTTTTAGAAATTTTTACGCTCACATTATATGGGGGTAAAGGGAGACTCTGTCATTTTCCAGGATTTTCTGTAGGAGGAAGATACTGATACTGAGTGAGTCTGCGTGCTTCTGCAATAGATTGTAGTCACTTTTTCAAGGGTTTTGAGGTCTAATTAATGTAGTCTGTTTTGCTTATTTGTTGTACTTGTTTGTTTTTAATTATACAAATAATAATTACATTAGGATTGAAAAAGTGAACACATTACAGATAGAAGCTCTTTTTGAGACCCTTCCTCCCAAACCCCCAGTCTCCTCCCTCCAATAAAACTACCTTTTTCAGTTTGATATCTTTGCTTCCAAAATCTTTTTCTTATGGATTTTTACACAGGGGTATGTACCCACATAAAACATGTGGCATTGCTTTGTAGTTCTATTTATTTGTTGATTTTTCATAAATGGTATTTTAGCATACTTATTCTATAATTAGCATTTTTCCTCCACTCAACAATATGCCTCAGGGCTTTTTCTAAGCTCCTCGTAGCAGTACCTTGTTAAAACAAACAAACCTATTGCACTGTGTAGTGTGACAGGGTGGGTGTTCCACAGTGTGTTTTCAGCCATTTCTCTCTTGACAGACACTAAGGTTGTTTCTGTTGTTGTTGTTGTTTGTCCCGCCATTAAAAATAGTGCTATTGCTATGGGCTGAATATTTGTCTCCGAAAATTCAAATATTGAAATCCCAGTCCCCCAAATGATGGTATTAGGAGGTAAAGCCTTGGAGAAGTGATTAGATCATGAGAGTGGCGCCCTCATAAATCAGATCAGTGCCCTTATACAAGAGGCTTGAGAGTGCTCCCTTTCCCCTTCTGCCATGTGAGGACACAGCAAGAAGGAACCATCTATGAACCAGGAAATGGGTCCTCACTATGATGGCAGTGGCTGCTGCCATCATGCTGGCTGCAACGGGGAGGCACCACTCTGCTGCACACTCCATGGAGCCGGTGGGAGGCCCACCCCTTCTGAATTGGAGTGGGAGCTCCCCGAGTGCCACTGCAGCTGCCCAAACCCAGGTGCAGGACCCGGGTGTCTCTGCAGCCTGCACCCTTCCTGCACCCCAGGAAGAACCCCCCGCTCCCCCGCAAGTCCCTGCAGGCTTGGGGTTGTCTGCTTCTGCTGCCTGGCCTCTCTCCACTCCTGGTGCCTGCTCCAATCTTGGAGCAGGGTTTGGGCCGAGCCCCAGGGGCCATGAATCGCAGCAGGAGGCAGATTGATTCCTGGGTGGAAGGGGGCAGGTTTCCAGTAAGACCCCACCTTCAGGCCAGGGAGGGCCTGAAGGCTGGGGGCCAGTCTGCCAGTCCTTTGGACTGGAGTGGGGACTCATGGTACCTCTTCTGGCCGGCCCATGGCCACTCATGGACCAACTGGCATGTGTTTCTTCCCCTCTGAGGTCCATAAAAGCCCGGAGTTTAGCCAGAGCAGTGCAGACAATGGCCAGAGGACAAAGAGGGTAGAGAGACAAGGAATGACCAGCTGCAGAGAGGAGTTACCCTCTCTGCTGATAGCTGGAGATGACAAGACAACCAGCAGCAGAGAGGAGCTACTGGCTCTGCTGAAAGCTGCAGAGATGACCTGCTGGCAGAGAGGAGCCACCCTCTCCAGGGCCTCCTCTCTGCTGAGAGCTGTAGACATTGGGACAACCAGTTGCAGAGAGGAGCTACCATCCCCAGGGCCTCCTCTCTGCTGAGAACTGAACACTGAAGGATGACCTGCCTACGGAGAGGAGTTAACCACTGCAAGTCTCCTCTGGGCTGTTGTAACACTCAATAAAGTTCATCTTCATTTTCTTCACCCTTCACTTGTCTGTGTACCTCATTCTTCCTGGATGCAGGACAAGAACTCAGGTGCCGCGGCCACAGAGGTTTCTGGCCAGAAAATCAACACCCCGAAGATCCTGTAACAACTAGACACCAAATCTGCTGGCACCTTAATCCTTGACTTCCTAACCTCCAGAATTGTAAGCAATAAAATTGTGTTGTTATTAAGCTACCCAGTCTATGGTATTTTGTTATAGCAGCCTTAATGGATTAAGATAGTTACCAAAAACAGCTTGTATATATCTACCTGTGCACAGATATGAATTTTTTTCTGAGGTTAAACATCAAGAAGTAGAATCACTGTGCATTACAAATTAGAGATTATCCATATGTTTTATTTTAATAGAAATGGCCATTTCTGTGGTCTTCCAATGTTACTTTCAGTGGTCAACTCCAGTAAATATTTCTTATCTACTTTGGGATGGACACAGCCTGGGCTCCAAACAAAGTAGGGAACAAGAGGAATATGAACCTATGTCTTTACTCCCTAGGAAGGCTTAAGACTCATCTTTAGACCTCCCATACATCATCTGGTTAAAACATGGGGTTAATAAACTGCGAAAGAGTATCTATGATATAAAGAAAGGGATACAAGAAAATGTGCATGCATCTGCTTATTTGTGCAAATGAAATCCAGTAGAGATGAACCAGAAGCCAAAAAGTCTGATTACTTATAGAGAGTGAGTGGATGGGGATGGGATGGAAAGAAGGAGGGAATAATGGGAATGGGTGCTGAGAATACAGGGGCACAACACTTCTCTGAGTATATATATATATATATATATATAATATATATCATATATGTACTATAAATACTGAACATATAGTTTATATATTATATATGTATATTTTATATATATATATATATATATATATATATATAAAACAGAGTCTAGCTCTGTCACCCAGGCTGGAGTGCAATGGCACAGTCTTGGCTCACTGCAACCTCCGCTTCGCGGGTTCGAGTGATTCTCACGCCTCAGCCACCAAGTAGCTGGGATTATTGGCATGCACAACCATGCCCTGCTAATTTTGTATTTTTAGTAGAGTCGGGGTTTTACCATGTTGTCCAGGCTAGTCTCGAACTCCTGACCTCAAGTGATCTGCCTGCTTTGGCCACCCAAAGTGCTGGAATTACAGACTGAGTAGATCCTTTTATGTTGCTGTGACTCTTAGAACCACAGTAATGCTTCACATACACCCAAAATAAATAACTAATTTAAATCAACCAGGACAAGAGGAGAACCCAAAATGGAACACCAACACCAGTGAACCTCAGTATATCCCAAACGAATAGTATAACCATACTGGAAATAGTTAAGAAAAGACCTAACTTGGGTAACTCTGGAAACCAATGTTTTGACTAGATACTATAAGACTAAAGATGGAAAAGAGATGTACACACAGATTATAGTTTCATTAGGCCTGGCACAGTGGCTCATGCCTGTAATCCCAGCACTTTGGGAGGCCAAGGCGGGTGGATCACGAGATCAAGAGATCGAGACCATCCTGGCCAACATGGTGAAACCCAGTCTCTACTAAAAAATACAAAAATTAGCTGGGCGTGGTGGCATGCACCTGTAGTTCCAGCTACTCAAGAGGCCGAGGTAGGAGAATCACTTGAACCTGGGAGGCAGAGGTTGCAGTGAGCCAAGATCACACCACTGCACTCCAGCCTGGTGACAGAGCGAGATTCCGTCTCAAAAAGAAAAAAAAAAAAAGATTATAGTTTTGTTAGTAGATTTGTTTCTGTCTATGGCTCTCACAGGGGAATGAGTTAATGAGTTAGCAATTCTGAAACTATTCTTTGTGCAGACTAGTCTGGGTCCAGTCAGTAGACAAACTACATAGTAATTTGAACAGGGAAAGTTTAATATAAGGAATTATTAACTATAATAAAAGATTGGAGAAGTGATGGATTCACTAGTAAGAAGTAGAGAGAATGCTAAAGAATGTAGCAATAGCATACAGGAGGAGCAGCCACTGCCTACGGCTGAGAGAGACAATGCAAGGAAGGGCCCTCTCCCCAGGTCAGAGATCAGACGCCACTGGAAGGGACACAGCCATACCTCACTGAATGGCAGAGAAGTTGCTGTGAGGCTTCCGTGTCAGAACTTGTCACAAATCCACCCAGTATAGTGCCAGGGAAAGCTTTCATGGGAAGGTGTTTCTCTGGAGGCACTCTGCTATGAAACTGTTCAAAAGGAGTGCCAGGGGAAGCTGCTGGCCACGGGCACTTCTGGCTGCCATGCACTGCAGGAGCCAGCTGCTGTAGGAACATGGCACTGGGGAAGCTGTGTTTGTAGGAGCTGAACACTGGAGAAGCTGCCTGCAATGCAGGTGCTAGAAAAGCCACCAGTGCTGCAGGAGTGGATGCTGGAGAAGAAGCCCACACTGCAGAAGCCTGATGGAAGGAACACAGCAACCAGGTTTTCCTCCTTCCTCCTACAATGTCTCTCCATCACCCTCTACTGACAGAGTTTAACATAGTGCTAGCTGACAAATGAAAATAATTAAATGGACCAGATCCATTTTTGCTTAGCATCAGGTAATGAAGGGTGAATTTGGTTCTGAGAGGCAATAAATTGATAACTGGTAGAGTTCTCCTCTTCGGCTGTTCACCTTCCATATGCTCCCTTCTACACACATTTGAACCTTTATACAACAAATCACCTCTACAATTCTACCTAACAAGATAGAGCTATTCATCTTAGAAATGAAGATGTCCTCATGCTCTCCCCCAAATGAGAAGACACTCAGTCCCAACAATCATTACATCCATTCCTGGCTCTACTAATTATTTCTTATATTCAGTCACAGTCCCATGGAATCTTCTGTTACCTAAAGACTAAACTGTAGCATTAACTTTAGCAACTTGTATATAAATTAAAATGGCAAGAAGAGAAAGAAGGAGAAAATGATTTATATAGACAAACACACATAACAAGCAAATAGAATGTATTTTCCTTAATTGGTCATAAGACATAATTGATATACATGACTTCCTTCTACCTCTACCCATTCAATATTTCCCTAACCTCAGCCAGAAACTTAGCTAGTTAGGGTTCTTTACCTGGTGGACTGACCCAAACCTTAGTCCCCCAGAACTCTGAGTACTCAATTGCCTTGCCTTTTCTGGTTGCTCTAGTTGTTCGTTAACCCTTACTATTGGGCATGGAAGTACTAAGGGGTGCCCTGGAGAATCCCTGGGTTCCAAACATAGTCTTCCTTGTCCCCGTTGTATAGCAATGATCCAAAAATTTCCCCCTTGTAATAGAGATCAGTCTCTCTGGCCAGTAGAGTAACACCTTTCAGTGGCATAAGGAGTCCAAAATGGCCATGTGGCATTCCTATCTTTCAATTCAACGGAACCATTATTGGGTTCCCTTTGGGGATTAAGACCTCTAAACCAGCAGAGCTCAAAGTTGCAGGGAAGGGAAGCAAAAATCCTGCAAGAGGGTTAGTATGTAATAGTGAGAGAAGCCACTTCCACTTCTACTCCTTGCATCATGGAGCTATTTATTGTGGCTAAGAGGGAGACAGCACCATATGATGATCCCTAATTCAAAATATATACCGCATCCTATAAGACAGAATCCATCCTGTCAGGGTATTATTTCCCAAATGGCACCATAATAAAGTCTTCAGTAAATTTTGTCAACTTTTAATTATGTCTGCTGCCTCAGGGTAATGGGGTATGTAATAAGAACAGTTAATTTCATGAGCATGAGTCCACTGTTACACTTTCTTTGCTGTGACATTTCACTTTTTATCAGATGCAATGATTTGGGGATGATGTTGGATAAGGTATTCTGTGAGTCAGCAGCAATATTGCGGTGCCGGCAGAAGCAAATAAGAGAATGTATTGTGAATAAAGACAGCCAGGTTTCTTGCTGTGGAAAAAAGAAGTGACAAGGAAAGGGAGAAGGCTGGATTGAACCTACAATATTGGATTAGAATTGAATTTATTAGTATAAACTCATGGCTTCATGTGTGTGTGTATGTGTGTGTTAGTATACATACATACATTTCCCAGCTCTGTCTGCTGGGAGGGACTAGGAGCAATGATACCCCAGTAGCAATGCGCTCACCTAGTGCTTAGGTCTTGATTTCTAAATATCATTCTCCAGTAAAAGGAACCAAAAATCCTTATAGAAATTATTGATTCCACATACCTGTAATCCCAGCATTTTGGGAGGCCAAGGTGGGTGGATCACCTGAGGTCAGGAGTTTGAGATTAGCCTGGGCAAACCCTGTCTCTACTAAAAATATAAAAATTAGTTGGGCATGATGGTGGGCACCTGTAATCCCAGCTACTCGGAGGGTGAGGCAGGAGAATCACTTGAACCCAGGAGGTGGAGGTTGCAGTGAGCCAAGATCGCGCCACTGCATTCCAGCCTGGGTGACAAAGTGAGACTCTGTCTCAAAAAAAAAAAAAAAAAAAGAAAAGAAATTGTTGATTCCAGTACTAGGACACAGGAAATACAACATGACCCTGGGACATTTTCGTGTACCAGGAAGTAAGGACATACTAAAAAAAAAAAAATGATAGGGCATACAGAAAGGACACAGGACCACCCTGAAGGTGTTCTCAACAGCCAAAGCTGAAAAAAATTGAGCACCAAATTAAATTATAATAGTACAGGAATAAAACCTACCAAATAAAATATTCATGAGTCCATATTTATATAAATAATTGAATAAATAATGGTAGAAAAGAGACAGTAAACTTCTCCTTACAGAATTCCAATTAATAAATAAAGAGGGAATAAGAGAAATTTGAAAATCACTATTAGAACACTGCAGTAACAATTTTTAAATGCCAGATCCACTGATGAATGCTAAAATCAACAACAAAAGTTTGAGGAGTAACAGGATATTTGCACCATCTAAAATATCTCCACCAAGCAGGCTGGGTGCGGTGGCTCACACCTGTAATCCCAGCACTTTGGGAGGCTGAAGCGGGCAGATCACGAGGTCAGGAGATCGAGACCATCCTGGCTAACAGGGTGAAACCCCGTCTCTACTAAAAAACAAACAAACAAAAATTAGCCGGGCGTGGTGGCGGGCGCCTGTAGTCCCAGCTACTCGGGAGGCAGGAGAATGGCGTGAACCCGGGAGACAGAGGTTGCAGTGAGCAGAGATCGCACCACTGCACTCCAGCCTGGGCGACAGAGCGAGACTCCGTCTCAAAAAACAAAACAAAACAAAACAAAACAAAACAAAAAGAAAGTGTGTGGCACATCCCTGCTCACTCTCTCTCTCCTGCCACCTTGTAAGATATGCTTTGTTTCCCCTTTGCCTTCTGCCATGATTGTAAGTTTCCTGAGGGCCTCCCAGTCATGCTTCCTGTTAAGCCTGTGAAACTGTGAGTCAAGTAAACCTCTTTTCTTTATAAATTACCCAGTCTCAGGTAGTTCTTTGTTTGTTTGTTTGAGACGGAGTTTCCCTCTTGTTGCCCAGGCTGGAGTGCAATGGCACAATCCCAGCTCACTGCAGCCTCCAACTCCCAGGTTCAAGTGATTCTTCCACCTCAGCCTCTCTAGTAGCTGGGATTACAGGCGCCCGCTACCACGCCCAGCTAATTTGTTGTATTTTTATTAGCGACAGGATTTCACTATGTTGGCCAGGCTGGTCTTGAACTCCTGACCTCAGGCAATCCACCTGCCTCAGCCTCCCAAAGTGCTGGGATTACAGGCGTGAGAAACCACGCAGGGCAGGTAGTTCTTTATAGCAGTGTGAGAATGGACTAATATACACAGATTAAACTAGACCATGGAGACAAAACAACTAAGTGCAATTAGTGTATGTCCAGGATTCTGGATTGTATTCTGAACCAGAAAAAGGACGTCAGTGGACCCTTGATATGATGTGATAAAGACAGCACTTTACCTCCATGACCTTGTCTTAAAAATCCATAACCCTGAACCAGACATGGTGGTGCACCTGTAGTCCCAGCTACCAGGGGGCAGAGGTGGGAGGATCCCTTGAACCCAGCAATTCAAGGCTACAGTCCACTATGATTGTGCCTGTGAATAGCCACTGCATTCCAGCTGGGCAATGTAGCAAGACCCTATCTCTAAATAAAAATAAATCCACAAGCATAGTCTACTTATGAGAAAAACACCAGCCAATTACAATTGAGGGGTAGCCTACAAAATATCTGACTAGTATACCTCAAAACTGTCAAGGTCATGAAAAAACAAGGAAAGTCTGAGAAACTATCACAGCCAAGGGGAGCCTAAGGAGATACGACAACTAGGTATTACGTGGTATCTTGGATCGGATCCTGGAACATTACATTAAAAACTAAAGAAATGAGAATCAAGTATAGGTTTTAGTTAATAATAAGGTATTAATACTGGTTAATTAATTGGAGCAAATACATCATACTAATGTAAGATGTTAATAGTAAGGAAAACTGGTTGTGGAGTGTATGGAAATTCTGTACTATCTTTTCAATTTTTCTGCAAATCTAAACATTCTAAAATTTAAAAAACTGTTTTTAAAAATGAGACATTAGAGCTGGGTGTGGTGGTTCATGCCTGTAATTCCAGTGACTCAGGGGGCTGAGGTGGGAGGACTGCTTGAGGCCAGGAGTTCAAGACCAGGCTGAACAACCTAGTGAGATTCCTGTCTCAAAAAAATTTTTTTAATTAGCTGGGCATGGTGGCACACTCCTGTAGTCCCAGCTGCTTGGGAGGTTGAAGCAGGAGGTTTGCTTAAACCCAGGAGTTTGAGGCTGCAGTGAACTGCGATATTGCCATTACACTCCATCCAGGGTGACAGAGTGAGAGACTCCGTCTCTTAAAAAAAAAAATAGTGGGAAGTCTGGTGGATTTCCAGTAATGTCTGTAGATTACGCAGTAGTATTTTAGTGTTAAATTTCTGGTTTTGATTATGGTGCTATGGTTATACTATAAAAGGTTAACATTAGAGGAAGTTGAGTGGAGAGCATATGGGTACTCTGAGCTATTTTTGCAACATTTCCGTAAGTTTAAAATTATTTCAAAAACTTTTTAAAAAATTAGCCTGAAATGTTGCCAGGTTTTTAAAAAAGGAACCCAATCTATGGACTTGCATACCATTCTCAACCTTGGCCTCATGATGATATATGCATGCTTTTGAAGGTATAAACTATGTTGAGAGTAGCCAATGTACATATGGCTCACTTTTATGGAGAGCAGTTTGGAAGTCATGAACAAAGCTGGAAGAGCACCCAAAGCAGTAAATGAGACCGCCTGGAGGGTCCCTGGGAAACACTGTGAGACATTACATAATGGCAGCCAGCAGCAATGGAAGAATTTATTTTAGGTTTCGGGTTTTAATGTATATCTTTAGTCAAGCTGAGAAAGGCCAATGGAAGTTACCATCTGATCTCTCCAGTGAAGAGTGAACCACTTTCCTTCACACTCCTCCCCACCCTACCCATGCCTTTGCCAACCTGCAGGGGATTCCACCTGTCCCAGGCAGGGGTGCAGAGCTGCTGTCCCACCTGAATCTTTGGGTGGCTCCTGTGGGAGGAGGAAGCAGCCTGGCAGGGAGGGTGCTTGGTGGATTTCATTGCTGGCATGGGGCTGACTTTTGCTCATGAATTTGGCTCAATGTTTTGCTCTGCTGCTGTTTTTGAGATCTGTAATCCTTGCTCCACCTCTAGCAAAATTTAGCTTACATTCAGAAATTTAGAATTTGTTTTCTTTTCTTTTTTTGAGACAGAGTCTCGTTCTGTCACCCAGGCTGGAGTGCAGTGGCGCAATCTCGGCTCACTGCAACCTCCACCTCCCAGGTTCAAGCAGTTCTCGTGCCCCAGCCTCCCGAGTAGCTGGGACCACAGGCTCGCACCACCATGTGCAGCTAATTTTTGTATTTTTAGTAGAGACAGGGTTTCGCCATATTGCCCAGGCTGATCTTAAACTCCTGATCTCAAGTGATCTGTCTGCCACAGACTCCCAAAGTGCTGGCATTACAGGCATGAGCCACCGCACCTGGCCAGAAATTTAGAATTTCTTGCAATTTCTTGCAATGGCACTGGGTTGGCTGAGAGACCAGAGTCACAGCTCATTGCATATTTTCACAACTGAGGGACATTGGCCTTCCCCCTGCAATGGAGAGGACACCCTAGAAGGCTCTGACCCACCCAGTTGCCAGCCACTGCTTCTAGGTGTGTAAGTTATTCAATTTGAGGATTATTGCCCACGAGGATTTAACTCTAAAAGAGTAGAGAAAACATTCCCTGCAACTGTAAAATGAACACAGCATGTCTTTTCTTCTCCTCTGTCCTCTCTTTCCCAGAAACTTCTCCTTGTCTCCTAGGTGCTCCTGCAGGCCCTGTTCCCCCACTGAGTGCCCTGAGCCAGTCCCTGCTAAAATGTAAACAGGGGAGGCTAGGGCCTGAGCAAATACTTTGAAACTCTTTTTCCCCTTGGTTTCCTCTTAGTTCTCCCCCTGTCTCTCTGAACTCTCCTTTTGTGGTTCATTTTCTCTGGCTTCTATTTATACCCGAGCTTTTGAAACAAAGAGTGTAGGAGAGGAAGATTTGGGTTCATGATGCAGCACAGTCTCCAAATAGCTGCGTGTCATTAGGCAAACCAGGGAACCACCCGGAGCCTCACATCCTTCACGTCTGTTAAATGGAACTGCAAGTGGCTGCCCCTCAGTCTCACTGGCACTGGACTCTGCTAAGTGTAAGGGACTGCCCTGGAGAGTGAGTTCCTGGAGGGCAAGGACATCATGACCTTGATCATATTCCTTTCCAGTGCCTTGCACAGTGCCTGGCATACAGGAGACACTCAATAAATGCTTGCTAGATTAACAGTTGAATATAAAAACGCTATTCATTATGATTATGTATTCATTTATATCACAAGTCATATCATTTAGATTCATGATGGTATCAGAGAAAACAAAAAACAATTCATCTAGGTGAAGGGAGAGCTAAACATTATAGGTGTGATAATTCACAGAGTAAAATGGCTAAGAGTTGCCACGGTTGCTCCAGGTTGTTTATCAACCACATCTCATTTGAGTGGTTCAGTGGAACCTCTTTCCTCTTGATATATGTGACCTATCTTCGATCCTTGTGGATGTCAATTACCCAGTTTAAGTCCTAACCTGCTAATATAGCATATCTATTTTCCACTTTTAGAGGAGCCATAAAAAGTTGATTCTGTTTTAAAATTTCAAACAAACAGAAAAAAGGCATTTGGAGGAAACAGAAGAGACCTTCAATAAAACTATTTCCTCAGAGAGATAAGAGAAAGAATTACTTCTTTAAGCAAGAACAAGATGCTCAGCAAAAGGGACAACAACTAAATAAGAAAGAGCTTCTGTTGGATAGTAAGAAATATAGGCCAGGCACAGTGGCTCAAGCCTGTAATCCCAGCACTTTAGAAGGCTGAGGCAGGAGGATTGCTTGAGCCCAGGAGTTTGAGATCAGCCTGGGCATCATGGAAAAGCCCTGTCTATGGATTTTTTTTTTTTAAATTAGCCCGGCATGGGACTAACAATCAAGGAAATGCAAATCAAAACCACAATGTGATACCACCTCACTCCTGCAAGAATGGCCATAATCAAAAAATAATAGTTGTTGGCATGGATGTGGTGAAAAGGGAATACTTCTACACTGCTGGTGGGAATGTAAACTAGTACAACCACTATGGAAAATAATGTGGAGATTCCTTAAAGAACTAAAAGTAGAACTACCATTTGATCCAGCAATCCCACTACTGTGTATCTACCCAGAGGAAAAGAAGTCATTATACGAAAAAGATACTTGCACATACATGTAAACATACATATATAAACATGTATGTTTATAGCAGCACAATTTACAATTGCAAAAATACAGAACCAGCCCAAATGCCCATCAATCAATGAGTGGATAAAGAAACTATGGTATATATATATATATATATATATATATATATATATATATATATATGATGGAATACTACTCAGCCATAGAAGGTATGAATTCGGTTGTGCACAGTGGCTCACACCTGTAATCCCAGAACTTTGGGAGGCCAAGGCGGGCAGATCACCTGAGGCCAGGAGTTCAAGACCAGCCTGGCCAAAATGGTGAAACCACATCTCTACTAAAAATACAAAAAAAATTAGCTGGGCATGGCGGCAGGCGCCTGTAATCTCAGCTATTTGGCAGGCTGAGGCAGGAGAATTGCTTGAACCTGGGGGGCAGAGATTGCAGTGAGCCAAGATCGCACCATTACACTCCAGCCTGGGTGACAAGAGTGAGACTCCGTCTCCAAAAAAAAAAAAAAAAAAAAAAAAAAAACCTGTCAAGGTCACCAAATACAATGGAAGTCTGAAAAATTGTCATAGCCAAGAGGAACCTGAGACATGACAACTAACTGTAACATGATACCCTGGCTGGGATCCTGGATAGAATAAGGATATTAAGTAAAAACTAAGGAAATTTGAATAAAGTTTGGACTTTAATGATAATGTATCAGCCTCAGTTCATTAATTGTGCCTTACTAATGTAATATGTTAATAACTAAAGAAACTCTGGTTTCTTTTGTATAAGAACTCCTGTACCGTCATCTCAGTTTTTCTGTAAATCTATAATTATTCTTTTAAAAGTCTATTAAAAATAAGACAGAAATTTACAAAATAAAAATAACCTCAAAAGATGACAAGAAAATGTTTCTGCAGTTTGTTTCATTCGCATTATTTGGAGCTTTAGTAGGGTTGGATGTTTTCCTAGGGTTTTTAATGAGTCTTGGATTCATTCAAGACATTAAAACTCAGAATTTCAGTAAAGATGGTGATCATTCATTCATTCACTCAACAGTATTTATCAAATGCTGGCTAAATGCCAGGAAATACCCTGTGCTCAGCACTTGGAATACAGGAATCTTTTCAAAATATAGCCCCACTTCTGCCCTTAAAGTAATCCTAAGAAGCTGTTAGCTACTTTTAGGTTCAAACCAGGACATAAAGTACTGCCTGGCTGCCCCTGTAGGCCTCACCAGCTCACCTTGCACCATTCCGCCACACCTGACTGCTCTCCAACCACATTAGCCTCTTTCAGCTCCTTGAAGTTGCCACATTCCCTACTGCCCCAGGGCCTTTGCACATGCTATTCCTTCTGCCCAGAACAGTTCTCCTCTCTCTGCTCCCCTCCCCTTTGCCCAGGTAACTCTTATATTTGGAATCTTAGCTCAGGGATCCCTTCTTCAAAAACAACTCATCTACTAGTAATTCCTCCCTAGTCATAGGGCTATTTGAGTAATGCCAGTGTCCTCCATGGAATGTTTGTTTGCAGGTTAATGACAACTATGACAGTGCCCTGTTGTTCACTCTGATCCCCACTCCTGGCATAATGTCTGATATGGTGCAGAGATTCCATTGATACTTGTTAAATGAATTAATTAATGAATGGAAAACAGGATATGGTCCTTAGCCTTCCAGTATAGTGCGGATCCAAGCCAGGATGTTATCTCCTGAAGATTAGACGTGGCCATTTCCCCAGGTCTTAACTGAATTGCAAATAAGAGCTGGCCCTGGCTGCATCAACTCCTGGTCCACTACCTGCAGTAACATTCACTCAGGCTCTAAGTCATTTGCTTACTTCAGGTTCGGAAAAAAAACAAAAAACAAACAAACAAAAAAAACCCGAGGTCTGCATCCCCGTCATTCCAGTATTGCCATCTGAGAAAACTGACATCCAGAGAGATGGAGTTGCCCAAAGCCACATGGTTACTGAAAGGACCCATTTGATCCGTTTTCTTACGACCCCCTGGACTCTACTTCCCCTAAAGCTTAGCACCAGCTCTGAATAACAGCAGAGTACTCCCACCTGCCCTGGCGGCTTTGATCTAGAAAGACTTGTTGTGCGGTCGCAGTGCAGGGTAGTCTGGGGCGGCGGTCTCCGACCTGGACTGCGCGCGCCCCCTCGCGGTTACCTTGGAGACTAGACATCCGCTCTTCTTTTCCTCCGGGAAAAGAAACGGGAAGTGGCCGTGGGCCGGTGAATTCCGTGTAGTGGCCAAGGTACGCACCGCTCCAGAACTATGGGGTGGGCGTCCTGGGATTTCTGGGCGCAGGGTTGGGTCCGCCGCCCCAGGTTTTCTGTTGTCCGCCGCCCTGGGTCTCTGGGCTGTGCAGGAGGCGCCAAGGCTGGGTTTAGGAAGGCCATGTTTTTGGCGTCCTAGACAGGAAGAGTCTGGAGGAATCAGCTGAGTCTGGGGCCTTTCGTCCCAGGCAAGGCGGTCCCAGGCCAGGCGATCGGGGTCCGGTTTGAACCCCAGCTCTGTGACCGCGAGCAGACTTCCCCTCGCTGAGCATCAGCTTCCCCATCTGTGCAGTGGGGATGATGACGCCTACCCCATTGGAGCCAAGACTGCCAGGTAGCCTGATTGACATCCAGGCAGTCTTGTGGGGTCTCAGGGACTAAGGGCTTGCAGGTGGGTACCAGTTCTCCACATACTGCTCCCTCCAAAGCCTGGGAAACCTTGCACCCTCAGCCCTCTGGGAGACTGGGGTCAGGGGTACAGTGACACTCTTTACCTTTAATGTCTTTATTAATACAGAAAACATACACTAATTTCTCACAATACCAAAATAAATTAGAATTTGGGCCGACTGCTTCTAACACTGTTCATTAAAATAGTATTTAGTTATTCCCTGCTCAAAATGATTCATGATACAAATTACTTCCACCATCACTTTATCTTTTTTTATGTTTCACGGGATAATTTGACCCCTAACAAAATCCAATCCTTGCGTTAAGGATTTTTCTTATCTGGCTAGGTTATAATTAGAGTGGGAAAATATATTTACATTTCATCAACAGCTTATTTTAAGGTGATTTTATCTGTTTAATTCTCAGCTTTGTTCCAAAGAGGGGGAGGTGGTGACAGTCTCTTGCCCACTGAAGCGTGCCAGACAGAGTGCTAGGCATGGGGGCAGAGGTGAATCAGATGACAGCCACCTCTCACCACGAGGAGTGGCTGAAAGTGTGACTGGACTACAGGCAATCCTGGCCTTGGCAGGTGAGACCAAGTGTTGTATTGAGGGAGGGTTTCCCTAGCTCATCTTCTGGTCACCTCCACAGCTGAGCTCCACTGTGGCCTGGAGGAAACTGTGATCCATGAAAGGCATGTGGGGCCTGGTCCCCTCATTTTAGCTCAGCTTCCAGGACAGAGAGGTCCACTCCCTGCAGCCTTACAGCTATTCTGAAGGGTTGGGATAAAAAGAGGAGATGGAGACTGGGAGCGGCGGCTCACGCCTTTAATCCCAGCATTTTGGAAGTCCGAGGTGGGTGGATCACCTGGCATCAGGAGTTCCAGACCAGCCTGGCCAACATGGTGAAACCCCACCTCTACTAAAAATATGAAAAATTAGCCAGGCATGGTGGCAGGCACCTGTTATCCCAGCTGCTTGGGAAGCTGAAGCAGGAGAATCGCTTGAACCTGGGAGGTGGAGGTTGCAATTAGCCGAGACCATGGCATTGCACTCCAACCTGGGCAACAAGGGCAAAACTCCGTCTCAAACAAACAAACAAACAACAACAAAAACAACAACAACACAAAAAAACCAGAAAGGAGGAGATGGGAGAATCAATGGGAAAGACCAGAATACAGAGAATGTTGCCAAATGCCAATTTACAACCTTAATTTCCTGACCAGATTTGACCCTTTGGTGTCTGTGGCTCTCCTGCCACTCACATACATGCTGGTGGCCTTCCTAGAAAGGAAATAGGAGGGCCTCCCCATCCCTGGTCCTGAGGGATGTCATTCTAGGCATGTTTTAGACTGGACGCTTAAGGCTTTTCCTTCTTGTGCCCTCCACATGGCTTCAGGAAAGCTTGTGCTCTCTCTGAACCCTGCAGCATGTTTTCAGAGGCTGTCGGTTGCCAGATTCTGCAGTGAGCTGTGGATGGGAGGGAATTCAATAGTGGGTGGGTGTGCAGACAGAAAGGGAGCAGGAGTGGGGCTCTGCCTTCCCTGTCATGCAATCATATGGTGACATGAGTAAAACCCAGGGAGAAACAGTTTTCTCTAACCAATGTTCTCCTTGAGGTTCTCTTTCTCTTGTAAGTGCTAAGTACTGCTCCTTTTCCTGGAGTCCAATTCCTGAAAGAGGACAAATGGGCCAGGAGTGGTGGCTCACGTCTGTAATCCTAGCACTTTGTGAGGCTGAGGCAGGCAGATTACCTGAGGTTAGGAGTTCGAGACCAGCCTGACCAACATGGTGAAACCACGTCTCTACTAAAAATACAAAAAATTAGCTGGGTGCAGTGTTGCGCGCCTGTAATCCCAGCTACTCGGGAGGCTGAGGCAGGAGAATCGCTTGAACCTGGGAAGCGGAGGTTGCAGTGAGCCAAGATTGCATCACTCACTCTAGCCTGGGTGACAGGGTGAGACTTCGTCTCAAAGAAAAAAAAAGAGAAAGAATACAAATGGCCAACAAATACATAGGAACATGATCTACCTCATTCGCAACCAGAGAAGCCAATTAAGATGGTGATAATACCATAATGAACAGTTTGACAATTTTAAATGTGCATAATCCAGCAATTCTGATTCTAGAAATGTATAAAATCATTGAATCAATGTGTCAAGGTAAGTGTGTTAGGGTATTTTTGAATCACTGATTCTAACAGATGTCCCTTAGCATGGGGTTGTTTAATAAGTTATAAAGCATGTATAGGCTGGAATGTCACATAGATTAAGGAGCTGGTCGCCTCATTGTTTCCTCCCTGTTTCACCAAAACCCATATGGTCCTGGCCTCATCTCAGCCCCTGGCACCCCTGACTCTCATGGCCAAACGCTGGACATCCTTGCTGTGGGGGCTGAGAACAACCCAGGGACAGTACCAAGAATGTGAGGGAGGGTAGGGAGGCACTGAACCAGCAGCTCCTCCAAAGGAGTGATGTGCTTCCTGAGGTCTATTCACAGAAGGCTACTCCAGAACAGCCTTCTGTGGATCCTAGCTATTCTGGTGTCTGAAGAGGGTATGGTAAACCTCACTGGGTCTGGCTGAATTCCTGAATTCCAGGCAGTGAGGTAAAAAAAAAAAAAATTCTGCCCAGCATCTGGGTCTTGAGGTGGATGCTGTTGTTTGGGGAACCCAGCACCCATTCTCCCTCTCCCTGGCAATAATGTCAGTGTTCCTTTGGGCAAGCACTGTTTCACACTTCCAGCCCCTGAAGTTCAGGTGAGGCTGGCTCTACTCCTTGGTTCTAGATGTAGCTACTTCCAAGCAAATCCCCAAGACTTCTGCTAGCATTACCAAGAAGAGTTCTCTTCCTCCACTTAAGCCCTCCAAGGACGTGTGGGCAGGGTGGTGGAGACACAAGCCACAAGAGAAAGTGCAGGAATCCTGTGTTAGCAGTGGCTGAGCTTAGGCCAGGCCAGAGAAGGAGAGGGAGGGGATTCTGGGCCCTGGAAGGAGAGTCATATAGAGGAGGCTGCCCTGTTGAATGGACGGAGGTGACAATTTCCAAGGTTTCCTGAGGCAAAAAGACCAAGATAAGGCTGGGGCTGGGGGGAGTTCTGTGCAGCAGGAGCCAGGTGGTAAAGACAGAGTGGAAGAGAAAGCCAGTATGGATTTTATTCTAAATGGCCTTTGCATAAGAGCCACCATAGAACAGTTTTATTTATTGATTTTATTTTTATTAATCCTCCTCCAAACACAGAACACATAATTTTACTGTTTTTTTTTGTTGGTGGTGGTGGTGGTAGGTTTGTTTGTTTGTTTGTTTGTTTGTTTGTTTTTAGAGACAGGGTCTTACTGTGTCACTCAGGCTTCAGTGCGGTTGGCAGGATCATAGCTCACTGTTACCTCTAACTCCTGAACTCAAGCGATCCTCTAGGATTGGCCACTGCACTCAGCCTAGAGTTTTAATTGGGATAAGTCAGTAGTCTGATTTGTGTTTTTGGAAGATAACTTTGGATCCAGGCTGGAGAAATGTATCGGACACGGGGACAAAGTCAGAAGTAGAAAAAGCCCTTAGGAAGAGGAGGTGGTATTCTTGAGGAAGGGGGTAGTGGAGAGGGACAAAGTGGGAGAGTTTAGGTGCTCAGATAAAAGGCAAAGCGCTGGGAAGAGTGCGGTGAAACTCTGGATAGCTTGGGCTACTCCACTTCTCTGAGCCTCAGTTTCCTCTTCCAAACAGAAATAATATCCACTTCATGAGGTTATGTTTGACAAGTGTAGTAGCTGAGAGTATTGTTTTTAGTCAGGTCTGGATTGGATCTCAGGTCTGGCAGGTAACAGCTGTGTGACCTTATGAGAGTCAGTTAATGATAGATTGTAGCCTTTATGGAGCACTTGTTATGTTTCAACCAACAGAACTCTCCCCAGACTAGGATACTTATTCTAGCTTCCAGGAGGGTGAGGGGGACGGGGGGTTGTGGTGAGGAAGTATTGTGGAGACAGCAAGCCTTTTGTCCAAAGTCCTACTAGTAAATGTGGAGCCAGGATTTCTCTGTCACGTTCCCCTAACTTTTCTGCGCCTAAAACTGGGATAACAATAATACACTTCCTTGTGTGGTTGGGCGTATACAGAAAGGGGTCTGGCACATAGCAGGTGTTTATTAAATTATTATTAAAATTATTATTATTACATTCTTTGTGTTTTCCTCAGGTTTTGCATAGAGTGAGCATCACTTGGACAAATCCTTTGGATTAAAAAAAGATCTACTAAGTGAGGGGGAAGAAACTGCGGCTGCCAGAGTCTCAGTGGGGGCTTGGGGGGCGTGACCAGAGGGGCGTGGTCTACGGGGGCAGGGCCACAACTGGAGGGCCAGGCTGTGGGGGCGGGGCCAGCACACGAGGACTGAGGGTGGGGGCGGGGCCCGGGCTGGCAACGCATGCCCAGTGCGGTCCCCTTCGCTGCCGCCGCGGCCGCCGCGGCCACCGCCCACTCGGGGCTGGCCAGCGGCGGGCGGCCGGGGCGCAGAGAACGGCCTGGCTGGGCGAGCGCACGGCCATGGCCCCGTGGCTGCAGCTCTGCTCCGTCTTCTTTACGGTCAACGCCTGCCTCAACGGCTCGCAGCTGGCTGTGGCCGCTGGCGGGTCCGGCCGCGCGCGGGGCGCCGACACCTGTGGCTGGAGGGTAAGGCGAGGGCGGCGGGTTTCTTGCCGTCGCCAACTCGCGGGGGACGCAGCGCGCACAGGTGCTCGCGGGGAGGCGAGCCCGCGCCAACCTGTCTGCTCTTCGCGGGGTCCGCGGCCGGCCTGGGTCTCACTCCTCCCGCGCATCCTCCTGGTTTCCCTCCCCGGACGCGTGTCCTCCGGCCCTGGCCGAGATGAAAGCGGCTGCCCGACCCCGGCTTTGTGTTGCTAATGAGGTGCGGCCGCCGGCCGGGGTCCCATTCAGAGGGCGGGCGTGAGGGGCGGCGGGGCTGGGCCGGGCGCCCCACCCTTTGTTCTTGGCCCGGGACCTCCTTCGTCCCAGGGCTGCGTGTCCCGGGCTGGGATCCCCCGAGCCACCCGGACCGGGTTGCGCTTTGGAGAGGGAAGGGGGTATTCTCCCGGACTTTCAGTCCACAACCCTGCTAAGGCCCGGGCGGCCGGAGAGGGGACTTGGAGCACCGGGGAGGGATGCGCCCCGCTCTTCTAGTAGCTTTGTTCCTCCTCGCCTGGGGCCGTCACCCCACTCCTACCCCTCCTCTGACTCCGGGACCTCCTGAGAAACTTCGCCTCCCGGTTCAGCCCTTCGTCTTGTGAAGGTCTCGCGGCTGATATCCTCCTTCCCTGCTTCGAGTTGCGGATATTTTTCCGCCAAAGGGCCGCGTGGGTGTCATCTGGGTGAGGTGCCTGAGACGAGACTGGAGAGGTGCCCAGACTTTCGCCGTGTGCATTGAGCCGTCTTCGTGGAACCGAGCGCTCCTTTGACACTGTCTGGGCGATGGGCGCGGGTGATTGCCATTCCCCTCTCAGCTTCCCTGCTCCCTACCTGGGCTTCTGGCCTTGGGCGGCCCCAGAACCTGGAGATGATGTCCGTCTGCCCCGAGTCTCCCACCGAGGCCCGGGTGGGCCCGGCGTCAGGGCACTCACGGCCTTAAGCTTGTGGAGAAAACGTAGGCTTTGCACTCAGGCAGCAGGGACATGACCTTGGCTCTGCTCCTGGGGAGCCATGAGCCTCAATTTCTTCATATGAAAAATGGGATGAAATGAGAATTTCCTTAGTATTGCTGGGCTGAGGGATAGGTATGGAGTGGTTTGCTTAGGCGAACGTTGACTCAGCCTCTTCTGGGTGGCTCTAAACAGCCTCAGCACAGCCAAAACCTAGGACATAACACTCCCTTAGGCACGCAGGCTGGTGCCTCCAAGCTCACTTGCCCCACAGTCCCAAGAAATGTGGTGCAGAAAACCAGGTGTGAGCCAGACAGCTGGGATGTCTTCAGACTCAGTAGCTAAGCTATGGAGACGGCTATGACCCCTGCTCTGCCTCCGCCCCCGCCACCCCCTTCCCCCCCCGCCCCCCCGCCCCATTAGGCTCTGTCATTCCTTCCTAGTTGAGTAAAGCATCACATTTTCTTACTGTGTTCCATTTCAGTAAAACATTACTGCTCTTGTTTTATTGTTTAAAAAAATTTTAGTAGCTAGCAAGTTTCCTCAAGGAGGATCTCGTGTTGACTTAAGGATCCTACTAGAATTTTGGATTTAGACTCCTATTGGCTTTTGAATGACTACAATATCACAGGCGTTTTATTTTGAGTGTTCATGTGATGGCGTAGGTAAATCAGTCCGATTCACTGTTTTGCTGCAGTTGCCAAGGTGGCTTCTTATGCCACTGTACAAAACTCGTGAAGTTTCCATGCTGTGGGGTATGGTAGTGCCCTGACGGAGCCAGGCTGGTGATTTTCTTCTACCTGTGCGAGTGTGTTCTCCTCTCCCAAACCTGCACCCTCATAAAATGGTGGCTCTGTCCCAGTCACCTCACACTTATGCTGACGTTTTCTCCACCACAGCCCCTAGTTGGGGGTGACTTTTCTCAGCTGCTCCTGCCTTGGCCCCACCAATCGTTTCCTTGGGTCATCCTCATTCGCCTCCTGGACGATCGTAGAGGCCTCTGGGCCATGTTCCAGATTCCAGGCTCATCCAGGCTGATACATGGTTCCTTGTCTCCTGGATTTGCTGCTTGGTGGATTTCATGGACCCAGTTTCCCCACATGCTTTGCATTCCCACCCTTTCCAGCCTCACCCCCTACCCTTCTCATCCTGCTCCTAACTCCGGATGGATGCCCTCTGTGCTTCCAAGACATGCTTTTCCCTCCTCCCAGGATGCCTTTTCCTCCCTTGAGAATTCCTTGCCTATCTTAAGACTCAGTTCAGGTGGTACCTCCTCAGGGAAGCCCTCCTGAATGCCATGCCCCTTGCTTTACCTTCTCATGCAGGTCCTTGCACTTTAGTCTCATCAGACAGCTTTGTCAGTATTTGTTCACTTCTATGTCTTCAGACTAGTTTCTTTAGCCAGGCACTGAACCTCATCTTGGTGGCGTCAGAGCCCTGTAAATATTGGCTGAACCAAATTAGACCCTGCTGCCTTCCTGCTAAATCCTGTATTTCCTGATAGATTTTAAGAAGTAGAGGCAAAGATCAGGGCATCAAGGTCCATTGTCTTTGCACATGCTGTTCCTGCCTGTGTTCCTTTACACCTCTGCAGCTTCCTTTCTCGGCCCTAGCATCACTTCTGCAAAAAATTGTCCCTGTCCACACCTCCCTAGGTCATGTCTTCTAGAAGTTGCTCTGTCAGGGAGTCAGCTAGGAAGTACTGGTACACAGTGACTAGAGTATTTGATTCATGTTTGGGTCCCCTACCAAATAAGAGGTACTTAGTCCATAGATGTTGGCCTCAGCTCTAAGGTTGCTTACAGTGGGGCTGTAGGAACATAAAAGGATAAGGGTCGACTATATGTGATGCAAATCAGAGGAGGCTTTCTGTGGGCCTGGGCCATACTCAGAACCTGAGAGGGGGCAGCAAGGTGCAGCACCAAGTCCTGAGAAACTGGATTTAGGTGCTGGAGCAGAGCTGAGCAAATGACCCCCTTGATCTCCAGGCAACATTTGTTTCAGGAACCCTTGCCCTTGCAGGAATGTGTATTTTTGCAAGACTTGCAAGGTGACTACAGCCAGCCAACCCTCTGCAGCCCTGCTAACAGACCCTTCGGGGCTGCTCCCAGAGGAGCCATGGGCTGGCCTGGTTTAAGTGGTCAGGTTTCACAACCTCCCCATTATTAGTGGGGCAATTAAGAGGCTGATACCATCTTGAACACAGGTCAGTGTTTTAGAAATGAGTTGTGGGCACACTTCCTCAACTACTTAAAAAAAATTCTCTTAGGGTCCTTGCCAGGTAAGGTTGCTCTTTGAGTAATAAATACTGTGTTCACACAGAAGTAATGATTTGTAAAACCTCCAGAGGGACCACACCATCCTCATTTACACTGGCTCTTGCTTCTAGAGTGGAATGGTTTTGTTTGCAACTAGAAGCAAGTTTGGTTCATAACTTTAATTGTGTCAGTCACTCATACTGAAGTTCTCCCTCCCCTTGTCTTGCTGGTCTAGAAGCCTTTTTATGGAACAAGGAGTTAGGAATCTACTCCCACAGGTTTGTATTTAGTGGCTTTTCCTGCAGTGGGGGAGGAGGGAACATTTCTTGCCTCCTTACCTAAATGGGGTCCACCTTCTCTGGTCTATTATCCCTGGAACATAATTCCTACTCCCCCTGCAAGAAAACACTACTCCTTCAGGAATTCGGGAAGCCAGGATGCTGGCATCATCTTTACAATGAAATGCAAGTTTCCCATTTAAGGCAAATACTTCATCACAAAAGGTAGGAAGGAATAGGGTGGTACTTGGAAAAGAGAAGTTCCAGCTGGTTAAAATTTAGGTTCCTGATAAAAGTCCAATCCAAGAATTATCCTTGGCTGTGGGCCCAGACATGTTTATTTGATTCTGAATTGGATGCATTTTCATTCACTTGCAGCTCATGGCTCCTAAGCCCACATCTGGTCTGCCTATCGTATGGCCATGTTGTCCATGTTACAGATGCTCTTGTGTCTGTTACAGAATTCTTGGTTAAAAAATTACTCAGTCCTGGTTGATACATTTTTTAGAGAGACGTTTTTATAAGCAGTGCAAAGCTTTCTTCCAGCCTGTTTTGCCTAGTTAATTGGGAACTCTTCTGGCCCATGTCCATCTTTCTTGAGCAGCCCTCCCTTCTCTCCCCAACCTCAGCCATCCACCCAACCCCAAGCCCCTGCAGTGCCTGGGGCATTGTGCTAGTTATTAACTTGGGCATATAGCTCCGTGACCAGGAGACCAGCAGTTAACTTTTTCTCCAAGTGACACCCTGGGCCTTCCAGTATCAGAATTGCCTCAGGAGCTTGTTAAAATGCAGATTGAAAGCTAATGGGATCAGAGTGAGAGTGAGGTGGAGCCCAGGAATTGGCATTTTAACAAATTCTTTTGAGGATACGCATGCTGTAACCAGGATGAGACCTATTGTTTTAGGGGACAGGGGTCCCACAATCCAAAGAAGGGGAGAACACACATTCTAAACATTTAAAATCAGAGTTTGGCTTTAAATTATGTCACTGGCCTTAGAGAAGAATGTGAAGACTTTCTCAGAGCCCTGACCGATAAAAGGGGTCAGGCTGGGTGGGGAGTGTGAGGATGGGAGGAGCAGGGAAGCGGGGCGGGGGAGAAGCTAGTTTGGATGGGTGCCTCTGGCCTGGGGCAGATGAGGAGGCCTGGAGTGAAGAGGACTTGACACTTCCCCTGAGTTCCTCCCTAGAACAGCTGGGTTTGTCTGAAAACAGTCTCAGGAAGGAGTAGCACAGGATCCAAATCAGATTCTCAGCAGTTCAAATCTTACAACTTCCCAACAAAGGAAAGAACTGCTAGTGCTTTTAAGTATTTTTCATGCTTCATTTGGCCTAAAACATGTTTTTTTTTTCTTTTTTAAAGCTTTCAAGGCTTTTTCTTCCTCTGTCCCTGAACTTTTTATATACTGTGCCCCAGCAGGTGTCTGCTCCTGCTGGGGCTACCCCATCAACAATTTTATTGTCCTCCTTCATTCCCCGCTGCCTCTTTTTTTGAGACGGAGTTTCGCTCTGGAGCCCAGGCTGGAGTGCATTGGCATGATCTCAGCTCACTGCAATCTCCGCCTCCCAGGTTTAAGCGATTCTCCTGCCTCAGCCTCCCGAGTAGTTGGGATTACAGGCGTCCACCACCACACCCAGCTAATTTTTGTATTTTTAGTAGAGACAGGGTTTCACCATGTTGGCCAGGCTGGTCTCGAACTCCTGATCTCAGATGATCTGTCCACCTTGGCCTCCCAAAGTGCTGGGATTACAGGCGTGAGCCACCGTGCCTGGCCCCCCACTGCCTCTTCAGCCTGCTTCTGATGGATGGGTTTTTAGGCTTCTAGAACTTGAGCCTCCACCCTTGATTTGTAAGAATGTGGGGTGAGGAGAGGGCTCAGCTATCAGGGAGCTTGACAGGTTGAGAGGTGCAGTGGCCTTAGAGCAGACCTCTCTCTGGCCACCCTGCCCTGGCAGCCAGACCTTTTCCATTTCCCATCTACTCCCAAATTTGGAGAGCTCCTGCCCTCAGTCAGCCGGGGGGCTGTCTGTGCTGGAGCTACAGGCCCCATCTCCAGCCAGCCAGACTTGCCCAGCCAGTGGGAGGCATTGTCCTCCTGGGCAGTGTTTGTCTTGGCTGCTTGGATGTTCTGAATGGGCCTGACACACGATTAGGTGACTGATGGCCTCCGAAACACATTGTCTCCTCCGGGGCCCACAGCCTTTGAAGCTCTTCCCGGTGGGAAGTAAAGAGACTATTTGCTCTATTAAAATGCCTTGGTATTTCCTCTGTTTAACCACAGGCCACTTCCCCTCTGCCACTCTAAACCCGGCAGGGCCACCGGCTGATTGAAAAGACACAAGCCCTCAAGTGATCACATCCTATTGAAACAGATAGTCTTACTGCAGATTAAAGCTAGGGCCAGTCTTGAAGAAACAAATCCAAGGGGGGAATCTTTGAGATGGCCCATTATCTTGCTCAGAATTTAGTCTGTTGAACAGAATTCACACTTGAAGTCCTGAGTGCATAAATGTAAATGTGTCTTTAAAAAAAAAAAAAAAGAAGAGATATCGACATTGTAAATTAAGTCAGTGTGTGTTTTATCTATATATGGCAGGTTAAAGCAATCCAATCAACAATTTCTCATTGTGTGAGTTGGAAACCCTTTGGTGTCTGGGAAGGGCATGTTGTCTGTTCATAGAAAACCACACCCTGCTGCTTTCTCTATTTGCAGATTCTACCTGTTCAGTCATATGCTGAAAAGTCCAAGTAAGAAAGAAGTCTGTAGCTTAAATAATACCAAGAATATCTCTGGGGAGACTCCTTCATCCTTTCCCAAACAATATATTAAAAGAAGGCTTTTAATTAATAACACCAGGCAGGAAACTAAAAATTGAACAATTTAAAAAATTACCTACATAACAAAAACTCCATTTGTACCATGTTTTTGTGAAGTGGCCTAAAAAACGAATAACTAGTTTCTAATAGAGACTGTTAACATTGATGTTTGCAACTCCATTGTTCAAAGTATCCATGATAAAAATGGATTCCCTTTTCTTTGGTTCCTTGTTTGGAAATGTTGGGGGAAGGTGGATGTAGCTAATTAAGGCTACAACATTTAAAGGGGGGGACTTAATAGGTACCAGCTGTCCTCAACAAATCACTGGGTGGACGACAAAATAAAGATGTGATGTGAACACACATGTAATTCTCTTCTAAAACGGAAATGGGCTCATAAATTTTCTGATTTAATAGTGTAAATGAAAACTACCTCTACTGTGCTTATTTAAGAAGCATTCATTTTATGGTAAAACTAATGCTAAAATGTCTTATTTGCATATGGCTGGTACCTTAAGACTTGAAAGGGCAGTAGATGGCAAGTATTATTGGAAGCTTAGTAAATTGTAATTTTATTGTACCTTTCTTCATTCCATACCTGATCTAATAGACGTTAATCATGAGGCTTTTCATTAAAACTACTACATGGTAGGGAAGCATGCTTGAACGTACCAGAAAAGCCATATAAAATTCAAGTATCAACTTTGAAAACGGAATGGAAATTGGTAGCATTAATTAAAATGTTTGGATGGATATTTACATTTCACACATTAAATGAATACTTCATATGAATCCTTTTGAAATCATGAGGGATTAGGCCTTAAATACAACTTTTTTTCAGATGTAAAAAGTACTTTATTGCCTTCAAAACTAGGAGTTTTTCCAAGTGTTCTGTTTGGTCATTTTTGTAGATCTTTTCCCCCCATTGAATAGTAACCCTTTAAAAAATGCTGGCAGTGTCCCCAGACTTCTGTGCTGCGATGGACTGTTTTACTCGAGAGTGGGAGGGTTAATGGGATAAAGGGAGGGCTTCCTTGGAACGAAGAGGTGTGTTTTCCTGAGATAGGCCATATGGTTTAGAAACCCTTTCCCTGTGATTTTATTCTGTCCGGGTGATTTCTGGTTTCTTCTCTCCCAAAACGGCCCCCTTTTATCTGAGGAAAATGCAGTGCAGTATGGACCAAATGTAGCAGCAGTCCGCCGCCTGAGCGTGGTCTCTGTTGAGTGACGGTTTATGGCCCCTTCCTCTGGAGTGTGCACATTTGCTCTGGGTGCAGCACAGGCACTCACACGGTTAGGATTTATTGTAACTGTTCAGTATCTGAAGCTCAAAAAGACTTATTTGGAGTGAGGAGGCAGGAGACCCTTTTTTTGAGCAGCCACCCTGTGTTAGGTTGTGGGACCAGTCCCCCGTCCACAGTGGCTGCCTGTCTGGGCCAGGAGCAAGACAAAGGAGTAGGGGCCTGGACAACAGGGAAATTCAGGAAGAGATTCTGGGGCCACAGTACCGAGCACTCCCCGTCCTCTCTCCACACTTCCCTACTCATTCCAGAGAAACTTGAACGGGCTTCTGCTGCTCCTCATCCTAGAACTGCCCCCGTGAAAAGCAGTTTGTTGACATTCAACTGCCTGAGGCCCTGCTTGAGGCCACCTTAGAACTCTGGCTTTTTAGCCCATGTCTCAGTTGGTTCCCAGTATCTCTGGCTTTTTGCTCTGCCTCAGTTTCCCCTGCTTTGGAGGAGGCCCCCTTTTCTCTGTGAGGCTTCTCCATACCACTCTCTAGCTTTCCCATGTGCCACAAAGCCTGGCCGACCCCATCATCCCTCCAGATTTCATGAGAATGTGTCCAAACATTGCAGTGATGCATTGAGAAACAAACAAATTTGATGTTTTTATAGGAAGAAATTGAATTTCAATGGTTCGTGGGAGGCTTAGATGAAGAAGACAGGTCTTACCAAAGGGACTTTGAGCAGGGCCTGACCAGTGAGTGGACCCAGGCGCTGGGGGGACAGTTTGGGCAGAAAGTAAGATGTGGGCAAAGCTGGAGAAGGGGGCTCATTGGTCGGGGGATGGTAAGGTTGAAGATATAGGTACTAGATAACAGGGCACCTTGAAGTTTGCCTGTGTATGTTCTGTCAGAAGTGGTGAGGCTTGGAAGATTTCTCCAACAGGTGAACGGTTTGATAAGAGGGACACTCAGTGGCCATTCATTCATTGAGTGAATATTGGTGTGTTCTGTGTGTTAGGTCTGATTTCTAGAGCTTAGATTTTATTTTATTTCCAGAGACAGGGTCTCTGTCACCCAGGCTGGAGTGCAGCAGTGGCGTGATCATAGCTTATTGCAGTCTTGAACTCCTAGGCTTAGGCAATTCTCCTACCTCAGCCTCCCGAGTAGCTGGGACTACAGGCACGTGCCACCAAGTCTGGCTAATTTTTTACATTTTTTGTAGAGATGGGGTTTTATTATGTTGCCCAGGCTGGTCTTGAATTCCTGGCCTCAAGCGATCTGCCCACTTGGGTTTACAGACATGAGCCACCATGCCTGGCCAGAGCTTAGGTTTTAGTAGGGGAGACAAATAGGATAATGAAGTATCAGACCTGACCATGCTCTTTCCAATAGCAACTTGCTGCTCACTGTCCTCTTTTCTTCACTTTTTCTCTGCCGAACTTTTCACCTTGGGACATACATAGTATTTTCTTTGTCCATCCTTCTTCCCCGTTGCAGTGTCAGCTCCATGTGGGTGGGGTCTTTACCTGTTTTGTTCCCTTCTGCATCACGAGAACAGTGCCTGGCACATAGTAGGTTCTCCATACATGTTTCTTAAATGACTAAGCACTCTACAGGAAATTAAAATGAGGCAATAAGAGCAATGGGTGTTTGCAAGTAGACACTCTCCAATGGCCTCTCTGAGGAGGTGACATGTCAGTCAAGCAACTGTAATAAAAAGTTCCTCTGGGCAAGGAGTGGTGGCTCATACCTGTAATCCCAGCATTTTGGGAGGCCAAGGCAGGCGGATCACCTGAGGTCAGGAGTTCAAGACCAGCCTGGCCAACATGGTGAAACCCTGTCTCTACTAAAAATACATAAATTAGCTGGGTATGGTGATGTGCACCTGTAATCCTAGCTACTCAGGAGACTGAGGCTGGAGAATCACTTGAACCCAGGAGGCGGAGGTTGCAGTGAGCCAAGATCGTGCCATTGTACTCCAGCCTGGGCAACACAGCGAGACTCCGTCTCAAAAAAAAAAAATTTCCTCTGAAATTGCTTTCTTAACATTGGCTAATCATGTGGCAGTTAGTGCTGAGAGTAGCATAAAAAATATGCTTAATTTATTCATTCACACCACAGTTATTGGCACTCCTGCCAGGGGCCACATACTGGTTAGAGGCTGGGCTTCAAGCCAGGTTCCCACTCATGACAGGGAGAGTGTGGGCTGGTGTTGTGTGGGAGCCACACCTGGCCGAGTGTCTGTTGCTTGAGGGGGTTGCTTGGACTGTCTACTTTACCCTGTGCTGTGGATGAGAAAAATGTGAAAAGTTACTGCTAAGCACTAACTAAGCATCCCGGTTTTGGACTTTCTGAAACGATGTGAACGGAACAAATCTCACTCCCTGGCAGCAGCCCTCAGTTTGTATGAAACTTTGTCTTCTTAACAGAGGTGCAGGTCTCGTTTTTGTTTGCTTCGTTCCCCTCTGGTGGTGAATGCATTTCATTTTCTGAAGCCACTTGAAGGTCTGTCCATAATCAGAGGTGCTCTTTGCCTTCTTTCCGGGGCTGCGGATTTGCCGGCCAGCTGTGGAAATGAGTTTTTGCCCGGCTTTGATTTTCATGCCTTGCCTCCCCGTGGGAGGAACTAGATATTTCTGATCTTACCTCTGCTCATATTCAGATCCAGCCAAGCAATCAGTGACTTCCCGGGCTTTTTTGTGGGAGACTGTGGGAAAAGTCCTGGTTGGCTGGCTATGAATTAATGAAATCCTTAGAAGGCTTCACTAAAGATAGCTCCTGTGGCTTACAAAAAAAAATGGCATTGCCTTTTTAATTTGAGAAGGACGTCATGGAGTTTTACCAAAATTAAGCAGAAAAAATGTAACATCTGGTTGTGCTGGCGGAAGACTGCTTCAGGGCCTCTGGAGCTATGAGTTCCCAGTGCTGGCATGCCCAAGGTGACTGTCACCTGCCCCTATAGTGCTGCTATGGACAGGCCGCCTCTCATTGTTCTCCTCCTTGGGTTTTGAAGTCATTGAGAGACAAATTCTACCTCCCACATCTTTTCACTTGAGCACATTTCCCATCTACTGAGCTTTCTTATTTTACTTAAAGGGTCACACATTTTTAAAAGTACAGAGTTTTCGAGTTGATCAAGACTAGTGTAATCATTGCTTTTATCTCATTAAAAAAGGATGGGGGTAGATAATGGGGGCAGCAGGCCAGCGAACTTTTAAAGAGTTCTAAAAAGGAGAGTGAGAATGGTAAATTGCTGGAGAAGAGTTTTAGGGAAAGGCATATAGGAGATTTTAAATGGATTTATGACGTGTATGTATGTGTGTGTGTGTGTGTGTATATATATATATATATATATATAATTTTTTTTTTTGAGACAAGGTCTCACTCTGTCACTCAGGCCGAAGTGCAGTCATGCAATTATAGCTCGTTGCAGCCTTGAACTCCTGGGCTCCAGCAATCCTCCTGGCCCAGTCTCCTGAGTAGCTGGGACCACAGGCGTGTGCCGCCAAGCTTGGCTATTTTTTTACTTTTTTTTTGTTAAGACAGAGTTTCACTGTGTTACTCAGGCTAGTCTCGAACTCCTGGCCTCAAGCAGTCCTCCTGCCTTGGCCTCGCAAAGTGCTGGGATTACAGACATGAGCCACCATGCCCTGCCTAGAGCATACGTTTTCTGAAACGATACAGGAAGATGAAGTTGTTGCCATCCCAACCCCCCAACCCCTCAAGCAGGCAGCTAGTCACCTGTACAAAATACAGGTATATATAATATATAAAATGTAAATATAAATGTATATAGTGTGTAAAATGTATGTATATAATGTATAAAATACAGTCACCTGTATATTAGAGTCCCTTACAGCCCCACATGGGGATTCCCCATTATTGTGCTCTTTCTCCCATCCTTTGTATTCTGAAAATTTTCGAATCTGTAGAAGAATTGAAAT
This sequence comes from Homo sapiens, assembly GCF_000001405.40. Classification (NCBI taxonomy): domain Eukaryota; kingdom Metazoa; phylum Chordata; class Mammalia; order Primates; family Hominidae; genus Homo; species Homo sapiens. The sequence goes on along the minus strand of NC_000003.12, from coordinate 57,153,674 downwards.
AACAGTAAAATGAACACCCATTTCCCCTTTGTCTAAAGTTACCAATTCATAACGTTTTGCTACACTTACCTCACTTGTCCTTTTAATGTCATTCATAATTTCTTTCTGCATCACATTCTAGGGGGCAGAGAAGGGTCACTCATTGCTTTTTGATGTCCTGTCTCTTTAGCCTCCTTTAATACAGAACAGTTCCTCTACCTATTTTTCGGTCCTTTATAGCCTACACATTCTGAAGAGTCAAGGCCACTTGTGTACACAATTTGGATTTTTGATTGTTTCCTCATGAATAGGTTCAAATATTTTGACAAGACCCCTCTAAAGGTGATATTGTGACTTTGTTGGATTTTACATATCAACTGGTAACAAATGTAGATGCAGTTTTAGCAATAAGAAAAATTTGTTTTTTCTGTGTGAAATTGTTGTATTTAGAGATCTGTGCTAATAGTAGTACCCAGTTTAGTCTTGTGTTGTCTTTTTAAAAATGCAGTGTTTCACATTAAGCCTTCCCTTTTACTTTATTGAGAGTCTAAGGAAATGCAGGATGTCATTTGTGCTATCCTGTAATAAACTTTTTCCTTAAAGATTATTTGAAATCAACCACACTGTCTCAAAATGAGGAGTGCTATTTCTCAAGAATGCTCAAGGCTTTTGCTATTCACATGGGCTTGTTGCAGTTATAGATGTCGCCCTCAGAGACGGGGAATGAGTTCCTATTAAAGACCTGTGTTTGGCCGGGGCAGGTTTACGGTTGACTGCTTCCTCACACCAAAATTCAGCCATTTCTTTCCTTTGTGCTAAGAAAACATTGAACTTTATTTCCAGTAAAGGCTACTTTACTAAAAACGTATCCTCCAAGTCAGTTTCTAGCCTTTTAGTTCTGTGATTGCATGTTACCTACATTATTTTATTAGAGTCCGTTACAGACAGTTTCATTAGTTTAACTTGAATTATTATCTTCTACCTAATTACATGGCTTTTGTTTCTTTCATTTTACCCCACTCCAGATTTAAGGGCCAAGACATGTAAAGTTAATATTGGTCATTTTTCAAAGTAAGTTAAAATGTCAAAAAGCAACAAGTTGTTATTCTTACAGGGTACCAGGGAAACAACAGAGACAAAACCTCCATCTTTTATTCATAAGTCCAGAGAGACTACGAGGGCGCAGGCAGGCCTGTGTGCCGGGCGTTTGTTCAGCTTTCAGGACTGGGCCTCCTCCCCTGCTGGCCATGAAATGTCATGCCGAGATGTAATAGTGGGACATTCAGCATCCAGAGAATGGTCCGCAGAGATTCAACTTTGCTTTTCATTTTCTTTTCTGGCACCAAGTCCACAGTCCCCTCTGTGGCCTGACAGTGAAAGGCCAGAAAGCAGCGATTTAGATGCTGGCAGGAATGGTGTGCAGCCTCTGCCCAGCGGGCCGGAGCTCCTGGGCTGGAATGCATGCTGGACACAAAGGTCGGGTGAGGGTATGCTTTGGTCGGGGGCGGGGGGCAGCTTGCCTTTGCTTGGTCTCGTTTGCTCTGGTCACAGCCGAGAGAGTTCTTGTTTCTATGGCTATGCTACCTTTAGTTTTGTGGAAGAGGGAGTGCAAGGTGCTTTTGATTTCAGAAATCACTCAGGGTTAACCATTTTTGTGTAGAAGGAGGCACTGGGGGCACAGTACTGAGTCTGCGCAGCTCCCCAGGCTCTGACATTTCCTTCGGATGAAGCAAACATAGGCAGCATTTGCTAAACAAGCCTAGACTTTGATTTAGAGCAGTGGTTTTTGATTGGGGGAATTTGGGGGATTTCTTTTTTGTTTGTTTGTTTGTTTTGAGACAGGGTCTCTATCAACCAGGCTTGAGTGCAGTGGTGTGATCACAGCTTACTTGCAGCCTTAACCTTGATTTGGGGAATTTCTGGAGACATTTTTGGTTGTCACAGCTGGGGTAGGCTGCTCCTGGCAGTCAATGGGAAGGGCTCAGGGATGTTGCTAAACATCTTGAAATGCACAAGTCAGTCCTCCATGACAAAAAATTACCTGGCCTAAAATGTAAATAGCGCTGAGACTGAGAAACCCTGATTTAGGGGTCCCATCTTAGTATTTTGATTTCTCAGCCCTCTTAGCCTCATAACACTTTTGAGCTTCCTATCTGTTTAACAGAAGCTGCTGGTTCTATAAATTTGCACTCAGGATGAATTTCCATGAAACTCTCCAAGACATATGATTAAATTATTGTGGTGCTCCTTGAAGATATGCCCTGAATGCAACTACTATTTTAAATGCAAAAGACAATTTTTTGCCATAATTTGATCAAAGTAGCATAACCTGTGCCTCTGTTTTTGTTACTCACTGATGGTCTGTGGATAACATTACATTTTTTCAGCATGAAACCCAACACTTCAAATCCCTAAAGCAGTCTCAAATTTATGGTTAATAAAAGCATTTATTGTACTGGATGTCATCTGTTATATCACTCTGGGGCTAGAAACTGGCAAGCAGTGGACAGGAAATATTTTCATTTCAAATCGCTTCAATCTTATGGTCTAGGGGCAAAAGTGTCTGATTTCAGGAAAGCCGCAGTGAATAGCATAGTAATGAATGCATTTTTAGTTGATTAAGCAGGCATTCTCTCCCTTTCAAACAATCTTCCCTCTTTGGCTTGGAGGGGCTAAATAAACATGTGATATTAAATGATAGCATTTCTTGTGTTGGCCATGCCTTTTCTTTGATCATCTTAAACTTTTCAAAGTGTTTTCCAGGAATCCTCAGCAGAGCAGGAGCAAGCCAGAGGAGAATGGCTAAACTCAAGTTTTGGCCCCCTTCGTAATTGTTTACTTTCTGAGCAGAGGAGGTTTTCTGAGAAGATGCTGACTCTTCTGAATTCCTCTTTAAAAATGGAATTTGGTACCTCACCCTTGGGATCATGAATTTAGGAGGAAAAAATATTTTGAGTTTTTGTTTATTTTCAAAAAGTCTGCAATTTTATTGTAATTTGAGTCCCGATCTCTCACATCCATCAGGTAAAGAGGGTGAGGAGAGTTCCATCCAGAGGAAATCTGGTGAGGCGATGACATATCCGGGACAGTGTACCTTTCGTCCTGACTGCCCAGCCTTTGAACATGTTACCTAAGTCATCACTTCCCAGCAAGCCTCGGAGGTAGACAATTATTTCTGATGTGGTTCCCTTTTTTCCAGATGAGGATTCCATGGCACAAAGAGCCAGGAAGGGATTAAGATGAGAATCCTTGTGACTCGGAGAGGCCTCTCTCTGCCAGAAACCGGAGCTGCAGAGTTCTTACCCTGCCCATGCCCCCAGCAGTCGGGCTTGCCCTGCCTTCCAAGCACCCTGTCTCAGATGGACGGCTGCCATGTGCAACAAAGCAACTAATGGGGGGTGGAAAGAGGCGAGACTAGACAGCACTTTGGAGATAATTAAATTAAACTCAGATTAGGCAATTACCCCAAAGATTCCCAAACCTGGCTGAACACCAGAATCACCTGAGGAGCATTCTTGGAGTGGGGGGAGATTCCGGGCCTCACCCCAGACCTGCTTAAGTGGGATTTCCAGGGGAAGGCCAGGAATCTGAGTTTTTAAAAAAGCTGCCAGATTAGTGATTGCCAGGGTTTTGGAGGGATGGAGGGAGGGCTTGACTACCAAGGGGCAGTACAAGGGAATTTTTTGGGTTGATGGGACTGTTCTGTATACTGATTATAGCAGTGGATACATACATATATATGCATATAACTTGTGGACCCATACACCAAAAACTGTCAATTGTACTGTGTAAATAAAAATAAATATGCTGCCCAGGTGAAACTGAGTTATCTAGGTGTCAGTTGAGATGGCCTGTGGTGCCTGGTGACAGCTGGGAAGAGCTGCCCAGCTATGAGAGAGTGTCACCTGTTATTGCAGAGGCAGGCGTGGGCAGGTGCTGAACTCTTTAGCCCAGTGCTATCCAACAGAACTTCCTGTGACAAAAAATGTTCTTCCCAGCACCGTTCAATTCAGTAACCATCAACCACTTTTGGCTACTGAGTACCTGAAATGTGGCTAGCACAACTAAGGAACTGAATGTTTAATTTTACTTAAACTTAATTTAAATTTAAATCATCACACATGGCTAGAGGCTACCCTATTGGACAGCTCACCCTCAAAGGTAGACATGGTGATATCATGGAGCTTTGGCTCTGTGCAGGATGCACACCGTGGTACTTTATACTCGAGGGACAATAGTAAGTCATCCCAAACATTGGGTAAAATGGAAACATGGACAGGACTTACCAATATGGGTAAGTACAGAGAAGAAGGAACCTTGGGATGAAGACTCACCTGAGATCTGCCCAGGCAGAGGACAATTCTGCCGAGTGAAGGAATCGGCTTTTTTTTTTTTTTTTGAGATGGAGTTTCGCTCTTGTCACCCAGGCTGGAATGTAATGGCGTGATTTCAGCTCACTTCAACTTCCACCTCCTGGGTTCAAGCGATTCTCCTGCCTCAGCCTCCCATGTAGCTGGGATGACAGACAAGTGCCACCACACCCAGCTAATTTTTGTATTTTTCACCATGTTGGCCAGGCTGGTCTTGAACTCCTGACCTCAGATGATCGGCCCGCCTTGGCCTCCCAAAGTGCTAGGACTACAGGCGTGAGCCACCACGCCTGGCCAGGAATCTGCTTTTTCTTCTCCAAAGATAGCACCATCTTTGGCCCACTTCCTTCCCCAACCTTCCAACCTTGTTCATTTTAAAAGGTGCAGAGGTTAGTTGGGATGCTCTTGAATTATGCTCCCATTCTTCTGCAGTGATAGGATATACAGGAAGCCATCAGAGGGGCCAGGTGAGCTCAGTGCAGAGAGGTGGGGATGTTCTGGGCTTCACTGGGCCCACCTGCCTCCCTAGACAGAGTGTGATGAAGAATCTGTGTGGGCATATTGTATTCCTTTTTGGGGAAGGAGAGCATATAAAAAAGGCAATTAGGCATAAACTTCCTGCTTTATGCTTTGAGCACATGACCTTTACCTTGGCTTGTGTTCAGACGCTCCTAAACCCACCTCCTCGACCCCCATTGATTTATGTTATCTTAGTGTTACTTTTCCAAATGTGTTATAAAAGAATGAGATTCAGGGAGTGTGGACTTTTATTAGTACAAACCAAATGGTGGCAGAAAGAATGTTCCAATTTGTAAACATATGTGTTCTTAAATAAATTTGCTAAATGGGTAACAAAAAATTTCGTGAGCTATGGTCTTATAACTGGAGGTTTTGTTAATCTGATTTAAAAATAGGACTGACTTGAAAGCGTAAAAATGGGGAGGTAGGTTTAAAATTAGTGGGTCTTCTTTCCTTTTTTCTTTTCTTTTTTTTTTTTTTTTGAGATAGAGTCTCGCTCTGTTGCCCAGGCTGGAGTGCAGTGGCACCATCTTGGCTCACTGCAACCTCTGCCTTCTGGGTTCAAGCGATTCTCCTGCCTCAGCCTCCTGAGTAGCTGAGATTACAGGCGTGCGCCACCACACCTGGCTAATTTTTGTATTAGTAGAGACGGGGTTTCACTGTGTTGGTCAGGCTGGTCTTGAACTCTTGACCTAGCGATCGCCCCCCCCCCCCCCCCAACCTTGGCCTCCCAAAGTGCTGGGATTACAGGTGTGAGCCACCGTGCCCAACATTCTTTATTTTTTATATGAAAACTTGACTTCTTTCGATCAGGAAGAGAACATCCTGGATGGATCATAACATCTCTAAGGAGAGTTTCCTTGTGTTGCCTTTACAAATTGGTTACTTCAACCTTATAAGAAAAATGAAGCTTACTGAGTATTAAGCTCCATTACATACTGATTCTTCTACCCTTGAACACACAAACAGATCTTGTTGCATAGCTGCTATAATCACTGTGTTTTATTTATTTATGGTTATTTTTTACTTATGTTTGTTTTCCAAAGATATTTCCATGTATTGATGTAGTGCACAGACATGTCACTTTTAGTGGCCATATGATATGTTCATGTAGTAAGCTCCCCTCCCCTTTTTGCCAGTCCTGTCCCCACATTTGATGAGGCATTTGGGCTGTTTCCGAGTTATTACTGTTACAAAGCTGCTATGAACATCTTCATACAGATGGGTTACCTGCCCATCTCCCTTGCCGTTTTGGTTTATTTCCTTGGCATTTATTCCCCAAAGTGGAATTACTGGGTCAAAGGATTTGTGGCTCTCATTTCATACATGTTTACCAGCTTGTCCTGTATAATGACTGAACCAGTTTACTGGGAGGAATTGTGTTTTGAGAAAAGAATAGGTTTGTTTCACGAATCCCAGCTCCACCATTTGCTACCATTTATTGAGACCTTGGGCAAATTTTTCCCTGAGGCTATTTCTTCATCTGTAAAATGTGTTATTAATAGTTCATCTCCCAGGGTTGTTGTTTGTTTTAAGATGTAAGCAAGATACTGTTTTTAAAACATCCAGCTCTGTGCCTGGCCACATGGTAACTGCTTAGTGACTGGCTGCAGTCTTTTTATCAGCAGTATACATGTACTCATTCTTCTCCATCCTAATAATATTGACATTTATCAGCCAGGTGGGTTAAGCCTATGATCCCATCAGTTTGGGAGGCCAAGGTGGACGAATCACCTGAGGTCAGGAGTTTGAGACCAGCTTGGCCAATGTGGTGAAACCCTGTCTCTACTAAAAATACAAAAAAAAAAAAAAAAAAATTAGCCGGGCATGGTTGTTGGGCACCTGTAATCCCAGCTGCTCGGGAAGCTGAGGCAGGATAATTGCTTGAACCCAGGAGGCATAGATAGGTTGCAGTGAGTCAAGATTGTGCCATTGCACTCCAGTCTGGGCGACAGAGACTCCATCTAAAAAAAAAAAAAAAAAAAAGAATACCTCTCACACACACACGAAATATTGACGTTTATATAATTTTTTTTCTTTCTTTTTTTTTTTTTTTTGAGATGCAGTCTCACTCTGTTGCCCAGGCTGGAGTGCAGTGGCGTAATCTTGGCTCACCGCAACCTCTGCCTCCTGGGTTCAAGCGATTCTCCTGCTTCAGCCTCCTGAGTAGCTGGGATTACAGGCATGCACCATCACGCTCAGCTAATTTTGTATTTTTAGTAGAGATGGGGTTTCTCCATGTTGATCAGGCTGGTCTCGAACTCCCAACCACAGGTGATCTGCCCACCTTGGCCTTCCAACGTGCTGGGATTACAGGCATGAGCCACCGCGCCCAGCCCCAAGTATAATTTTTCTTTACCTTTGTTATTTTGGTGGTAGCTTATACTTGTTTGATTTTGGATTTTTTAGAGAAGGACTAAATCTTTCACCTGGTGATTTACCTTCTGAGTATGTTTTAGTGCCTTTAAGTCTAGAAATATTAAAGCTAGGTGTGGGCGAAATGTCGCTTAGTAGAGAGTGTTAGGGAAGATGTTTTAAGTGAATAAATAAGAATTTAAAGTAAGAATTTAAAATAATTATTGATTAGTAAGTCTAAGAATTATTGATTAGTGAGTCTTCCTGACTTACCAGCATATTATGAAAATAATTGAATCTGAATATTATCATGGAAATTCTATTTGTACTGCCAATTTAGCCAGCAAACCTTTGTTCCTTTGTATGTGTGTGTGTGCACGTGCATGCATCAGTGTGTGTGTGTGTGCGCGCGCGCGCGCGTGAGTGTGTGTGTGCGCGCACGCTTTCCCCAAAGTCTTTGGATTGATCGCACATTACCCATAAAGAGAATATATATTAATTCTGTTTTATTGGAGTTTAAAAAAAATCCCGATCTTGGGCTAGAAGCCACCCTGGTTAGGCTGTCTCATTGAGGTCACTGTGACATGTGTGATGAGAGCATCTCAGGCTGACTGCTTGTGACTATGGACAGGGCAGGTGACCCATAAGGCTGTCAGTTTCCTTACTACCTGTAAAGTGGGACAGTTACACTAGAATTATTCTCAAGATTTTAACTATTATTTTTATTGAGGTGATTTGAACCTTTAATTCAGAGGGTGTAATTGTCCTGTCCTACCCACTCCGTGTCCTTATTGAGTTGCCCACCTCTTTTGCTACCTAGACACTTGCCCCTTGCACCTGGGTGTCTGTTTTTCATCTCACTTGGGAAAGAACACCCAACCTCTGACCATTGTTGCAGATCTTTCTCTAATACAAGAAAAGCATTTGTCCTACATATAGTTTTTATTTTTTAAATTGAGACACAGCTTTATTTTTGCAAAATGTGGCCTGTCGGCTCTGCTGGTCACTTTTGATGTGCCTGTGTTGCTTGCGTACATGGAGGGTGCCCACGTCTCCATCTGCCTTCATCCTTCACAATTTCATGTGTGATCACCCAGCTTATCCACATGGCCAAAGACCCGGTGCATCTCCCAATTTTTAACATCAACACTATTGTTAATGATTGATTACAACCCATTTAGTCTTCTGGGCCAGGAGCTTTTAGGGCCCAATCAATCAGTGAATCCATAAACAAGGGGACTGCCTCAGACTCCCTGGGAGCTCTGAATCACACTGGGGTGTTGACAGTCCCAGAGGCCTTTCTGTCAGCAACTGTCTGGGTTGGAGAGGATTTGGGTACTGTGCTAGGTGTTGGCGAGGGCAGAAGAAAGGCAGTCACAGATACAGAAATAGTTTGTTTGACAGTTGATCTGCATATGGGTAATTGCAGAACTGAGTCGTTCATTTTTTACCCTCTTTACTCCCATTTACACCAAGCTGTCTTCTTGTCAGGAAAGCTGGAAGTCAGAATAGTGATACACACATACACACACACCTACACCTTCCTCACCTGTTTTTAAAAATGACTCCTTCCTGGGAACCCCAACATGAAGCAGATAAGAGTGCAGCAGCTCTGGTTGAAGAGAGTGGGGAGAAGGACCCTGGCTGAGCCCCGCCCCACCCACAGGTCCTTGCCTCTCATGCAGGCATTGCTGTTCTGTGGGTTTCCCTCTCAGTCCAAGAACTTATCCTGAGTGATTGTCCACCTGCCCTGGTTGACGTGGCATTGTTTTAGTAGGTCCTCTGGGATGATCCCTGGATATGATAAGAACATTTCTGGAAGAGCCCTGTAAAAGCAATTCCTTCCCCTCCACAAGGGTGAGTTTGGGACTACCCTTAATACACCAGAGTGAAGATCCTGGACTTAGAGTACATGGGTGGGTGGACTTAAAGGGACCAGGGAGACAGAGAAGATAAAAACAGAGATAAGCTTTAAGAAGATAAGGTTATAGCTTGCACTGGCATCCTGTCGTGGGCAGGAGAGGAACCAAGAATGCCTGATAGGCTGTCAGGAAGATGGACTCCTCCACAGGGTCTGTGACACAAGCCAGAGGAGGAAGAGATGGTGAACGGCTAGGGAAAGGAAGAGATGGTGAGCGGCTAGGGAAGAGGTCACTCATTCAGAGACCAAAAGGGCAACTGTGTGTGATAACAGGCCCTAGAGTATGAGGGCACCAACAAGGCTGACTTGATGAAATACCTTATCTCCAGGGGTCACACCCCCTGGAAGCACACTGAGCTTAGACAGAAGTGATGACAAGTTGTTTTGGGAAGGGACCGTGGTTGAAACCAGTGCCTCCACCTGCAGCAGTTTACTAGGGGCTCTTTGCCCTCATTCTGCCCTGGGCTGATTGAAGCTTCAGCCACCTTTGCAGAAAGCTCTTGGCTTCTGGTGAGAACATCTTGAAATGGGCCTAATATCTGTGGAAACTGAAAAATGAGACCAATGGTGTGGACTATTTCCACAGTTCTGATATGCCTCTTGCCCCTGTAGGTACAGAAATATTTAATTCCAAATAATTGACTTGAGTTGTAACGCTGTGTTCTAATTTGGAAACGTGAAGCTGACCACTTCCAGAAGGTGCCCCCCTCGCCTTCACTCAGAAAAGCCGGGTGTGTCTCTTCCACCCGAACATCACTGCCCTAGGCACATTGCACTCATTTTCCTAGGGCCTGGCCCTGGACTCTGCACATCCTGGGAGCTCTATGAAGAAGGGCAGGATTACCCTATTGAGTACAGATATTCCTCTCACACACATTGAGGGCTTTGCATTAAAGTGGTTTATGTGGGGCCAGCGTTTTTGGGTGCATATGAAGCCTAGGGGATTTGTGACTTGGCAGATTTGTGTGTAAGCACAGCTCCCCAGCCTCCTGCCTACTTCTGATAGGGGTACTGGCAGCCTTCAGGGACTGAGGCTGTAGACCCTGGAGATGTTCCTTGCACTCTAGGGAGGCAGTAGCAGGGCACCTTCAGGACTGGCTCCTCTGAGGGAGTCCCTGTTTTTACCTCATCACTGATGAGAATGACGTAGCCTTTGTTGAGATTGTCGTAGCCTTTGTTGAGATTGTCAAGGTAGAGTGGAGATAGGTCCCTCCAGCACTGAGACAGTTTTGTGCCTGTGCAAACAAAATACTTCAAAAAGGATACTGCCCCTGCCTCCATCCTGGTGTAAGGTGGCAGAAGGAAGCAGTGGCTGACAGCGGAGTTAAACACACTTTAAGGTAGGTCAAATTTTTGACATACCGTTTTCCTCTGCCGTACCAGCAGCTGCTCTCTACTTTGAAAGGGGGCTTAGCTGCTCACATAAACTTTGGTTTGTGATAATGTAAACTATTATTAGGATTATCTTTTTATTCATAATATATGCCTGATTCTCTGTCTACTTTATTTATGCTCCGTTTGAAACACTCATTTACCTTCAATACTCAGAGCCAGCATCAACCCCTCTGAAAATGAAGGGAAACTTTATAACAGATTATTTAAATCTCTCTGTGGTTAAAAAGGACTCTGGGAATGAAATCATTGGGTTGAGGAAGCTTCAAATCTCAGCAAAGCTTCCAGGTTAAAACTGGGATGCGATGTTGACAAAACATTCCAGTTTAAAGTTTTTTTTTTTAAATGAAGCTTTATCCCCAGGGTGGTGGTTTTCATAAAGAAATGCTTGATTCTCAGTTGAGAATTTTTGGCCTTCAAAGTCTCCTCTTCCCTCCCACCAACCTCCCCCCCGCCCCGCCCAACTTTTCATCACCACCTGGTGGAACCATTTGTCAATGAGGACGTTCTGGAAGTTAGAGAAGTTCCTGAGGCTCAGGTTGGCGACACCAACACAGCGGTCAGCCAGGCCCTATCTCCCTGCCAGGAGGCCGGAGTGGGGGAGGTCAGACGGGGCGGTTGGAGGGGGAGGGATGCCACGCGCTTCTGCCTCAGGTGTTCCTGCGTTGTTTGTCAGTGGAGAGCAGGTTAGTGGGTGAGCCAAGAAAAACCAATAAGTGTTTCAATTTTTAATAAAATGTCTCTCCTACCCTTTGTTTCTCCCTCCACTTCTCCACAAAAGAAAGAACAGAGTGAATTTTTAAGCACATCTGGACACTGTTTTTGTAAAACTTTTACCCTGAATTCCCAGAAGGAATGTATTGGCTCCCATTTTTCCAAGCAAAAACTGAAATGATTCCTTTGTTTATAAGTACTGTGCTTGCATAGTTTAATAAAACAGTAAAGAAAGGAATTGCACTGATTTGAAAACCTTTAGCTAGTCCGAAGCTTTGCCCTTTATGCCTCTCTTGAAGTCTTTGAGAGGTGCTAAAAGTTTATGGTTGGTTATTTTTGGTGTCAGTGGGAAAGGGAGAGTTAGGAAGGCTCCGTGTGTCCCTTTTTGAATTTTTTTTTTCCTGTGGCTATAAGAGCGTTTAGGCAATGGGGCAGGGGCTGCTCTTGGTCCTTGTTCCTCTGTTCTGCTTCCTCTACCATGCAGTGCCCTCTGGTGAAAACCGTGCAGATACAATCAGATAACAGTGTTCCAGATCTGAGAGCCCAAGGCCTGCGGTGGAAGACAAAATCCATCTTTTCCTTATCAGATAGTGTTTGTTTTTTTCTTAGGTGATTCTTCTGTAAGCCTATTGTTGCCAAGAAAATGAAGTTGATCTTTCATTAATACCAGTCTTATTAGGATGTTGGCATGGTGTTCTAGTATGGGGAGAATTGCAAAAGAAACTTAGAGTGTCAAGCTTTTTTTTTCCTCCCAGAAATGTTTATTATAACAAATATTAATAACATTTAGCAGTTTGTGTATACAGATAATGTACAAAAAATAGACCTTCAAAAATTTCTAATCTGAAGTGACAAATAATTAATGTTTAATAATCACTAGTTGTTCTGCTCAGGATTATATTCAATTGTATATAGTATTTTTAATTCAAACAATACATTAGAGAACAAAGAATATTTTAATGTTTATTCCATCCCTCAGAAATGAAAACTGCTAACAATACAAAAAATAGCTACATATTCCCTGAAAAATAAGTCCTCAGTGTCAAGCTTTTAAAGATGAAATACAGAGACATTTGCTATTTTGGGGAACTTGTAAGATGACATGGTTCTGTTCAGACCGGTGGTTATAGAAGTTCTTTTTTATGCCCTCAAAAATTATGTTTTTTAATTAAAGTTATATTGTCAGGAAAACATCAGCATACTGTGGTTAAGTTATGAGGGTCGGCTGGGTGCTGTGGCTCACGTCTGTAATCCCGACACATTGGGAGGCTTAGGCAGGAGGATTGCTTGAGCCCAGGAGTTTCAGCCCAGCCAGGGCAACATAGCAAGACCCCATCTCTACAAAGAATGAACTTTTAAAAATTAGCCAGGCATGATGGTACACGCCTGTAGTTCTCCCAGCTACTTAGAAGGCTGAGGCAGAGGATCGTTTGAGCCCAGGAGTTGGAGGCTGCAGTGAGCCATGATTGTACCACTGTACTCCAGCCTGGGCAACAGAGTGAGACCTTGTCTCCAATTAAAAAAAAAAAAAGTGTGAAGGTCAGTCACAGCTCTGCTACTGCATAATAAATGTTCATTAGTGATAAGCATTGAACCAGTGTAATAGTTACTGTTTCCTAGAATATTACTTTCCCTAGACCTGTTCTGGGTGTCTGGAAATAAATTCTAGAGGTGTAATATTCCCAGAGTAGACCTCATCTCAGAGATCAATCAAATTTCAGAGATGACCACACCTCAGCTTTTCTACACTACTTTTGAGAAAGAAAGTTGTTAGCCATGATGCCAAAACTGACCCACTAAGCCTTTCGGGGCTATGGATGTACATCTGTCAAATGGCAGCAAATGTTGAATAATGCCCAAAACAGGATGGTCTGAAAATTAATACTTGTATTAGTGCCATCATGCAAACATTCACCATTTTTGTGAGCTTTTAACAAAAATGGTTTGCCTGAATTGAAATCTAATTCGATAACTTTGAGTCCTACTGATACCATTCTAGCCAATCTTTTGAACTTTTATTTCTCTTTGAGTTCTGGGAAATTGTCAGTTATTCTAAATGCTAGCTCGTAGACCAGTTGGTTAGGAGTATCTGGTTAAAAAAAATGACCTGATTTAGAGCTCGTAGTTCAGTGTGGGTAGTCTCTACATTTTCCATGTAGCATTGTTTCAAAAACTGCAAAAAGGTATATTTTAACAGTGGTTCAAACTGTAAAGTGCTGAGCAGATCTTGGGGAACATCAAGACATGGGTTCTCTGTGTTCTTCTCCATAATGTGGGAGATTAGAGGGCTGTCTGGCAGAATTGTGAGCTCTGAGCACAGCCTTGCCTCTAAGGTGCCCGGCTCGGTATCTTTATGCAGAAGCCTGACAGTGAACTAGCAGTCTTTTCAGTACTTTTTTCCAGGGCCAGATTTTTTTTTTTAAGTTTTAAACATATGAAAACATTTGATTCAAATGGTCCTAATAATATGTTTTCTATTTTTCCTGTAAAACCAGGAGTTGAGTTTGAATAACAGCAGAAAACTTAGGAATTAATATAGAGGAGCTATTTTAAATGATCTAGCAGTATAATTATTTGCTCAGAGATTTGTGTAATCAAAAAGGTTTTCAGCCAGGCGAGGTGGCTCACACCTGTAATCCTAGCACTTTTGGAGGAAGGCTGAGGTGGGCGGATCACCTGAGGTCAGGAGTTCAAGGCCAGCCTGGCCAACATGGTGAAACCCTGTCTCTACTAAAAATACAAAAATTAGCCTGGCGTGGTGGCACGTGCCTGTACTCCCAGCTACCCAGGAGGCTGAGGCAGGAGAATCACTGGAACCAGGAGGCAGAGGCTGCATTGAGCTGAGATCATGCCACTGCACTACAGCCTGGGAGACAGAGCAAGACCCCGTCTCAAAAAAAAAAAAAAAAGGAAATTTTCATTGCATGTACCCCATAAATAATATACACATATTTGTATATATAATATTCACACTCAAATTCACATTCAGTTCAAAATTACACAAAAATTCAAAATAAAAAATTTAAACAAAGGAAAAAGTTTAAAAAGCATTTAAAAAGATGGTTTTCATGTTGAAAACATCCATCTTGACATTCTTTTACCCGTAGCCTGTTTAATATTCTTTATTTTGACTGTATTTCATTCTCCTACTTTGCCAAACTCACTTTTTCAATCTTTTTCCTCCATGCGTGCCCTAACTATGGGTAGTCTCACAAAGCCCAATTCCTGGCTTTTTGTTATTTTTTTACACTTTCTGTTAATTTTGTATACCTCTTATGAATTAGCCTATCTGTCCTTAAGTTTCTGTGGCATGCCGTCATACATGACGTCCTGCCTTTTAATCCTGCATTTCTCCCCTCCCCCCAAAATATATGATATTGTAAAAAGATAGTAGGCACCTCACTTTCACTGTTTTTCTGCAGCCTACTTTTTAAAAAAAGACCCTCTTTCCCCAGTGTTCTCTTTTTTTTTTTTTTTTTTTTTTTGAGATGGAGTTTTGCTCCTGTTGCCCAGGCTGGAGTGCAATGGTGCAATCTCAGCTCACTGCAACCTCTGCCTCCCGGGTTGAAGCTATTCTCCTGCCTCAGCCTCCTGAGTAGCTGGGATTACAGGCATGCACCACCATGCCCAGCTAATTTTTTGTATTTTTTTAGTAGAGATGGGGTTTCTTCATGTTGGTCAGGCTGGTCTCGAGCTCCCAACCTCAGGTGATCTGCCTGCCTTGGCATCCCAAAGTGCTGGGATTACAGGTGTGAGCCACCGCACCTGGCCCCCAGTATTCTCGTTATTGCCTTAAAATCACTATCTTCCGACTTCCCCAAATAAGAGCCTGCAGGTCACCTTTGAATATTTCATCATCACCTCGGTATTGTATTTGTCACCAAGTCCTGCTATTTTTTCCTTAAAAATGCCTCTCAGACCTGTCCTTTGATCCTCATCAGTACATTGCTGTCCCTGTCATGTTATATGTGGACTGCTGCAGTTGCTGGCTATCTGGTCTACCTCGCTCCAGTCTTCCACCCTCTAGTCTCTAGTTCTTCCTGCATATGTGGCCCTAACACTGTTTTGTTGTTATCATTCCTTTCCTGGTTCAGTTTCCTTTAATGTTTTTTGTTTGTTTGTTTTGTTTTTACTTTTTTCTTTATTGTGTTGAAATACACATAACATAAAATTTACCATTTTAACCATTTTAAATGTACAGTTCAAAGATTTTTAAGTAAATTCACAATGTTTTGCAACCATCACCACCATCCACCTGTAGAACTTTTTCACCTTCCTAAATGGAAATTCCATAACCATTAAACAATAACTCCCCATTCTCCTCTCCCCGCAGCCCCTGGCTATCTCTATTCATGTCTCTATGAATTTGACTGCTCTAAATACCGCATATAAATGTAGTCATACAGTATTGTCCTTTCTGTCCTTTTGT
The DNA here is from genome assembly GCF_000001405.40 of Homo sapiens. Taxonomy (NCBI): domain Eukaryota; kingdom Metazoa; phylum Chordata; class Mammalia; order Primates; family Hominidae; genus Homo; species Homo sapiens. The sequence goes on along the minus strand of NC_000003.12, from coordinate 57,137,995 downwards.
GCCAATGTCAAATTTTTAAAGATTGTTTTTAGTGGTCTTGATCTGTAGGGAAGTTGATGAAGATTTGGTAAAAGCTAACAAAGGGCCTTTGCTTTGAGTCTTCTTATCTCTTTAGTATTTAATGAGCTCTGTTTGGAAGCATGACACTGGTTTACTCTGAGTACAGACAGGAAAGTCAAGGTGTGTAAGAGCAACAGGGGAAGATTAGAGACTCCCAACTTAGGCCTCTGTGGCACTAACCTAATACCAAAAGTTTTTTGTCATGGAGGGAAGAGAAGTGAAAATTGGAAGCGGCTGGTGACCAGGACTCACCTTCCTCCTTCTTAAATACCTTCCATCTGTATTAGGGGCAGGGAATCAATTTCCATCTTGAAATGGATATGTGTTTTGAGACCCCAGCTCCAGTCTTCTGTTTTATAAGTGTCACTTCTGCTCTCCAGGCCCTGGGGTTTGACTCATCCCATCTGTTCAATTCTTGGGTCCTTTGGATTCATCCTTTGAAGCTGCTGTTTCATTGCCTCTTTCTTCCTTCCTCATCTCCCCACCTACCCCATTGCCACCTTGGCCTGTATCAGAGACCTTTTCCCTGTGCTTCTGTCTGCCAAATCTAGGCTTGTGCTCACATCTGTAAGGACCACTGTATTTGGATCTTGCCTGTCTCCAAGATGTACCACATGCAAAGCTGAACCCACTTGGCTATTTCAGCCCTATGGTGCCCATCTTTTCAGGCCAGTTGGGGGTGTCTAACACAGAAGCAATGAGGGTGTGTTGGTCACTTCCAGGGATGTGGGAAGTGTTTATTCTGGATGACCAGGAAGACTCTGTGTCATCCCTGAGAAATAGCAACCATTTCCTGAATGCTTACCATGTGTTGGGCACTGGGTGGTACAGTTGGTAGCACAAGCTCCTGGGTCTGTGTTTGCTTGAAATAAACTTCCTTCCCCTCCGCAACCCCAAAGCTTGACATGCCTCCTCTGAAGACACTTCTCTGGCTAGCCTTCCTCTGTTCAATTACCCCTTGTCTGAAATCTTATTACACATAGAGCTCAGTGGCATAACTTAGCCCATTCATTCTAGGCAGTGTAACCTTATCTACTGTAGTTTCGTGTCTTTTAGCTTTGTTTTCCAAAACTAATTGTAAACACCTAGAGGCAGGGGTCTAGTTTAGCCTTATTCTCACTCAAAATGGCTTTCCCAAGTGCAAAAGCATATTTCAAGCTCTTGAGACATCTGGTTGATAAATCCTGGGGCATTTGCAGAGGTTTTTCATGGATAAATGAGAAGGAGAGAATCCTAAAAGCAAGTTAAATATTGCTTTTAGATCAGCTAAGTTTTTTTTTTTTTTTTTTTTTTTGAGTGGGGGTTGGGGGCGGGGGAGGGGTAGACAGAGCTTTGCTCTGTTTCCCAGGCTGGAGTGCAGTGGTGCAATCACTGCATCCTCAACCTCCTGGGCTCAAGAGATCCTCCTCAGCAGCTGGGACTACAGGCGTATGCCACCACACCCAGCTAATTATTCTTATTTTTCATACAGATGGGGTCTATGAGATGGAGTCCAGGCTGGTCTTGAATTCCTGGTCTCGAGCATTCCTGCTGCCTTGGCCTCCCAAAATGCTGGGATTACAGGTGGGAGCCACCATCCCTGGCCAGGCTGTTTTTGAGGCAGAGCTCATTCTTTCTTCTTCCACACCTGGGCTACATATGTGTTGTGATTCTAATCACAAAATGGAATTTACCGTTTTTTACCAGTGAGTGGTTTTTATCTCCTTAGCTTGATCTGTAAAATCAAGCCACCCTGACTCTCTGGAAAGAGTTGGAGGTCTTAGGTTTCCACACGGCTGTAATGTGATTGTTGTGCTGGAGAGAGGAAGACATTGTTATCTGCTTCCTGGATTTGCCAGTTTCCCTTTTAATTTTACACAGTTCTGTTATTCACTGGAGACCAGTCATCTAATCATAAAATCCCCTACATTTATGTAATTTTAAAGAAACATACAGGATAAATTATAGTAATTTGGTTACCCTGCAGAACAGCGTTTAGGATACCCACATCAATAGGCAACCTACCAGCGTATCAACGTGTGTATACTGTGCAAGTAGCCTTGTCACCGTGTCCTCTTGCCTTTTCCATGTACACAGCCGGCTCTGGAGCAGGTGACGGGGCCTGCTATACTACTTCCTACTAATGGTGTTTTCCCTTTGTAGAAAATGATGGTTGATGACAGTTGATAAGACCCTTAGAAAGAATTTTGCCCAGTGGTCCTAACTCACTTTATTAGGCTCTTTTTGTTATTTCCTCCATAGATCTTACATATTTCACCCAGAAGGAACTGCATTAACTGATAGCTGGTGGAGATTTATGAGAGCAAATGTTATATATATTAGGATCTAATTTATGTCAAGTCACAGTCCATGTGATGCAGGCAGTAAAGACCGTCTGGAAGAGTCTTCTTCAAAATGATGGAATGGGAGAAGTTTCATATTCTTCTTTGTACTTAATTTTATTTTACCTTGAACTTGTTATCTTTACAAAAATAATAAAGCTGTCTTCAAAAGAAAAGCCTACAGTTCTAGAAACTTGAAAACCCACTCTTAGGGAATCTCTGAGAATCATTGAGCATCCCACCACTTCGCAGGCAGTTGGGGAAGTGGCAGGCAGGAAGTGGCACATCCTGGCCTGGCCTTCTGCCTCCTCCCAGCCTCCTGCCCACCTTGCTCTGAACCTGCTGTGCCTTTGGGGCTTCACCTCCTCAGTGCTCCAGGAAATGCTTGAATCTGTGTCCCTAGAAGCAGTGCTGCTCACCTGACAGCTTGGCCTCACACTGACCCAGCTCCCCATTCTTTGTTTTTTTTGTGTGTTTTTTGTTTGTTTGTTTGTTTTTGTTTGTTTTGAGACAAGGTCTTGCTCTGTTGCCCAGGCTGGAGGGTAGTGGAGTGATCATGGCTCACTGCTACTTCCATCTCCTGGGCTCAAGCCATCCTTCCATATCAACCTCCCAAGTAGCTGGGACTACAGGTGCATGCCACCATACCTGGCCAATTTTTGTGTTTTTGTTGGTAGAGATGGGGTTTCACCATGTTGTCCAGGCTGGTCTGAAACTCTGGGGCTCAATAATCCCCCTGCCTCAAAGTGCTGGGATTGCAGGATTGAGCCACCACACCTAGCCCCCATTCTTAGCTTATTTATTTATTTATGGCAGGTAAAGGCTTGTTTTATTTTAGTGGTTGATCTACGTAATCGCTGAGGCCAGTATGTACAGACAAAGGGGGAGCTTTCACTTCTCGGTCTCTTCCTCCTTAGACAAAGTCTTGATGATCTCCTCCTTGGCCTGTAGGCGGTCTTCATGGTGCTTGCGTGCTTCCTTGGTCTTAGACCTGCGGGCCTTAGCCTGGTCAGCCTGCAGCTTCTTGTGGGCCTTGTCTGCCTTCAGCTTGAGGATGTGTTCCATGAGAATCCACTTGTTTTTGAACACATTCCCCTTCACCTTCAGGTACAGGCTGTGATATGTGTGGTGATCAATCTTCTTAGATTCACAGTATCTTCTCAGCAGCCAGCACAGAATCCGCATTCTCCTCATCCAAGTTACGTTCCCTGGCATTTGGGCATTGGCTGTACCCTTTCGCTTACTTATGCCCATGTGCCTGCCCTTCCAGCGGGCCAAGGTGTTTTCCCGGCATCAAGCCCGGGAATGGAAAGTCACAGGTTTGTAGATGATCAGCCCATCTTTGATCAGCTTCTGGATCTGCTGATGGAAGTTGGCATTGGCGATTTCATTGGTCTTATTGGGGTCCAACCAGACCTTCTTCTTGCCACAGCAGAGGACACTAAAGGCGAGCCTCATCTGAAACCTGAGCATACTCATGGCTGTGGCCGCAGCAGCGAAAGCAATGAGCTCCCCGATTCTTAGTTTAAAGTCAGTTTAGCCAGAACCTTTGGACTTTCCTTTAAAAAAGAATTAATCACTGCTTTTAATCTTTTCTGGTTAGCTTCTGTTTCATGCTAACTTCATGACAAAATGTTACAGGTTTCTAATTTAATTTCACCATATTACTTTGATTTTGTAAACATTTCTCCATGGGAAGCCTTAATGAAGTGGCAAGATACATTGATTTCTTTCTGTTGACAGGTGAAGGGACAAGGTTGTATGTGCCATTTACTTGCCTCAGCCCTATAGGAGAGGACTAGGAACACACCACCAGGCCCACTTCATCAGGGGTGGAAATATGCTCCTACCTGCTGTTCCATCTGCTGCGTCTGCCTCACAATGGATTTGCTTTATAATTGACCTCTCTATACCACTCCTTGCCAGAAATCCTTGGAGAGGGAGTGCAGGGAGACCTTAATTCCTGGGAACACCCCACTGCCTTCTTCACCCACAAAAAAGACATTTATCAAAATCTAAAATTGACCAAGACATCAGTACTTCATTTTTACATCATTCTTTGCCTTCTCCGAATGACATTTTAGTGGTTCAAGGAAATTAAAACAAAGCTGAATACTCCTTGGCAAGCATAATTATTTCCTGGCCTAAATGTCATACAATGATTTAATTGGTATGTCATTGTGTGTATGTGTGTTTGCATGTGTGTGTGTGTGCTTTAATGGAAATTCCATGTGGTATCTTTGGGAAATTAGGAAAGAGAGTCTTCTAGATTTATTGCTTATAGTTTAAGAACAGACTGCTGGCTTCCATCCAAATAGTAGGACGATGTAAAGTTACAGGGATCATTAGTGTTTGAATATATCCTTCCGATTGCCTGCTATTTTAAAATTAGTTTGGCAAAAGGTAAAAGTCAGAACTGACAGTGAAATTTTTTACGCTTTGAAACTTGTAACATTCATCAAAATAAACTTGTGGGGGACTTGGCATCATGTAAGCGATGGTGTCCTTTGCTTTATACCAACATCTTAATTTTGAAGCTGAATGAGTTTTGCTGTGGCTGGAGTAGGAGTCAGAGACATAGATTATTCATTTTGGAAAGTTGGAATTTTAGATTATCCTTCATAGTGGCTCATGCACAGATACTATAAAATATATCCCAAACCCAACTCAGTTTTGTGTGTTGACCGCAAATACCATACTCTGCAAAGGCAGTTGAGCAGGAGTGGGAAAATCAGCTGTTTTCTTCATCTAGTGGACACTATGAGTATTTTCCTCCACACTCAGTGATGAAAAAAAAAGAATAAGAATTAGCCACATCCTAGTTCACTTTTTATCTTGATTCAGTGCAACTGACTTGGCTGCAGACATAACTGTTGTCACCTGTGATCCGAAAGGTGCTAGATACCTCTGTCTTGATGGGTTTATGTGCTCAACAGTGTAAGTTGTTGCCTTTCATGTTTCTACTTTGTAAAGTTCATGAGTCCCAGCATCTTGGACAAAGTGTTTAGTTACTGAGTTGTAACAAATACTGCCTATAAAGGATTACAGTTGGATGGCATTAATCCAATAATTATATTTAAAATGGAGATTTTACATCAACCACTTCCCTCCCCCATTAGAATTTTTTGTTTGTTTTTGTTGTTGTTGTTGTTTTTGAGACAGAGTCTTACTCTGTCGCCCAGGCTAGAGTGCAGTGGTGCGATCTCGGCTCACTGCAACCTCTGCCTCCTGGGTTCCAGCGATTCTCCTGCCTCAGCCTCCCGAGTAGCTGGGATTACAGGCAGGTGCCACCACGCCTGGCTAAATTTTTTTTTGTATTATTAGCCATGTTGACCAGGCTGGTCTCGAACTCCTGACCTTGTGATCCCCCAACTTCGGCCTCCCAAAATGCTGGGATTACAAATGTGAGCCGCTGCGCCCGCCCCTTCTTTTACAGTGTCTTGCTCTGTCACCCAGTCTGGAGTGTGGTGGTGTGATCTCGGCTCACTACGGTCACAACCTCCTTGGCTCAAGCGATCCCCCTGCCTCAGCCTCCCAAGTAGCTGGGACCACAGGTGTGTACCACCATGTCTGGCTAATATTTTTGTACTTTTTGTAGAATGGGTTTCACCGTTTTGCCCAGGCTGGTCTTAAACTCCTGAGCTCAAGCAATCCGCTGGCCTCCGCCTCCCAAAATGCTGGGATTACAGGTGTGAGCCACCATGGCTGGCCTGAATTTTGTTTTTAATCACCGAAGTAAAACCACTCTCTATTATTCAACAGACGTAGCTTTAAGCTATCAAGCTATTGAGTGGAGCTGGACTATAAGGCAGGTGAGAGGTCTGGGGGCTTCAGGGGTCCAGAAGCCTCCTGAAAATACCATGTGCCAATGTGTGTGCACACATGCACCACAGTTCTCCCCCAAATAAAAAGCTGTGAGTCTTGGTAATGAGGGGTAAATGAGAGCAAAGTGATTTTGGCCTTGGTGGTGATAGTATTGCCAAGAGAGGGATGACGGTAGGATTGCAGCTGTATAGCAACTCACACTCACCCCGTTTTCAGATCTCACCAGTGTTTTTCTGAAGGCCTCAGGATATCACTCAAACCTTCAAAGTCCTTGCATCTTGAGGCCAAACTTTGTACTTCAGTCCATGAACACATGAACAGAGTGCACCTGTGGTTGATGGGCATTGGGCTGGGTGTGGCACAGCCTGGGACTCCTGTTGGCTGAATACTTTCACCTTTCTTTGTTTCACCCTTCTTAAGGCAGGACGGTGGTATTTTGTAACCAGTGGGCACTCAGCGAGTGTGAGTTGCATGCTTATACTGAAAGGTTCTAGGAAATCAGGTTTGGAGGCTCTTTCTGTAGAAAGGCAGTGCTGCTCGCCCAACATTGAGACTTGATATTTCTCCCAAGTAACTGGGATTCCCACAGCTTGGGGAGAATCAAGACAGTTGAGAGTGGTGGGCTGGAGGAACAGCTGAGGTAGGAGGGGGTGGGGGAGGGGAAGCTTGTTCACATGCTTGTTAACATTTAAGGGTCTTTGACAAAGGAAGTCTAATGCCTTGCCCCGGTCAGCCGGTGATTGCCCCCCGGGAGGCCCCGTTGTGCACAGGAAGTCAGACACTAATGATGTTAGCGAGGGGACAAAGGCGCCTGGCCTGGGAAGGGTCTAATTGCTGTGTCCGGCTCCCAGGCGGCTGGCCTCAAGCTGGTGGGGGCTGGGCAGGATGCGCTAAGTGTTAACACCTGGAGCCGGCACTGCTGACTTCCTGGTGCTTTTTTGTTGTTGTTGTTGGCTTTGTGGCTGGGCACACATACTGACAACACACACACTCAAAGGCATTCAGAAACCCTGACTGCATCTCAGGGGGATGTTTCAGGACTTGCTATCTAAGAGACTAGATGGAAATGGTTTGATCAGGAGGTAACACCGTGAGTGTCACCCCTGGGCCGGGCAGGGCCGTGAAACAGGAGGCTTTACTCCTGTTTCTCCTCCCATCTGCCCGTCAGAGCTTGGTGACTGTGGCTTCACCTCTGGGCTGACTACTTCCCTCTCCCCCAGAAAGCTTCTGGGAAAGGCCAGACCTTGCAGAGAGAGGCAGATACTTATTAGAAGGGTCACTCTGGCTTTAGCTTAGAACATTCTAGTCAGAATGAATGGGAGAATATTCACTCCTGGAGGACAGAGAGAACCAGCTGGGGTCACCCAAGGGTGGTTATGGTATATGTGTGGATATTTTATATATTGCTATTTGAATTCACACCTGGAGAGGTAGTTGGAGGGTCTGCATCCCAGGGAACTGGCAAAGCCAAGATGCACCCTTTGATTTCTGAGTGGGGTCTTGGGATTTTTTGTGTCTAAACATGGCTTTGGACCTGGGGGCCTGTGAACCCCTCAGAGGCCCTTGGGTGGCCTTCATGAGCTCTGGGAACCTCCCAAAATTGTGTATGAAAAGTTTCTGGGGGAAATTGGGTAAGGATTATTTTTCACAGGATTCTCCAAAGGTTCTAGTAAACTTTTCCTCTTAACAAAAACAGGGTCATCAGTAATTAAAAGCAAATACACCCTGCCTTGGCCAGTAGCCCTGCAGGGTGGGATTAGAGGTTCAGTTCAGCAAGGGTAAGGCTACCTGGAGCCTGAGGTGGGCTACTAATGGCAGGCAGTTTTGAGCACAGGTTGACTCACTTGGATTTTTGCAGCTAGAGAACAGGGGCATTTAAAAGGATGCTTGAAGCCTGTCTCCTTCCTAGAGAAAGTGGGGGAAAGCCACACATTTTGAAAAAGGGCCTAATGCTGACTTACTGCTTCCCACTGTTATTTTAAGGTTTTTCTGTCCGAGACCACCATGTGGACAGACTTAATCGGCTGACAGAAGGGGTTGCCTTGCTTTCTAGCATGTCCTGTAATATTTCCATTAACACTGAAACCTAAAATGATGGCCTTCCATAATTTCCAAATATGCGAAATCCACCTTGAAGGAAATGTGCGTGGGGCTTGCCGGGGACCTGTTGGGGTGGAGGAGGCTGGGTCCCCATGGCAACGTCACAATCCCCCATTTCTATAGGCATTTGTGCTGTAAAAGCAGAATTCCAGATGTGGCTTAGTATTTGGAGACTCAGTCCCTGTGCCTCGGAAACAGTGGTATTTGAAGTCAGCACAATTCGGTGCACCTCTCTGTGTGGTCCTAAGGCTTTTCATTAGTAGTTGTGTTTTGATCTGAACATTTCCTCTCAGCTTAGGCATAACAATCATGTTTATAGCTTTAAGTTTTCCTCTATTGTCTAATCACTATTTTGCCCTCATAGGAAGAGACTTTTTCGGCTTCTGGAGTGAAGTCTTTGTAACTGTTCCTTTCACGGCTAAGTGAGAGTGAGTCAGTAGCCGATTTGCTGGGTGGGTATTTGGGTGGTTGGTTGTTTGCTTCCTCTTTGTACCCAGTATTTATGGAAAAAGCATACACAGACACAGTTAATCTGAGTCTGTGTATGCTTTTTAAACTACAGATGGGTTGACTGTTACCTTAAAGATGCCAGTTCTCTAACATGCGGTTCTCATTTGAGTGGATGGGAGTGGTGTGCGAAGCGGAGGGAAAGGTCTGGCTCTCTGTCCATAGGCATGTTTTATAGCGTGTCTCTAACGTTTTCGGAATTGGAAAAATGGAACAATCCTGTCTATTTGTGATTATCAGCCATGGGAGAACACACAGCCCAGATCCTTAACAGACTAATTGGAAAAAGTACTTGAGTTTTTGCTTTGTGAGAACTAAAGAGACTGCACAACTTTGTTTTGCCTTGTTTTTAAACCCAGGGAGAAAGTTTGCTTGTGTGCATTGCGTGTGTGTGTGTCTGTGTTGATATCTCTGGGTTTTAGCTGCACGGCTGGTTCCAGTGGCAAAGCAATAAGAAAATCATAAAGTCAGGCGTGGGGAAGAACATTAAAAAATATATGCAGTTCCATTCAGGCCACCATCATTTAGAGAAGTTGCTGTCGGAGAAACAACTCACACCAATGTCCTAACATATCTTTATCTTTAGTGAATGGATTTCCTAACATATCTTTATCTTTAGTGAATGGATTTCGGGGGGCAAAGTGGGTGGAGGGGTGGGATAGTGAAAAGAAATTTGGATGAAAACTAGAGCTTTCAGTTTGATAAGCAGGACACATGGTAACTTGGCATGGGTCGGCCTCATGTTAGAGCTCAGAAACAATTGTCCCTTCAGCTTTCCTTTGGAGAGCGTGAAATTAGGAACATGTGTGTGCTGATTAGCAACATGTCAGAGATGAATCACGATTACGGCTTTGGTCTGGTGCACAGGCGGTGCTCTGGAGTAGTGATTTCCTACTTCCCCGAGCAAATCTCTTTAATTAGCTTAAGATCTCCGGGTCTTTTTGGGCCAATGTGGTAATTGCTGGTGGGAACCCAGCAGCACTCCCCAAGAGCTTGTGTGTTCCTTGCTACGCATCCAAGACCTCACCTCCAAATCAGACTGCTGGCATCCTTCATTTCTGAAGTTGGTTGCATCTCAATTTGAGAGAGAGAGAGAACAGCTCCTGGGAATGTGGAGAGAATATCTTGAACAGATCCAGGCCCAGGCTGGCTTTTGATTTATTTTCCCTGCGTTTTGCGTTCACCAGCATTCTCTTCAGCTTACATCACCTGGGGCTTCTCTGCCTTTGCCGACTTTTTGTTGTTGTTGTTAAAGGTTTGAACTGAAGTAAGTGGGGTCTATCTTTGTTTAGGAAACCATCTGAACTGGCATGGAGTCAAATGGCCCCATATTCTGCTTCGTCTCACCCTTCTCATGTCCATTGGTCAGAGACAAAGATGTTAGTCCCGTTGTACGTTTTAAGCCTCACAGCACTGTCTGCTGTTACACAGTGGAAGCCCAAGATGGAGAAAATTTTATAGAAAAACAGAAAGTATGGCTGGGCTTGGTGGCTCACGCCTGTAATCCCAGCACTTTGGGAGGCCAAGGCGGGCAGATCTCTTGAGATCAGGAGTTCGAGACCAGGCTGACTAACATGGGGAAACACCTGTCTCTACTAAAAATACAAAAATTAGCCAGACATGGTGGTGGGCGCCTGTAATCCCAGCTACTTGGGAAGCTGAGGCAAAAAAATCTCTTGAACCCAGGAGGTGGAGACTGCAGTGAGCCAAGATCACGCTATTGCACTCCAGCCTGGGCGACAAAGCAAGACTCTTATCTCAAAAAAAAAATATATATATATATATATTTATTTATTTATTTATTTATATATATATATTTATATTTATATATATTTATATATATTTTTATATATATTTATATATATTTTTATATATTTTTATATATATTTATATATATTTATATATATTTTTATATATATTTATATATATTTATATATATATTTATATATTTTTATATATATTTATATATATTTTTATATATATTTATATATATATATATATGAGTTGGCCTTAGTTTTAAGTAGTTACTAGGTGTACCTTTAAAAAAACCCATCTTCCGGCCGGGTGCAGTGGCTCATGCCTGTAATACCAGCACTTTGGGAGGCCAAGGCGAGTGGATCACCTGAGGTCAGGAGTTTGAGACCAGCCTGGCCAACATGGCAAAACCCTGTCTCTACTACAAATACAAAAATTAGCCAGGCATGGTGGTGGGCACCTGTAATCCCAGCTACTCGGGAGGCTGAGAGGGTAGGATCACTTGAACCTGGGAGGCGGAGGTTGCAGTGAGCCGAGATCTCACCACTGCACTCCAGCCTAGGCAACTAAGCAAGACTCCGCCTCAAAAAAAAAAGTCTTCTCAATTCTTTGTGCAAATGCTCTTATTTAAATTTTCACTCTAACTCTGTTCACTAAAACATTACTGGCTTTCTGAAAGTTCCTTACTTGATTTGAAAGTTTGGCCTGCCTTCCACTGGAAGAGGGGCGCTATATTTAGCACAGTTCTTGAAATGCATTTTTCCAAAATGGCAGTTAAGCTATGCTGGAGGTGAATTGGAAATGTTGCTCTGGGAAGTTAGTGTCTTCAAATGGCTTAGAATGCCCAAAGGCCCCTCAGGAAGTTGGCTGTCTGATCACCTTCATGGCTGCCCCTAGCTGCTGCCTGTGGATCCTGCTCCGCTGCCGGCCTCTCTGTATCCAGGCCTTTGCTTCTTTGCCATATATGGCTGGAGCATGGTGTGGGTTTTTAGCTTTTGAATTTTATTCATTTAGAGCACTTAAGGGTTATCCTCCCCTCCCTTCCTGAGTTAAAGATGTTTTCTCCATTATGTTGCCATTTGCTGCTTCCGTCCCTACTGACCATAGAGCACCAACCAAAGGAATTTCATAGCAGCACTCCAGACAGCCGGGGCTTGCTGCTTAGCTCCCTTTGGAACAAATTAAAAGCTACCCGTTAGTGCAGCAAATGGGGGTGCTTAATTAACTAAGAATGTGGCACCCTGAGTCCACTGCATTGGCATTTATAGTTTTCAAGTAACAGGCAACAAACAAGTATTTTTAATCGTCAGCTCATTAAATATCAAAAATGGTATAGTAGCTAAAAGCTTGGGATTGTTTCTTGAAGAACAGTTTACAAAGCTGGTCAACAGCCTTGTAAGTTGCCTTATCTGTTTTCTCTTAGTGTGGGCCCTCATTCTAAGCCCATAAATCAGTGTAACACCAAGCTAGGTTCTTGGGGTATATTACTTGGCTTAATAATGCATTCATTTATTCAGGCAGAAAACTTATACTTATCAAGGACTATGTGTCAGGCCCAGGACTGTAGGCAGGGGTTTTGAGGGCTGTCCTCCTCGACTCTGTCTTCAGCCTCTCCTTTTCCAATCCAACCTATGCCCTTAACAAAACTGGAGTTACTAGGCCTCCTTGACCATCTGTTGAATGCATTTTAGTCTGGTGATCAGTGCCTACCAATACCTTGCCCTGACCTGTCTGTCTGTCTTATCTTCCACAATCCTCCAAGGTTCTGGATGCAGAAGACAGATCACTCCTAGGAAATGCACCACCTGTGACCTTTCTCCAGTCTTCCTCATTATCTCTTTGTAACTTGTCCTGCAGTACAACTCTCACCTGCTTATTGAGGCAGTAACCTTCTTGGGAAGGATGACCTAAACATTTCTGAGGTTATTGTGTGTCAGATGCTATGCTGAGCACTTGATATATGTCATCTCACACAATGCTTTCCACAAAGTTTTATTCAAACACTTTTTTTTTTTCTTTAGAGATGGAGCCTCACTCTTTTTGCCTAGGCTGGAGTGAAATGGCGCGATCTTGGCTCACTGCAACCTCCACCTCCCAGATTCAAGCAATTCTCCTGTCTCAGCCTTCCAAGTAGCTGGGATTACAGGCACCCACCACCACGCCTGGCTAATTTTCGTATTTTTAGTAGAGGCGGGGTTTTACCATGTTGGCCAGGCTACTCTCAAACTCCTGACCTCGGGTGATCCGGCCGCCTTGGCCTCCCAAAGTGCTGGGATTACAGGTGTGAGCCACTGCACCCAGCCTATTCATATACTTTATAGCTCAGGGAGGTTCAGAAATTTACCCAGAGTCACACAGCTGGAAAGCTGGTGGTTTAGACACACATCTGCATAACTCCAAAACCAACTGTCTTAACCACTTTTCTACTTCTGGGGGTCAGCCCCAGGTCAGCCCACAGAAGCCTACATCTAGGACAGTAGAATCTCAAGCGGCAGCTCTGATGGGTGCATGTTCTATGCCTGCCTGAAGCTTGGGTTGGGGAGAACACAAGGACAGGGATCAGCTCCGGGTGTTGGGGGGCAGGGTGGAGGAATGACAGCACGTGCCGTGTGTGTGACATGGAGGTCTATTTTATCCATATTGCAGCTGAAATTATATGAGTGTATATTAGCTTTCAGTTGCTTCTATAATAAATTACCAAAACCTTAGTGGCTTAAAATGACTTACGTTTATTGTCTTATTATAGTTCTGGAGGTCAGAATTCTAAAACGGATCTTAATGTGGCCAAAATCAAAGTGTTGGCTGCGCTGGCTCCTTCTGGAGGCTGTAGGGGAGGATTCATTCCTTGCCTTTTTCAGTCTCCAGAGGCCGCCTGCTTTCTGTGGCTCCTTAGCTCCTCCTTCCTCCATCCACAAAACCAGTACTTAAAATCGATCTCTCTTTCTCTCTCTCCTCATTGCATTGTCACATGTCTTTGATTCTGACCCTTCTGTCTTCCTCTTGTAAAGACCCTTGTGGTTATTGGGCCCACTTGGATAACCCAGAATACTCTCCCCATCTCAGGATACTTGAACTTAATTACATCTCCATAGTCCCTTTTGCTCTGTAAAATAGCATACTCACAGGTTCTGGGAACTAGAATGTGGACACGTTTAAGGGGCTATCATTCTACCTATCCTGAGGTGTAAGGAAAATAGAAGTGCACCATGGGCTAGCCTGGGATACCATTGCTAAGGTGGTTTCTGAGGGCTCTAGAGCAGCTGAAGTATTATTTGGGCGTTGAGCTAAGGACAGCCTTATAGAGCATCTGTGATGCATGTGCTGAGAAGCTGTGCACTTGAGGAATTCCAGGAATGAAAGGTTTTTGTTTGTTTGTTTGTTTGAGATGGAGTTTTGTTCTTGTCACCCAGGATGGAGTACGATGGCGCGATCTCGGCTCACTGCAACCTCCGCCTCCCGGGTTCAAGCGATTCTCCCGCCTCAGCCTCCCAAGTAGCTGGGATTACAGGTGCCCGCCATTACACCCAGTTAATTTTTTGTATTTTTAGTAGAGATGGGGTTTCACCATGTTGGTCAGGCTGGTCTCAAACTCCTGACTTCAGGTGATCCACCTGCCTCGGCCTCCCAAAGTGCTGAGATTACAGGTGTGAGCCACCACGCGCAGCCAAAAGGTCTTTAAAATGCATGTAAGAACTAATACCTGGGATGTTTTCTCCTGCTTCTGAGCTCCATGACCCGGCGTGGATGGCCACGGGGTCTTATGATCTCTGATTTTCTGTGGAATTGGAACTACCATTTTGCATCTACATCCCTAAAAGTGCCATGCTACTCAAATTGTGGGAATGAATTACCATGTTCCCCTCAAGTGAGTAGCAGTCAGACCGATGTGTCAGGAACACACAGTGTGATGCGGCAAGCAGCCCACCAGGGGAGGGGACCTGGGTGATAGGAAGAGAAGAGGAGGGGATTCTGAGAATGCAGGCATGCCCAAGGACATTTTCCGAGCAGAACTGCAGTGCCCAAAGGGTTTAGAAGGTGCAAGAGGGAGTGACTGGGAAGGTAGGCAGGTGTCACATCAGGAATGATCTGGAGGGACAGGGAGCCAGTGAAGGGCTCAAAGCAGGGGAGCGAGGGCAGATATGCACGTGGCCAGAGCCCCTTGAGGTCAAGACCTGGGTCTGCTTCATAGCTGAGTGCCCAGCCTTGTGAGTCTTAGGCCAAGGTGGAATGCTCAGCAGAGAGTGAATGGATGCCACAGGTAAGCTTCACTTTCCTTCCAGGCCTGCCTCACTGGACCCCCCTCTGAACAGTTCCACACACATCACAGAGACTTTATTTGGAGGGATTTAGGTTCTTGAATGCATGGCATAGCACACCTCACTGTCTTGGGCTCCTTTCCACAATGCATTGGCCATTGCCCAATAAGTACCTGCAAATAACATGTTGCAATAGGAATAAGAGGAAACAAACAAACAAATATAAGGGAACTGGAACAAAAAAAAAAGCTACATCTGACAAGTAAGGTGATTGGTCGCCAGGGTCCCTATGCACTAGGGAGCATATTGTTAGATGGAATGTGTTTCCTTTTTGCGAAGTCCCTCCTGTACCCGGCTTCATTTGATCTTCCTCAAAACCACCTCCTAGAGGAAAGCCATGTAAATTCTTTAAAAAAAAAAAAAAAAAAAAAGACAGTTGAGGAGACCCAGACCCAGTGGTGTAGAGCAGCGGTCCCCAACCTTTTTAGCACCAGGGACTAGTTTCGTGGAAGACAATTTTTCCATGCACTGGGGGGTCAGTAGGGGATGGTTTCGGGATCAGACTGTTCCACCTCAGATCATCAGGCATTAGTTAGATTCTCATAAGGAGCACAGAGCCTAGATCCCTCGTATGCACAGTTCACAATAGGGTTTGTGCTCCTATAAGAATCCAGTGCCACTGCTGATCTGACAGGAGTCGGAGCTCAGGTGGTAATGCTCTCCCACTGCCCACCTGCTGCGCGGCCTGGCTCCTAACAGGCCATGGACCAGGACCAGTCCAGGGCCCGGGGGTTGGGGACCCCTAGAGTAGAGTGGTTTGCCATCGGGCATCCGGTGGAGGATGGGAGGATTGAGGTACTAACCTTGGCTTCTAGATTATAGTTTTCTTTTCCTCCCATGATGTTACTCTGCTTTCCTCTTCATTCTAGCCCAGTTATCCTTCTCCTTGTTAAGCTTCTGGAATCTGTTATCTTACCCATCCTTCATTCATCCTTACTCAAGGGCTGTCTTGTGGCATTTCATACACTGTACTTACTTATGCCAGGCTCTTTCACCCTTGCTATATATACCTTGTTTTGCCATCTAAACTGGGCATTCTTGGAGGGCCAGGGTGTGATTTGAAATTTATCTGCATGCCTAGGACATAATCTACCTACCCAGTTAATCTTCTTTGAAATAATGAACCCCATGTTAATTCATTTCATGAGGGCGGGGACAGTGGCTGTTTTGTTTGCCAGCATAGCTAGCATAATGTCTGGCTCCTAATAGATGGGGAGTGAGTTTATGTCTTGGGGGCTTATAAGAGCACAGAACAGTGTGATTTGGGGATCTTGGGCTTTGGTCTTGGGGGATTGGATTGTCTCGTTCCTGGTCTCCTACCTGGTTGTGTTACTGTGGTGTCTGCCATCTGCAGGTTGAGCAGCCTTTAGTTGCACAAACTGTGGTCTTGTCCCTAAGCAGTTGTAGACACTCTTAGGATTTTAATAAGTTCACAACACTTTCCAAAGTGTTTTAGTTCAGGTGAGGAGTTCTGGAATCTTGTATATGTGGGGAAGAGAGGCTAGAAGGAGGAAAGCTGGAGAAGGAAGGTGAACTATGAAGAAGGGGAGCTTCAGTAGATTGTGGGCTGGTGTGTCATGTGGATTTAGGTTTTCTGTTACTTATTCCTCACCTTAGAGTGGGGGGTGGGTGGTGTGTCCATGTGCCCCTCTCTGCCCAATTGTGCTTTCCCAAGGCCCATGTATATCTGAGTTCAGGGATACACTTTCAGTGGGTGTGCCTGGCTTCAGGATAAGCAGCGTGAAGATGCCTGTGGCATATGGATGTCATGTGGTTGTGGCTGAAAACCCTGGGCTCCATCAGAAGTGTTCTCCACATTTTGTTTTGGTGTAACAATTACCCATTAAATGCCAGGCTGCCCGCATATGGTTCCCTCCAACATCCTTCTTGTTGAGTGGAAACTTCAGGTGTGTGGCTGGAATATTTTCCCATCATTTAGCATTTCAGAATTAACATATTTTGGAGAATTCTGTGATTAATGCTGAACGGCACATTTGCAGAGTATTACAGAAACAGTTAAATTGGAGTTGGTAGATCTGTAGCTGCTCTTTCTCATGATGCATAAGTGGTGGAAAAGGCGGGGTCAACGGGAGGATTCCGGGGCTCACTCTGTGGATGCTATAATTAAAGTGGGAAGTCTGGCACAGTTGTTAGCCCTGGTATTGAGTGCAGATGGCTGACGGCCACATCACCAAGAGTAAGAGTTAGGCCTTTTAAAGTCTTTTTTCTTTTTCTTTTATGACCCACACTATGTATTCCAAGCATAGGTATGGATGCAGTGAATAATTTTCTCATTAAAAGTAACAGCTTATTCCCATACTCATTCCCAGTCTTGAAATGAGAAACCAGTTTCCTTAGAGTTGAGGAATTGCCTATCTGTCGTGGCTTAATAGAGCTTGCGGATGAGGGCGTCTGGAGTAGATGAATTTTATAACCAATCAGTGCTCAAAGTGGATCTAACTGGAAGGGCTCCAGCTGGCAGCTCTTGGTCTCTCTCCCAATTTTACTGTTAATGAATTATTATTTAACCCCTAAACATAGAACAGCCTGCCCTTATTGTTTTAGGGGAAGTGAGTGCTCATGATCCCTATGGCCTGGCAGTTAGGAATCTCCTGGGCTGGCGGGAGTTTGACAGCTGTGGGGGGCCATGAAGCGGGCAGAAAGAGTGGTGGATGATGTCCGGGGACTGGCATGACCCTGGGTCTCAGCAGTGCTGCTTGCATTTGGACTCCATGGGGCTTTGTGTTGGAAGAGCAAATTGGCTTCACTCTGCATCATGTTCTCTTGTTTTCCCACAGGGAGTGGGGCCAGCCAGCAGAAACAGTGGGCTGTACAACATCACCTTCAAATATGACAGTAAGTAACCGCCTTTATTGCTGAAGAATGGAGCCCTTTGAGTCATCTAGAGATTACATAGCCATGCTTAATCAAGGACTCTGCAGTCTTGGGGTTGACGAATTTTCTGAACCTGTTCAGGTTTGTCAACAGCTAAAGCAGCTCAGTCTCAATTAGGCCACTCAAGTATTTGGGAGCTTGACCAGGTCAAGTGTCTTCCATAGTGTTCAGAAAAGTTGTGTAAGGAGACTTTCCCTGTGTTCCTTGGGGTTTATCTGCATGTGTTGTTAAGGACATAGCTGCCAGTATGGCCCAGCAAGGAACACATAAACAAAGTTGCCCCAGTGCAGGGTGCTAGGGAATGGTGGACAGTATGGCAAACTGGATAGCTCATGTCTAGTCTGAGGGGAGCCTTGACTCCTTAATTCCAAATATGGTGGCCATGAGGAATTCCCACTGAAGGTAGCAAATTGATTTCCAAGAATAGTGAGAAATTTGTGCTTTTTGTGTAAACATTTTTTAATAATGGCAGTTATTTTTAAAATTTCACACAGAGTGAATCTGTGTGAAATTCACACAAGGTGAATCTGTGTGAAATTCACACAAGGTGAATCTGTGTGAAACTGGGTTCCAGATGGGCCAGGGATCTGCAGTCTGCAGTTGGTTGGCCATCGCTGACCAGGCCTGGGCACCAACCGCAGTACCCCATCTATCAGTTCTTTTCTCTTTTCTTTTCTTTTTCTTTTTTGAGATAGAGTCTCACTCTGTCACCCAGGCTGGAGTGTAGTGGCGTGATCTCTGCTCACTGCAACCTCCACCTCCTGGGTTCAAGCGATTCTCATGCCTCAGCCTCCTGAGCAGCTGGGATTACAGGTGCATGCCACCACACCTAGTTTTGTTTTTTGTTTTTGTTTTTGTTTTTTTTGAGATGGAGTCTCGCTCTGTCGCCCAGGCTGGAGTGCAGTGGCACGATCTTGGCTCACTGCAAGCTCCACCTCCCGGGTCCGTGCCATTCTCCTGCCTCAGCCTCCCGAGTAGCTGGGACTACAGGCGCCTGCCACCACGCCAGGCTAATTTTTTGTATTTTTAGTAGAGATGGGGTTTCACTGTGTTAGCCAGGATGGTCTTGATCTCCTGACCTTGTTATCCTCCTGCCTCGGCCTCCCAAAGTGCTGGGATTACAGGAGTGAGCCACCGCGCCCGGCCACACACCCAGTTAGTTTTTGTATTTTTAGTAGAGACTGGGTTTTGCCATGTTAGCCAGGCTGGTCTTGAACTCCTGGCCTCAAGTTATCTGCCCGCCTCTGCCTCCCAAAGTGCTGGGATTACAGGTGTGAGCCACTGTGCCTGGCCCCACCTATCAGTTCTGTGAGCTGTGGCTAGTGATTTGACTTCTCCAGGCTTCAGTTTTCTCTTTTAAAATAAAACTTAGTTTCCTTCTTCTAGCATCATTTTGAGGTTTAAATGAGGTAATGCTTATAACTGCTCAACTTGGGAGCTGACTGCAATGTACATTCATTAAATTGATATCTATTAATATAGAAGCCAGTCCAACTGGAGTTGGAATGCAAGCACCACTTTTTTGCCCTTTCTCTCAAAAAAGGGTGACTCTTTCTGACTGAACTGTTTTCTAAGGGCATGTGGGGGGTGCTTTTTCTAAGCAGCTCCTTTCATTCATAAGAAGGTAGTTGTATAGAATTGTGATCATTTTAGCTTTATCAGCCATAATTTAAGTAAAAATGACAAGAAGGAACTTGACTCATATTTAGTGACGTCTGGCATCTGATTAATCTCTTGGACAGGGTTATGAATCAATGTAAGTAAAGGGCTTAGGTTGCATTGAGGCCTCTCAATGCATAATCACTGCTAAAGCAGGATTGTAAAAGTTGCGGTTACAATCTAACAATTTTAAGATACAAATATGTGTGTCAGATTCACACCCACAGTTGCTGGCATGGCTATTTTAGGCTAACCAGTGAGGACTTACACGTGCAACTCAGGGAGCTCACATTGGTGGTGTATATATGTTCTGGGTAAATGCTGGGTAGATGCTAATGAAAGATTTGCACATCCATGATACTTGGTTCAGCTAAGTAAAGACGTGGAAGGGATCTTTCTTTGAGTTACAAAGTGAATTTCTAATATGTGCTCTTGGTCCTAGCAGATCTTGTATTACATTCAAGAGTTCAGAATTTTCCCGTCAGCTGCAAACAAACATTTGTATCTCTAATTTAATATGGGGTTTGTGAAGGAGGATCTCTCCGTGTAAAACTTTAAAGTATCTTGCTGTTTTTTTAATAATACCAAATATTTGGCCCACATACCTATGCCTGTCTCTTAGTCATTACTTTCTTTTTAATTCTTCAACATTTAATTAAAATTTAATTCACAGCTTGTATTGACTCCTGAGACGTTTGAAGTTCAGTTGCATTTTGGGAAAATGTCATTTGGACATAAATTTTTTGCAACCAGAATCCAACACTTTGGACTTGCTAGTAATTGGATCCAGGCTGTGTAGAAAAACTTATTCCATATTTTCCATTGAAAAAGATATTTCTGTCTTCCACAGGGAAGTTCCTGTTACTGCTCAGTTGACTGGTTACTAGTCAACTGAAATAACTTGTTTGAAATAACTAAGAAACAATTACTGGGTTTTCAACAAAATTACTAAAAATCGTATTTTTCTATTCCTTTGTCATTTAATGTTATACAGGAAGAAAATGTCTTGCCATTAAGTCAAAATTAAATTTTATAAGTCTCTCTGCCTCCTTTGGCCTTGAATTCCATGTTTTTTCCTTTACATTCTGAGGTGGTATGCCCAAGTAGGTTATATTAAATTTTCTTAATTCTTAGACTTTATATTGGCTGGGCACAGTGGCTCATGCCTGTAATCCCAGCACTTTGGGAGGCCAAAGCGGGTGGATCACCTGAGGTCAGGAGTTCGAGACCAACCTAACCAATAAGGTGAAACTCTGTCTCTACTAAAAATACAAAAATTAGCTGGGCGTGGTGGCATGTGCCTGTAGTCCCAGCTACTCAGGAGGCTGAGACAGGAGAATTGCTTGAACCCAGGAGGCGGAGGTTGCAGTGAGCTGAGATTATGCCACTGCACTCCAGCCTGGGTGACAGAGCGAGACTCTGTCTCAAAAAAAAAAAAAAAAAATTCTTAAACTTTATATTGCATAACTATATTTACAGAAACCCAAACAGTATTAATTTTGGCATTAGGAATGAACAAAGAAAACAATGACAACAACAACCATTATTTGCTCTTGTTCATGCATCTTTTCAGAGCTGTTTGATTCTCTTTCATTATGGACCACAATAAATCAAAATATTTGAACTTTACAAGTATGACAGGATCTTGCTTTTTTTTTTTTTTTTTTAATATTTTGGGAAGCTGGTCTCAGCCAGGATTTTTACAGGCTGAATACCTCTGATTCAGAACTCATGTTGGTAGCAATAAGCTCTGTGCTGTGATAGAAGTGGTAAGAGCTGATCTCTCATAGCTGCAGTTTCCTCATTTGTATAGTGAGGATGTTAAACCAGATGTTATAAATTTTTTCCTATTCTAAAATCTCTTCTTTACCCAGAGAACATATGTTGATTGCTTTAAGAGTGAATATTCACTAGAAGTAGAATTTGGTTTTATTAACATCCTTTGAAAGAAGTAATATTGAAATGTAAATATGGGCCAGGCATGGTGGCTCACGCCTCTAATCTCAGCACCTTGGGAGGCCAAGGTGGGTGGATCACCTGAGGTCGGGAGTTCGAGACCAGCCTGACCAACATGGAGAAACCTCGTCTCTACTAAAAAATACAAAAATTAGCCGGGTGTGGTGGCGCATGCCTGTAATCCCAGCTACTCGGGAGGCTGAGGCAGGAGAATCGCTTCAACTCAGGAGGCAGAGGTTGCCATGAGCCGAGATTGCGCCATTGCACTCCAGCCCGGGCAACAAGAGCGAAACTCTGTCTCAAAAAAAAAAAAAAAAAAGAAAAGAAAAAAAGAAATGTAAATATGACTGCTTTTGAAGCTGACGGAGTTGAGTGGAGGAAGGGAGTGTGCCTAATGTAGTCAGGCAATAAAGCAGAATACAGGCAGCATGAAGGATGGAGTTTTACAAGTATGGGGGTTGTGTTTTAGTGTGTGTATGTTATGCTTTAATACATTTAAAAAGAGGAATATTATGTGCATGTTAAAACAAGGCTTGGAAGGGTATTCATTAGAATGTTCATTGCACCTCTGTGTGGTAAGAGGTTATGAATGCCTTTTATATTTTTCTTATAGTCTTTTGTGGTTTTTCAATGTCTGCAATGAACATTTTTAGTCATAAAAATGGGAAATGTGCAGGGAGACTCTACAGGGAGAAAAAGGGAGACTCACAGAGCTTCTTACAAAGTCCCCTGGAATGCTTTATCCCAAATAAAAACACCCTGGCTTCAGAGGGGTAATGGACAGGTTTGGATGTTTGATGGAACTGATGATCTTTTGCAGCAGATACTAAAAGAGAGGGTGTTCAAGTCTGATCATTGAGAAAGAAATGGGGATGAAGCAGCATAAGAATTACAAGTGGTGCCTGCTGGGGATGGTGAATGGTTCTCCCTGCAAGAGTGGCCAGACAGCTCATGGCCATTCTCTGAAGTCGCAGCCTGATTCTGGCCGGAAGGTTTTGGCAGCTTTTTAGGAAACTTGCCGATTTTGAAGGTGTATTTAGCAAGACCAGGTGGTGCAGCTGCTATGGCTACATTGACAGGTGGCAGTGAGTAAACTCCTCAGGCAAAATCAAAGATTGGTGTGGCTTCTGTTTTTTGAGTAATGTGGGGTGCCTTGGATTTACTGGGGGTTGCTGGTGTCTTTGATGACACATGGTGTCTAAGAACAAAAATTTTACCTTTGACCAATGCTAGTTAACATCTTTATCACTTGTCACTGAGTTAGTAGCCTGTGCTAACTGGGTTAAGAATCTTGCTGAGAATCTCTCCCCTATGAATTCACATCTGAGTGTTAGTTCCTTTCCCCCAATCACCTGGCCCTCTAGGTTTTTTCTAAAAACAAACAATGCCCAAGTTATTTAGCGATTGTTTTGTTTCATATCACTCTTTAATGCTGAAAATTGGTTGAATTGATGTAAATAATTACTGATTTAGGTCTAAAAAAAGTTAATGCCAGGTACACACACAAACTCCACACTGTATAAGATCCTCCCAACATTGCCCTGGAATTTAACATGGGATGAGTGGGTGGTGGTGGTGGTGCTACAAATCATTCCTCTGTAACATCTTACAGTTTTCCAAGCAGTAGTCAACCTCTCATGTCTTATTTTGGGCTTTTGAGGGACACATCTTTAACAGAATGGATTTGGCCACCTTCAGACATGCCCTGTTTATTTTGATAAGATGAACCTGAAAATAAAAATGAAATTTTAAATTTAACTGTTCTCATTCTCCCTACTCTCTAGATTGTACCACCTACTTGAATCCAGTGGGGAAGCATGTGATTGCTGACGCCCAGAATATCACCATCAGCCAGTATGCTTGCCATGACCAAGTGGCAGTCACCATTCTTTGGTCCCCAGGGGCCCTCGGTGAGTGGTCAAAAATCGAGTGCATGGTGATAACCTGGGTGGATAGGGCCCAGTGCAAAGGTCCCACATGATGGTCTCCAGGAACCAGGCAGGTCTTGATGTGAGTGAGGCTTATGTTGGATTGGGCACAGATACACTTTGTTGCATATATTTGCTGGGCGTACACATGGCTTGAGGCTGTGCCCTATGGTCTTTTGTTTCTTCTACTGTTATTGTTATTCACATGGGCTTGAAAAGTAATATTGTGTGAGTAATAAATGGCACTGATGTCTTGGCCTCTGTCTCAGCCCTAGTCAGCGGTGGGAGGGCAGCAGTGCCAAGAAAGCCCATGGCCCATCCAAGGGCGTAATGGCCATCCAGCATTAGCAGTCTCCGCGGACACAGAGACATGCCAGCCCAGCATTGGCACATGTTGTGATTTTTCAGGAAAATCCCAGTGTTCATGAAAGACAATGAAATCAATTCATTTTTAAATGTTGGCAACAAATTGAATTTTTTTTTTTTTTTTGAGACATAGTTTCGCTCTTTCACCCAGGCTGGAGTGCAATGGTGCGATCTCGGCTCACTGCAACTTCCGCCTTCCAGTTTCAAGCGATTCTCCTGCCTCAGCTGCCCGAGTAGCTGGGATTATAAGTGCCCACCACCACACCCAGCTAATTTTTGTATTTTTAGTAGAGATGGGGTTTCACCATGTTGGCCAGGCTGGTCTCAAACTCCTGACCTCGTGATCCGCCCGCCTCGGCCTCCAAAAGTGCTGGGATTACAGGCGTGAGCCACTGCGCCCAGCTTTAATTTTTATTTAAACTGTATAAGCCAAAAAAACCAAATGGAAAAGAACAAAAAAAAGGAGGCCAAGCATGGTGGCTTACACCTGTAATCTCAGCACTTTGGGAGGCCGAGATGGGAGGATCATTTGAGGCCAGGAGTTCGAGACTAGCCTGGGCAACAAAGTGAGACCCCCCCATTTCTACAAAAAGATTAAAAAATTATCCGGGCATGGTGGCACAAGTCTGTAGTCTTAGCTACTTGGACGGCCGAGGCAGGAGGATCAGTTGAGCCCAGCATTTGATGCTACAGTTAGCTATGATTATCGTGCCACTGCACTCAAGCCTGAGCTATAGAGTGAGAGACCCTGTCTCTTTATAAAACAAAACAGGCTGGGCGTGGTGGCTCATGCCTGTAATTCCAGCACTTAGGGAGGCCGAGGCAGGTGGATCACCTGAGGTCAGGAGTTTGAGACTAGCCTGACCAACATGGTGAAACCCCGTCTCCACTAAAAATACAAAATCAGCTGGGTGTGGTGTCGCATGCCTGTAATCCCAGTTACTTAGGGGGCTGAGGCAGGAGAATCACTTGAACCCACAAGGCAGAGGTTGCGGTGAGCCGAGATCGCACCATTGCGCTCCAGCCTGGACAACAAGAGGGAAACTCTGTCTCAAAAATAAATAAATAAATAAAAAACAAAAGAAAAAACTAAAAGAAAAAAGCAAACCTGTATTATATGGCTAGATTCGGGTTGGGGCTAAATCTGCTTGTCCTCTTGAATGAATTGAAGATACACAGGAAAGAATGGGTTAGCCAAGTGTGAGATGTAGGAAGGGGACCATTTGTTCAGGTGGGCCTGGGTTTGAACCCCCAGAATTGATCTTTCACATGAGGCATTGAACCTCACTGAACCCCAGCTTCCCAATCTGTAGAGGGGAGATGAGAACTGCCTCATGGTTAGAGACACACATGGTACATTTTCAGAGAGAACTCTCAAAGAATAGTGGCTGCTATTACCATGATCAGAACCTGGTTCTCAGGACTGCCGCTTTGACACTGCCACCTGATGTTACAAGTTTGTGAAAACCTGGCCAAGGGAGAAGTAAAGTCTGAATTTCTTAATCGGAACAGGATAAATCTCAGAAGAACCAGATTGCAGGAGAGGGAGGATAAAGCAGACCCATGGGCCGAACCACTTCTCCACATCAGTACTTCTGGGTTTTAACCTACTGGGGTTTCCAAAAATAATATTATCTTAACATTTAAAGATTAAAAACATTTTCTGTAGATAAAAAGGAAGTGGTCATTCCATGTAAGGCTTAAATGGTTAAGGGGTTGGCCTGACGAATTGCAGGCCCCCTTGTTAGAATGAAAGTAAGAGATGTGAGCTGGTGACAGGAAAACTGAACATCGACCAGTAGGGGCAGAAGTCTGCGCTTTTCCTGGATGCTGATTTATGGGTGGGGGTGGCTGGAGAGTTTCTGTTAGGTTCTATCAAGGACACTTCTTGGAAGGTAGAAAAGCATGTGAGTTAAGAGCGCTGGCTGAGAGCCAGACACTTCCTGGGTTCGAATCTCACCTCTGTCATTTTATTCCTGTGTGACCCTGGGCAAGCCAGTTAGCTACTATAAACCTCAGTTTCCTCATCTGTAAAATGGGGATAATAACACCTTCCTTCTGTGGTTGTTGGGAGGATTTGATGAGTTTAAATGATGGGAGAGAGAGCAAATAAGTTCTTTCCTGGGAAGCTGCTCTATAAAATTACTAATCATTACATAACTACAAGGTGTTAATAGTACTGTAATGTGTCACAGGGATAAAGGAATTACGTTTGCTGCCTCTTCCCTCGGCCTCAGAACCTTGGTGTAGCGGTTTTTAGGCTAATCTTTTAAAAATAAGAACAAGAACCACCGCTTGCCACCCCAACTGATGAATTTTTTTTTCTTTCTTTCTTTTTTTTTTTTTGAGACAGAGTCTCACTCTGTCGCCCAGGCTGGAGTGCAGTGGCATGATCTCAGCTCACTGCAAGCTCCGCCTCCCAGGTTCACACCATTCTCCTGACTCAGCCTTCCGAGTAGCTGGGACTACAGGCGCCCACCACTGTGCCCAGCTGATTTTTTTTTTGTATTTTTAGCAGAGACAGGGTTTCACCGTGGTCTCAATCTCCTGACCTTGTGATTCGCCCGCCTCGGCCTTCCAAAGTGCTGGGATTACAGGCGTGAGTCACCGCGCCCGGCCCCAACGATGAATTTTTATGTAATTGTGAGATGTATGGCTGTTAATGGTATTAATCACTTGGCTTTCGTTAACTAGTCATTCTGGGAATGTTGCGTAAATTAAATCTTAGTATTAATACTAAGGATTTGTTTTAAAAAGTTTTTTTGGATCTCAAAAGGCAAGTCCTGCGAGATCTAAAATAGTTGTTGGTCTAATGACTTTGTCATCACCTTGTCTGAATCTCTGGTGGTTGCTCAGCTGGCTTTCACCCCCACAGGAAGCTTTGTAATTGAAATACAGCATGGCAGAGTCGATACCTGTGCACAGTAATACTCTGAAACCCTAAAATGTGAAGCTGTAATTGTTGCTCCTCTTCCCTACTCACCAAGAAATATGTATTCTTCATCAAATAATTATAGGATTGGAGAACCTATTTGAAAGAGAAAAAGATTTTCCTGGCCTTTATCATCAATAAATTTCCCACCTGGTTAATTGCATCCTGTGTAATTACTTTTGTCCTGGGAGGGGAAGGGTTGAAAATGTTCAGAAGGAATGTGAAATCGATATCTCGCCATTGCGGCAGGCTTTGGGGCTCTCCAGCTGCAGCTGGACCACTTCAGTCTCCGTGGGATACACAAACCCGGTGCTGGCGCTTGTGACCGTCAGAGCTTAATCCTTTTGAAAGCATCTAGTCGGACGTGCAGTGGGGGGAGCTCAGGTGGCAGGAGGCTGGGCTGGTGTCTTTCAGCGGCGCTGTGGGTGTCTCGGGGCCTCGGAGGCTGTATGAAGAGCACACACTGGGCAACCCTTGGGTGTCTGCCTTTCAGGCATGATTAGAGCAAGAACCGCTTTGTAAATCACACAGGCATTCCCCTAAGCTATTTAATCTCAAGCCTCAGAACCCCTTGGGTGCAGACACAATTTGTTGGGAATTTTGTATGTTGCTCAGTGAGATGTGCCAAAAAATGTAGAGCTAAAACTTAAAGTGGAAACATGGTTTTGGGGGATTCCCTAGTCAACACTGGAAATTATCATCAGCCAAATGTATTCTGTGTAATGACCTAGAAATTATATATTCCACTTCAGACTTTTTATGACCAATTGTAACTGGAGTCTAAATATTTGAACCCTAATGCCAGAGAGGCAATAGGTATTTATGAAATAGCTGGCTGGATTAGGGATTAATTAGTAATGGTGGGATGGAGAAAATCACCTGGTCTTTACCAGAGGAATGCAGGGGGTGTGTTTTTTCCATTCTATAGACTCAGATACCCTGGCCACAGTTAGAATTCCTTTAACTCTGGTGTGTAGGTAGAGAAGATGGTAATCTTGGAGGAAGAAGAGTGTGTTCAGAAGTAATTAGGTTCACTATTAATAAAAGCATTCTGCTTTGCTTAGGCATCGAATTCCTGAAAGGATTTCGGGTAATACTGGAGGAGCTGAAGTCGGAGGGAAGACAGTGCCAACAACTGATTCTAAAGGATCCGAAGCAGCTCAACAGTAGCTTCAAAAGAACTGTAAGTCACACTGGGGAACGTGCTCCTGAAGACATGCCATTGTTCCAGGGTCCTGAATAGTGTATTCAAAGTCTGAAATTGGAGAAGGAGGGGCTATGGGGTCCACCCCACCCGCCAAGGTGGGCAAGAATGGTACAGCAGCACCTTGAGCCTGCTCCACGCTCCCAGGGAAATTCTTCAGCACCTCCCTGTGTAAACATGCCTCTCGGGTTACTGCTGGAGCAGTGATCCTGGAAGGTGTCTTTGTGCTCCAAAGAGTGTATGTGGGCTCACCCTGCGCCCCAACTCTGAGGTTCAGTATTAACAAGCCATGGGTTCTTTGCCAAAAAACAGACCGCATTGTCCATCTTCATGGTTAAGCGATCCAAATCTCAAGTTAGTCCAGAAACTAGACCTGACTTCCTGCTTCCCTGGAACATGTCCTGCAGCTCTGGAGTTGTGTCTGGGTGGCAGTTGGGGTAGGAGCGAAGACCTTATGAAGGTGGAGGGGTGGGTAATTTCTCCATGATGTCACTGTGTTTTTGTTCCCTTTTAGGGAATGGAATCTCAACCTTTCCTGAATATGAAATTTGAAACGGATTATTTCGTAAAGGTTGTCCCTTTTCCTTCCATTAAAAACGAAAGCAATTACCACCCTTTCTTCTTTAGAACCCGAGGTGAGTATGGCCTTTCCTGCCTGGTTCCCATGAGAAGACTTTTCTCCGCTTTTAATGATTTTTCTACAGAAATGTGTTCAAGAACGTGCCAAGGCCGGGCGCGGTGGCTCACACCTCTAATCCCAGCACTTTGGGAGGCCGAGGCAGGCAGATCACAAGGTCAGGAGTTCGAGACCAGCCTGGCCAACATGGTGAAACCCTGTCTCTCTAAAAATACAAAAATTAGCCAGGCGTGGTGGCAGGCGCCTGTAATCCCACTACTCGGGAGGCTAAGGCAGGAGAATTGCTTGAACCTGGGAGACAGAGGTTTCAGTGAGCCAAGATTGGGCCACTGCACTCTAGCCTGAGTGATAGAGCAAGATTCCATCTCAGGGGGAAACAAACAAACAAACAAACAAAAAACATGCCAAATACTGGTATGAAACAAGCATGGCAAGGAGAAAAGCATCCAGAAAAACACTTTTTAGAATTAAGGTTAGGTATAGACACTGCTCATC
Organism: Homo sapiens; assembly: GCF_000001405.40. Lineage (NCBI taxonomy): Eukaryota > Metazoa > Chordata > Mammalia > Primates > Hominidae > Homo > Homo sapiens. Next base: position 57,109,039 of record NC_000003.12, on the reverse strand, counting down.
TAACCGGATAGACCCACTCCTGGCTTGTTCTAGAACAGACCTGACAGTTGATATTTTTGAGGGTGCTGTGACCACCGCTAAGACAGTCTGCATTACCAGGCACAGCACATGCCTATGCTCTCGGCTATTTGGGATGCTGAGGCAGCAGGATCACTTGAGCCCACGAGTTTGAGGCTAGCCTGGGCAACATAGCAAGACCCCATTTCTAGTTAAAAAAGACAGATGGCCAGGCGCGGTGGCTCATGCCTGTAATCCCAACACTTTGGGAGGCCAAGATGGGTGAATCACCTGAGGTCAGTAGTTCGAGACCAGCCTGAAAAATATGGTGAAACCCCGTCTGTACTAAAAATACAAAAATTAGCCGGGCGTCATGGTGTGCGCCTGTAGTCCCAGCTACTCAGGAGGCTGCGACAGGAAAATTGCTTGAACCCAGGAGGTGGAGGTTGCAGTGAGCTGAGATCAAGCCACTGTACTCCAGCCTGGGTGAAAGAGCAAACCTCCATCTAAAAAAAAAAAAAAAAAAAAAAAAAGCCATGTATCAAAACGATTAGATTAAAGAAAAAAAATTGGCCTGGCTCGGTGGCTCATGCCTGTAATCCTGAGGCAGGAGGATTGCTTGAGCCTAGGAGTTTGAGGCCAGCCTGGGCAACATAGCAAGACCCCATTTCTAGTTAAAAAAGACAGCTGGCCTGGGGCAGTGGCTCATGCTTGTAATCCCAGCAATTTGGGAGGCCGAGGCAGGCAGATCACGAAGTCAGGAGTTCGAGACCAACCTGGTCAACATGGTCCCTGTCTCTACTAAAAATACAAAAATTAGCCGGGTGTGGTGGCATGTGCCTGTAATCTCAGCTTCTCAGGAGGCTGAGGCAGGAGAATCACTTGAACTCGGGAGGCGGAGGTTGCAGTGAGCTGAGATCATGCCGCTGCACTCCAGCCTGGGCCACAGAGCAAGACTCCATCTCAAAAAGAAAAAAAAAAAAAGGAATAAAAAGTGTAAGTTGATTTTGTGGTAAAGGTAGGAGCATGAAATGATTCCATCTTTTACCTGTTATCAGGAGGGTGGCCTGTCATTTTCAGGACTAGATTAAGAAAATTATTTTCTAGAAAGTTCTGTTTATTTAATGTCCATGTGCCAGGCCCTGTTCTAAAGGCATTCCAAATATTAACTCCAAATACCCTCTGTGACAACCCTACAAAGAATTTAGTCGTACCATCCCCACTTACTAGATGCCGAATCCCACACAGAGAAGGTGAAGGGCTTGCCGGGAGTTGGATTTGAACCCCAGAAGTCTGACTCTGGAATCCATGCTCTGAACTCAACCACCCACTGTGCTGGGTCTGTTCACCTTCTGTTCTGTACAGGTTATCTCTTTAATCTTCCTGAGTTGCTGCTTTCAAACTTTGGTGGCTGGTCGCCCTGGAACAGGCAGCAGCTCCTTCTTGCCTTCCTGATCAGTCTTTCTGTCATTCAAGGCCTTGGATGGTCAGTCCTGTCCAACATCCCCTCCTGTGAGGTCTGGTTGCAGCCCTCATCCATTGTGATGTTTCTGTTCACAACTCCAGCCTACATCAATGTTTCCCTCTGCAGAATTCTTATTGTGGTTGTTTTCTACGCAGCAGTTATTTTAACAATTGATTTCATAATTTTTTTTTTTTTTTTCGAGATGGAGTTTCGCTCTGTCGCCCAGGCTGGAGTGCAGTGGCATGATCTCGGCTCACTGCAAGCTCCGCCTCCGGGGTTCACGCCATTCTCCTGACTCAGCCTCCTGAGTAGCTGGGACTACAGGTGCCCGCCACCATGTCCAGCTAATTTTTTTGTATTTTTAGTAGAAACGGGGTTTCACCATGTTAGCCAGGATGGTCTTGATCTCCTGATCTCATGATCCACCCGCCTCAGCCTCCCAAAGTGCTGGGATTACAGGCATGAGCCACCGCGCCCGGCCCTCATAATTCTTAAAATAAAATTCCATACGGCAAAGACCATGTGTATGTCACATCATCTCTAGATGACTTGCACATAATAACCAGATAGAAGATTCAAAGAATGTGTTTATGAAAGCCTCACCTAAATCAAAATTAGTGTAATTTAAGATGAATTTTTCCCGTTGGCATAGAATCAATGTATCTTTTTGGGGGTAAGGTGGAGGCAGGGGGTGTGTTCCTGGAATGCAAACATTTATAACCATTTCAGTGCACTGTGGTTTTGATGCTGCCTTCAGTTTTCTTGGCATTATATGGAGACTCTCCCTGGGTTAGCAAGCAGCATGGCACAGTGGACTAGCTGTTTGGCCTCTCTCATTGTGTTTTTATTGCGTTTAGATTCTGTTTCAAAGCTATTGGCTTTGGTACCTGGTTTTCAGTGCTGACACTACTACTTATATGCCTGCATGTAATTTCAAGAAACCATCAAAAGCATCTTAAATTAGAATACTAGTGAAGGTTAAAATAATCCTGCAGCAGTTACCAGGACCACTCCAAAGTTCTCTTGTGTCTAAACATCTCCACAGTGGGGTAGGGGCCAGCATCATTTCTGTTTACAGCTGAAACAGAGCCTCCATGTGACTGTAGCATGAACATAGCTCTGCTGCCCTTGGCTACCAGCCTTGAAATTATGTAATGCCTGACAAGCTTTTAAAATCTGGGTGACTTTACATTGTTACCATTTATGTGGCATAAAGTGAACTGCATTAATATTTTTATATTATACCATTTAAATTTTCATAAGATACAACTGCACAGTAGTGAAAATCCTCATTGAATTGATGTATTTTATACCTTTTCTAGCATCACCCGGCACAGTATCTTTATATTTCATTGGGTTGTTGGGAGAGGAAAATGTCTAACTGTCCTAAAACTAAAAACATGTATCTTTATTCTCTTAATAGCCTGTGACCTGTTGTTACAGCCGGACAATCTAGCTTGTAAACCCTGTAAGTAATAGTGTTCTTATCTATCAAGTCTCAAAGTATCGCCACTATGATGGTGTTAGGGTAGCCTCTGGTTGCTCACTCTGGGTCCTACCTTCTTCCAGTCTGGAAGCCTCGGAACCTGAACATCAGCCAGCATGGCTCGGACATGCAGGTGTCCTTCGACCATGCACCGCACAACTTCGGCTTCCGTTTCTTCTATCTTCACTACAAGCTCAAGCACGAAGGACCTTTCAAGCGAAAGACCTGTAAGCAGGTGAGCTGCTGGGTGTATATAAAGGAACACTGCGTGTTTCAAAGCGACCCCCAGGCCACTGGAATTTGGGTTGCTCAATGTGAGCATTAGGCTTTGTTGGCTCTCAGTGGTTGGTAGATACTTGAGAATGTAATCATTGGGCATGTCTCAGGGCCATCTTGCCACTGTCCTTCATTCCCTAGTTATCTGTAACCCAGCTGTCCTGGTGGTGATATAGCCTGGTAACAGTATTGCCAAGGAATAAACAAGAAGTATTTCTCATTTGTTCATATATATGTATGAACAAATATATATATATATATATTTTTTTTTTTTTTTTTGAGATGGAGTCTTGCTCTGTTGCCCAGGCTGGAGTGCAGTGGTGTGATCTTGGCTCGCTGCAGCCTCCGCCTCCTGGGTTCAAACGATTCTCCTGCCTCAGCCTCTGGAGTAGCTAGGATTATAGGCGCATGCCACCACACCCAACTAATTTTTGTATTTTTAGTAGAGACGGGGTTCACCATGTTGCCCAGGCTGGTCTTAGACTCCTGACCTCAAGTGATCTACCCACCTTGGCCTCCCAAAGTGCTGGGATTACAGGCCTGAGCCACCACACCTGGCCTGTCCTTTTATATTTTCAGCATTCATCATGTGCTCTCTTGTGTGGCAGGCCCTGAGCTTTATGCTCCTTGAATCCATACCACTCTATGAAACAGAGGCTGCTGTCATCCCCATTTTACAGATGAGAAAGCTGAGGCTCAGGGATGTCACCTGGCTTGCTCAAGGCCGCACAGCTAGTAAGTGGAAAAATCAGATCTAGGAGCCAAGCCACTGATAACTCAGTGGCTACTGATTTTACAAATAGGCCAAGGTTAAATAGAAACTAAGTAACCCAGCCTTTAAACTGGGAGTGGTCAGAAGAGTGGAAACCGTTTCATGGATGTTCACAGGACTGTCTGATTGCCTCTGTGGATACCAAGAAAGTTTTTGGTCGTGGTGGCAAAGCCCAGTACCTCCTTAGACATGCTCCTGTGTATGTCAGGTTCTGTCATAGTTTGCTCTCCTTGCTGGCTCTCATCTCTATCAAGGTCTTTGACCTCCTGCTCATGTTAAAATTATGGCAAATAAAATATGTATAAACACAGACTGGTAATTTCTTTCCTCACCCTTTTATTAAGTAAAGGTTGTTCAAACCAGTTTCTTTGTCTTCAAATCAAATATTCCTGCTGAGGGTGCCACCAGCTAAGCATAGACTATGGCAAGGGTCCTGGGCTGTCCTGGGCCTTTTATCAAAGGGAAGTTCAGATAACATGTGGCAGATAAACACAGTTGCTTTTCGATCTAATCACATTTTCTGAAAACTGTGGTTGAGACTGGTGGCAAGTCTCCTTCAGCTCTGGGGGAGAAGAGGTGTCCTGAAGACCTTTGCCCAAGAAGTGAGTTTTTAAAGTGTTCTTTGGTCTGTTGCAGGAGCAAACTACAGAGACGACCAGCTGCCTCCTTCAAAATGTTTCTCCAGGGGATTATATAATTGAGGTATGCATAACACAAGAAAGCCCTATTAATGCTATAGAATGAACCCAGTTCATATAGAATTCCAACTGTTTACAACACTAAAATTTCAAGCTATTGAAGGTGTGCACAGTTATATTTTTATATGGTTCTTAACATGCTTTTAAAAAAAGTTTATATATAATTGATTTTTGATCTCTTCATTAAATATTTCAAACAAATATTTTTATGTAATCATATGGTCCATATATAACCATGGTTTAAAATCTCTAGTATTCCTTAATACTACAAAGATATATTTTTAAGATTTTAGCTTAAATTTTTTTTGTTTTAGTATGAAAACAGCAAAATAAGTTATGCCCATTTTGCCTATACTTCTCTAAGTTTCTGTTGCTATTCTTCTATGTATGTATAAATGAATTCTAAACACCACTTCAAAGAACATGTAAATGTAATGTTTCAGTGAAACCCCGTCTCTTCTAAAAATACAAAAATTAGCTGGGCGTGGTGGTGGGCGCCTGTAATCCCAGCTACTCAGGAGGCTGAGGCAGGAGCATCACTTGAAACTGGAAGGTGGAGGTTGCAGTGAGCTGAAATTGCGCCACTGCACTCCAGCCTGGGTGAAAGAGTGAAACTCCCTCTCAAAAAAAAAAGTAATGTTTCATTTCCTTTTTAAGATTACCTTTTCCTGTATCAAATTGGTACTACAAATAATAAGAGTATAAGGAAAATAGAAAAGGAAATTAACAATTTGTCCATAGTGCCACCATTCAAAGACAACCAACATGTCTTAACATTTTGGTAGAAACACCTAGTTCTTGCACTCCTTGGAAGCAGTGTGTGGTTTTTGACTGATACACCTTCTTAAAGCATTAATGGAGGCCCAGTAAAATCAGTGGAAGGATGCCAGTTTAATTGAGCATTATTAGAACGTGGGACTCACCAGCTGACTTCTTCAATGAATACACAGCCTTTTGATTAATAAAAGAAAACATGATGAACTTAGAGTTTCGAGTTGGTAAAGCAGAGATGAACCTGAGTACACATGATGCCTAGTCTCAGCCATTCTTTTCCAAAACTCAGCCATTCTCCACTGCTTGCTTCCCACCCCTTCCCGCACTGCCCACTGATGGAAAAGATGAATGAAATTACCATTTTTTTCCACTTACCTGGTATATATCACTTTAAAAAAAAATAATGCAGCATCCTCTGTTTTGCAGCTGGTGGATGACACTAACACAACAAGAAAAGTGATGCATTATGCCTTAAAGCCAGGTAGGTGCTTTTTTGTTTGAAATTTGGCTCTAGACTACTATAGACCAAGGTATGTGATACTCTCTGTACTTCATGATTTACAGAAACAAAACAAAATTTGGCTCCTCTCTCTTAAATGATGTTCCATCAAATCTGACTTTTCTTCCATTCTAATGTTTATAACCTGGAAGATTAAAGCCAGTTTGGTGTGTGTAGCTCGGACTAGATAAATAGTCAATTGTCCTCTGAAGAAAAGTGGTGGGAGGGGAGATTTCCTTAGGCAAAATTCTCACTCAAAGGTATTTTATGTCCCAGCCTGACTCTTAACTGTTGAATTGTTCTTTGCAACTCTTTAAATATGAACCTTTGAATCCTTTTTAAATCACCAAACCACACTAGAGAAAGGTGGTTGCATGGTCCTAGAACCTGTTATGCGGCTTATGTTTAAAAAGAAAAAAAGTTGTTTCTCTTTGAACCTTTACACTGCTTAAGTTTAAAAACTTTCCCTTTGAAATTTCCCAGTGCACTCCCCGTGGGCCGGGCCCATCAGAGCCGTGGCCATCACAGTGCCACTGGTAGTCATATCGGCATTCGCGACGCTCTTCACTGTGATGTGCCGCAAGAAGCAACAAGGTATCTCTTTGTGTGCTGTGTCTCCCCACAACAAGGGGCAGGCCAGGGGGTGCTGCCAAGAGAAAGAGAGACTGGGAGTACCTGGGTCCTCCAGGATGGCGCCTGGGAAGCCTCATAGCTCCTACTATTCAGTTCCCAGAATTAAAATATTTGGCTTTTAACCTCAGGAGCCACTAAAAAAAACAGGTATCATTATATATCTGTTTCTTGGGACAGGGTCTCGCTCTGTTGCCCAGGCTAGAGTGCAGTGGCACAGTCATAGCTCACTGCAGGCTCGACTTCCCAGGCTTAGGCCATCCTCCCACTTCAGCCCCCTGAGGTAGCTGGGGACTACAGGCATGCACCACCATGCCTGGCTAATTTTAAAAAAAAATTTTTTTTGTAGTCATGGGGTCTCACTATGTTGCCTAGGCTGGTCTTGAACTCCTAAGCTCAAGCATTCCTCCTGCCTCAGCCTCCCTCTCATGCTGGGATTACAGGCATGAGACACTGCATCTGGCCCATAATTCTATTTTCAATGATAGGAGAGTAAATTCAGGGTCATAAAGGAAGCCTGAAGTATAAGTAAGGATATAGGTAGGGCTTGGTCATTTACAAAAGTCACCATGAGACAGCCTTCTGAGGAGTTGGAAATGATCCATAGCTTGGTCTGGGTGAGGATTACACAGTTATATACTTCCATAAAAATTCACTGAGATGTACACTTAAGATTTATGTACTTTACTTTTGTAAATTTTACATCGATAAAAACTTTTAAAAAAAATCAGCTCTGCCTGTGCTTAATTGGTCTACTAGGTGCACTTGGCTGCAAGAGCCAGTTCTGGGCACTCTGCTAACTAAGGTAGCGCTCTGCTAACCAGGGTGACCCCTGCAGCATTTCTTAGTTTATCCAAGATCAATTTCAGGTAAAGAACAATTTTTGACCATTCGTTGCTCCACTGCGGAAATCAGCTGTCCCATTCCAAGTGATGATCAGAGGGGGCTGATGGAGTTGGGGAATGGGACTGCTCTAGGTAGACGTGTTCTTTCTTGAAGATAGCACTGGGTTTCAATTCTTAGGAAATAGAACAAAGCGTTGCTTGCAAGTATCAACCTTATCTTCTTTTCCAATTTAGAAAATATATATTCACATTTAGATGAAGAGAGCTCTGAGTCTTCCACATACACTGCAGCACTCCCAAGAGAGAGGCTCCGGCCGCGGCCGAAGGTCTTTCTCTGCTATTCCAGTAAAGATGGCCAGAATCACATGAATGTCGTCCAGTGTTTCGCCTACTTCCTCCAGGACTTCTGTGGCTGTGAGGTGCGGAATCTAAAGTTCCTTCTCCTACCCTGGCCAGGACACTTGCCCTGTACTCTCTCCCCGCTGCCTTCTCCTCTCTTCTGGGCCTCCTGTGGTGACACCTGCCCTTGACTAGTGCCACAGCTTTCAAACTGGGGATAGTCTCGCACTCTTTTTTCAGTCTGTCTTACCCATCACCAGCACTAAATATTTCATAATACTTAGTTCTAACTCTGACAAACTCCTGCTCTAAAGCTTTGAGTGGCACCCACCTGGCAGGAAGTTTTGTAAGCATTAAGAAGACCAGTAGCTTCCGTGGAAACATGCAATTGGAGTTGAGGGGTGTCACTCATGACATCCTAGTGAGCATGTTCAGGACAGAAGCCCCACTTGGAGAGTCAAAGAGAGAGTGGCAAGTAAAGCAGTGAGTTCGCACAATTGTTTGGAGGAGTTCTGCTGAGAAGGGGAATGAAGGACGGGGCTGCCATTAGAGGGGATCTTGAGGTCCAGGGAGAAGTGATAAACGAAGGGCTCTGTGAAGCTGTTTGACCATTGACTGGTGGAATCATAGACAGGGAGAAACTCATGATGCAGGAGACGGCACTGGCCAGAGAGAACAGGGAGGTAGGAAGGGAGCACTCCCAGAAAACAATATTTTGTCAAGCACTGAAATGATCTGCTCTGGTTTCTTAGCTGTTCTCTTGAGTTATTAATATCTTATTAATATGCTTTTCTATAATGTCAGAATGTACATTTTTAGAGTGAAGTCTGAAACTCTCATGCAAGACATACCCTGTTTCTTGAAAATGCAAGAACTGTACAATAACTGTGTGATTGGAAGTTGTTTTTGCTTTGAAACTGCCCATTGGCATGTTTTTCAGAATCTCTCCATGTGGTGAGGCTGCCCCCTAGTGTCAACATAACATACTACGCTAGCCTAGTTTCCCTCTGCATGAAAGCGTGAGGTTGGTGGATCAGCACGTGCTGAAAAATAACTACACTCTAGCCAATGGCACACAGTTTTCAGATACCACGGGCAACCAAGTTTGCTCTACTTCACAAGTATTTAGCCTCTGGGGAAAACGCTCTTCCAGTTATTAGTGTAATAGTTATTGTAGAAAATTTGGAACTAGAAAAGGATGATAAATAAAACATTGTCTGGAATCCCAAACTGATTAAGGAAAATCTTAGAAAGAGGAACTCATATTTCATGTGTGGTTTATTTCCTTCCAGTCTTTTTCCATATAGGTGAACTCACACGTACAGTTTTGCCTTTGGGGCTGATTGAAATGATTTTTTGCAGTCTCTTAATAATTTTTTACACTATTAGTAGTTATATGTCAACTGCAATTTTAAATAGCTACATGATCCTCCATATTGATTTGCCATAACTGAGTTAATACAAATATTAAACATCTCAGTGGTTCAATATTGTCCCATTTGTGATGATTTCCCAAGAAAGATGCCTGGAAATGGAATTGCTGGGTCAAAGATAGAAACATTTAAAAAATGCTTGGTATATACTCCCACTGAGCTTTTAGCATGTGTAATGTTAACAAGAATTAAGGAAAGTATAAGACAATTCAGGGTTATTTTCAGCAAGTGGATGGATGTTGGGGCTTTTTCCCCATTGGTAACATCTTAGAGCAGAAGAGGAGAACAAAGTCGTTTCAGAATGCCCTTCCCTGTAAGATAGTGTGGCTGCTGTGTTTCGTCATAGCCATTGGGAATTAATAACTACAGAAGGAAAGACATCAACACAATAACCAAGAGATGTTTCTGGTAGAATTAGGTAAAAGTGGTCTGAGAAGGTGAAGTCCTCTAAGGGGCCACACATGTCTGATTTTTCTCTCCTTTGTCAGCCACGCCCACAGTCTCTCTACCAGACCGCCTTTGGGGGTAAAGCTTTGTCAATTACCAGCCTTGTAGAGATGTAGCCTTGTATACCTGTGTGAAGCCATAGAGGAAGGTGCTAGCCAGTCCTGAGTGAGTTACTCAGAATGACCATGTTAATGCAGTTCACTAGCCTCCTCTCCAGCCATGGACCAACTAGTAAACAACATAGGTGAGCCTGAGGCTATGAGAGTGTCGAGATAGGTCCCCTTTGTCAGTCACTGTCTGGATGTGAGTCACCTATAATTGTGGGTGACTGGCATCCAGGCCTGAGCCCCATCTCCCAGCTCACTTTGGAGTCACTCATCCACATCCTCCTCTCAGAGCCTGCCAGCCTTCTCTCCAGAATCTGCCCCTCCAATCTAGGCACCTCACTCACCAGATCAACCAACCTCAGTTTCTCTGTCCTGTGCTCTCTACCACCTGTTGCTTCCTTGAGGATATCCTATGTAGGGTGTGACTTGGGCAAGGTGCCAAAAGCACTGCGCTTCTGTCCCCTCACTTGTAGGGCAGGAGTGGTAATGACTCCATGTGATACAAAAATGGATGGATGGCAAGTTTTTGCAGAGGGACTAGGGTGTGACCATCACCCACGGAACTTTAGCTGTTCCTTGGTATGGTGTAACCTGGAGCCTGCACATAGCTGTGCTAATAAGGGTTAAGGGGCAGATGAGATGGCCTCCTTCTGACATTTCCCTTCCTGTTACTCACTTCCCGAGCCTCTTCCCGAGCCTTCTGTATGGGTGAGGTGCCTTGTTCTCTTTCCAGGTGGCTCTGGACCTGTGGGAAGACTTCAGCCTCTGTAGAGAAGGGCAGAGAGAATGGGTCATCCAGAAGATCCACGAGTCCCAGTTCATCATTGTGGTTTGTTCCAAAGGTATGAAGTACTTTGTGGACAAGAAGAACTACAAACACAAAGGAGGTGGCCGAGGCTCGGGGAAAGGAGAGCTCTTCCTGGTGGCGGTGTCAGCCATTGCCGAAAAGCTCCGCCAGGCCAAGCAGAGTTCGTCCGCGGCGCTCAGCAAGTTTATCGCCGTCTACTTTGATTATTCCTGCGAGGGAGACGTCCCCGGTATCCTAGACCTGAGTACCAAGTACAGACTCATGGACAATCTTCCTCAGCTCTGTTCCCACTTGCACTCCCGAGACCACGGCCTCCAGGAGCCGGGGCAGCACACGCGACAGGGCAGCAGAAGGAACTACTTCCGGAGCAAGTCAGGCCGGTCCCTATACGTCGCCATTTGCAACATGCACCAGTTTATTGACGAGGAGCCCGACTGGTTCGAAAAGCAGTTCGTTCCCTTCCATCCTCCTCCACTGCGCTACCGGGAGCCAGTCTTGGAGAAATTTGATTCGGGCTTGGTTTTAAATGATGTCATGTGCAAACCAGGGCCTGAGAGTGACTTCTGCCTAAAGGTAGAGGCGGCTGTTCTTGGGGCAACCGGACCAGCCGACTCCCAGCACGAGAGTCAGCATGGGGGCCTGGACCAAGACGGGGAGGCCCGGCCTGCCCTTGACGGTAGCGCCGCCCTGCAACCCCTGCTGCACACGGTGAAAGCCGGCAGCCCCTCGGACATGCCGCGGGACTCAGGCATCTATGACTCGTCTGTGCCCTCATCCGAGCTGTCTCTGCCACTGATGGAAGGACTCTCGACGGACCAGACAGAAACGTCTTCCCTGACGGAGAGCGTGTCCTCCTCTTCAGGCCTGGGTAAGGTGCCTTTGGGGCCGGGTCCTAACAGGCCGCAGCCTTTGACCATGCTTCTGAAATCAGTCAAAGCGTTTTTCCACTTTTGGTGCCAACTTATTGGGCAATGAAACCTGATGAGAACACAGCTCGTTTGGTAGTCTTGATTTATACCAGGTGATGGGAGTACTCACATGTTTGAGTTGCAGAAATACTAATGCTAAATTATAGTGAGCTGCCCAGACCCTGCAAGGGGTGTTGTGCCACATACAGACTATGCACTGTATCACTTTTCTAAACTCCAAAAACATCAGACACGAAAACACATTGGGCCCCAAGGGTCTTGGGTAACAGTTTGTGGATGCGTCTTTTTTAGACCTGTAATGTTCACACCCCCCGCCCCCATTGTCTTTAAAGCTACATTCATTGAGTCTGGGATTCATGGGTACAGTATTCTTTCTATCCTTCAGCATAGGGTCCCAGGTATGAGGGCTCTCTAGGAAGGCCTACTTCTGCAGGGAGCATCAGGTAGATGCCATCTCAGGCTGTCCCTTACCATGTCTGTAACTAGTTGGAGTCATGCATACAAACCCTTGACTTTTTTTTTTTTTTTTTGAGATGGAGTCTCACCCTGTCGCCCAGGCTGCAATGGCATGATCTCAGCTCACTGCAACCTCTGCCTCCTGGGTTCAAGCGATTCTTCTGCCCAGCCTCCCGAATAGCTGGGATTACAAGCATGCGCCACCATGCCCAGCTAAATTTTTGTATCTTTAGTAGAGATTGGGTTTCACCATGTTGGCCAGGCTGGTCTCAAACTCCTGACCTCAAGTGATCCCTCAACCTCGGCCTCCCAAAGTGCTGGGATTACAGGCGTGAGCCACTGCGCCCGGCCTAAACGCTTGACTTTTAAGAAATATCTCTTCCTTCCTCAACTAAGGGAACTAGAACCTGTTAGGAGGATGAGAGTGCCCCATCTTGAGTTGGTTGGGATTCTTGCCTCGTTTATACAGAGCCCATAGTCCAAACCCAGATCCAGTCACATTCTGCCATGAGCACCTGCCCAGCCCAGTGAAATGCAATGACAGTGTGACTCTGTACTCTCTTCTCTCCTTAGGTGAGGAGGAACCTCCTGCCCTTCCTTCCAAGCTCCTCTCTTCTGGGTCATGCAAAGCAGATCTTGGTTGCCGCAGCTACACTGATGAACTCCACGCGGTCGCCCCTTTGTAACAAAACGAAAGAGTCTAAGCATTGCCACTTTAGCTGCTGCCTCCCTCTGATTCCCCAGCTCATCTCCCTGGTTGCATGGCCCACTTGGAGCTGAGGTCTCATACAAGGATATTTGGAGTGAAATGCTGGCCAGTACTTGTTCTCCCTTGCCCCAACCCTTTACCGGATATCTTGACAAACTCTCCAATTTTCTAAAATGATATGGAGCTCTGAAAGGCATGTCCATAAGGTCTGACAACAGCTTGCCAAATTTGGTTAGTCCTTGGATCAGAGCCTGTTGTGGGAGGTAGGGAGGAAATATGTAAAGAAAAACAGGAAGATACCTGCACTAATCATTCAGACTTCATTGAGCTCTGCAAACTTTGCCTGTTTGCTATTGGCTACCTTGATTTGAAATGCTTTGTGAAAAAAGGCACTTTTAACATCATAGCCACAGAAATCAAGTGCCAGTCTATCTGGAATCCATGTTGTATTGCAGATAATGTTCTCATTTATTTTTGATGTAGAATTTACATTGCCATGGGTGTTAAATAAGCTTTGAGTCAAAAGTCAAGAAAGTGACTGAATATACAGTCACCTTTTATGAAATGAGTCTCTGTGTTACTGGGTGGCATGACTGATTGAGGTGAAGCTCACGGGGCCAGGCTGACCGTCTTGACCGTTCCACTTGAGATAGGTTGGTCATCGTGCAGAAGGCCCCAGGACCTCAGCACACACAGCCTCCTCTTGGTCTGAGTAGGCATCATGTGGGGGCCAGATCTGCCTGCTGTTTCCATGGGTTACATTTACTGTGCTGTATCTCAGATGTTGGTGTCTGGAAGTTTATTCTTAAGAGACTGCTACCCAGCTGGTCTGTATTATTGGAAGTTGCAGTTCGTGCTTTGGTTGGCCTTCTGGTCTAAAGCTGTGTCCTGAATATTAGGGATCACAATTCACTGAAATACAGCAGTGTGTGGAGGTGATGGCCAGTTAATCTGCTGAACTGGTTTTGACTAATGACAAACCTCTTTTTAAGATGGTAGAATGGAGGTGATAGTCACAAAAGTAAATGTTCCATTTTTATGAATGACTTTCTACAGAGTTTCTATTTCTAAAGAAAAAACAATTGTTCACATCCCATCTGATGATTAGCATGTGTGTAATGAATGCTGTCTTGGTCTCCCCTGTGGAAACCCTTCTCCCTGTGCCTTAGAGCAGGTGTGTACATCTCTCACTACCTTTCTCATGGGTGCTGTTAGATTTTGGCACCCGTTTTCTCAGCATTCAGCCCAGGGAATGTGGTTTTCACTTCTTCGTCAGATAAGACCAACATGAAGGGGTATGTTGAGAAACATCCTGAGGCAAGGTGGGAGGTGGGATGGGGCAGGACTTTCCCTTCCAAGCACATGCATGGCAGGTGGGGAAAGGGGGGCTTGCACCCCTGCTGGAAAGAAAAGGTTTGTGTATATTTCTGATGCAAATGTCATACTCACTGCTCTGTAAAGGCAGCTGGCAGCTTTTTGGGAAAAGAACGTGCTCGTCTGTTCTCTGGCATCAAGTTTCTTGCAGCTGCTCTGAGGGAGAGACAGTGAGCTGCAAGACTGCCTCCCCATAACAACAGGCAACTCAGAGAAGAGTCATTTTATGTTGTTCCTATGGAATCTGGAATGAGTGCAGAGCTCCTACCCACACATGACTGCCCCGCCATTTCATCCTAGGCATTCTGTGAAGGAGATTGGTTAGTCCAAACTTGCTAACATACGAAAATTCACTTGGAACATGATGAGAGATTTCTTATTGAGGCCAAGAGATGTTTCCTGTCCCAGAGGAACCATTAGGAGTCGCTTTTAGGGTATTCAGCTTTGTTCATGAAATAAGGCATCTCTGAGAAAGTGGCCCCAGGGAGAGAATGGAGGACTGGGAGGAGAAGCATTAACTGAGCTCCAAGGGTGTGTGGGCAGAGAGCTTGCTATGTGAACTCACTCCTTAAGAAAATGGAAGAGAAAAAGAGAGTGCTAGTTAAAAAATCGGGATGTTTTAGTTTGGATTTAGGGTTTTGATACTTATGTTGAAATACTAATGTTTCTGATCAATAAAATCAAACTCTTAATATACCGAGTAATGAAACCATAGTGTGATTGCCTCAGAATAAATTGAGAAGTCCAACTTCCTAGTTTTGTTTAATTAGTTTCACTTTTTCTACTCTCCCCAGTATGCTAGAAATGGGAATCGTTGCCCTGCAGATTACGGCAAAACATCTGTTTTAAGCAAAGCTGCATTTTTTGACTCAGAAATTGTCCCAGACGGTGGATATAAGATGAAATTCAGAAAAACGTTCTGCCAAGTCACAGGCTTTTAGATATTATGGAAACAAGAAATGGAAAACAGGATGATCTCCATGAGAGGCCTTGATCCTGAGAGTAAAAGGCTTGTGTAGATAGGTTAGACAACGTCCTCTAGAAAAGAGACCAGGGATAAGTCCAGGTTTCCAGGAAAACCAAGAAGCCTGCGGGTAGCTGAAGGTAGAGTGCTAGTTGTTCATCTTAACTTACCAATGAGCTACAGAAAGGACTTAGCATCTGATGTCATCAGCTTTGCCAGGAGAGTGATCAAGGAGGTTAAAGCTCAGGTAAAGGTGTGCCTTCTCAGAGATTGGCTACAAGCAACAGAGACCACCTCAACAGAGACCACCTCAACAGACTCAGCCCAGCCATACAAGGTGCCAAAGCTCCTCCAGAGGGCTGTCTTGGGCCTTTGAGGCAATTGATCTCCAGAAAGAGTCAGAAGTCATTCCAGTCCAGGCCCAGGTATTCAGATGGTGACCCAGCCAGATAATAGTATCTTGAGCAAATAATAGTATCTTGAGTGCAAATAAGCAGGAAGACTGTCCTTCAAAAAATGTGGGGTTACATGATTTTCAGAGCCTTTTTTTCAGAGTTGAGCATCTTTTCTTTTAAAAGAAATAAGGGGCAAGAGGACCAATTTTATTCCTTGAGGAAAAATGACACACCCTTCTCCCAAAAGAAAGAAAACTCTCTGGCCCCCCAACTTCAACACTAATTTGGCTCCCTGAAGAAGAGAGAAAATATTATTTCTGTCTTTATTGAAGAGAAATGGGCAATGCCAATGTGAAGGTTACTAGTCTTTTTTATTTTCTATTGGTGAAGACTACTACTGCTCTTATTTAGCAGATCTTATACCTTCAGTGGTCACCAGTATAGCAGGTGAGGTATAAGGAAAACAGCAGTGTGATGATAAATGGTAATTAATATACTTTGTCTGTGTCAGCAATAGGGAATGGTGGGGACTGTGGCAAACTGAAGCGCCCCTGTTCCACCCACAGTGGGTAATTTTCCAGTCGACTGTGGCCATGAAGTACTTCCTGATCTTCCCATTTTTCAAGAAAAGCTGACAATCTGGATTTTTATATGAAAAATTCTGATTTTAAAAAATATTGGCAACTAAGTTAAAATTCAAGTGAATTTAGACCCAGCAGAAGACATGGATGGACCTGATTTGGTCCACTGACTACCAGTTTGTTAACCTGTGCTTTATAAGATTTGAAGGAAAGGCATTCATGGTAATTACAGACGGTGCCACCAGAAAATGCTCTTGCTAAATGCAGCCAGTAGTTAGATTGCTTCTTTCTCCAGTCTCCCCCGCAAAGAAATTTGACGTGATTCTGAATGCACTGGACATGTCTTGATTGCGTCTTTACATTTCACAGTGTCTTAAAAGAAAGGCAAGCCAGTTGTTAATTTCAGAATCAGATTTATGCTCTCTCAATTTAAAAAATGCTGGGAACAATTTCATTTTTTTTTTTTTGAGATGGAGTCTTGCTCTGTTGCCCAGGCTGGAGTGCAGTGGCGTGATCTCGGCTCACTGCAAGCTCCACCTCCCGGGTTCACGCCATTCTCCTGCCTCAGCCTCCTGAGTAGCTGGGACTACAGGCGCCCACCACCACGCCTGGCTAATTTTTTTGTATTTTTAGTAGAGACGGGGTTTCACTGTGTTAGCCAGGATGATCTCGATCTCCTGACCTGGTGATCCGCTTGCCTCGGCCTCCCAAAGTGCTGGGATTACAGGCGTGAGCCACTGCGCCCGGCCTAACAATTTCATTTAAACTCCACAACCTAAAGGGCTTTGTTTATAGTTTTAGCTCTTGGCATAATTTTTTTCAGGTGGTGTGCAATTCTGAGCATAGGCCAAGACATGATTAGGAAAGCAGGCAGTTGTAGAGAGTAAGGCAAGGAACCTCCTAGCGTCCATTAGAGCCAGGTATTTGCATTATCTTCCGTTTTAAGTGGTCTGTGAATTGACTGTGTTTTGGAGGTGTGAAACAGTATACAGAGAAAAGCTTTTCCTGATACTGAGATATCAGTTAGGAGTCCAAATGGGGTGTTGGGTCATCCTTGCCATATCACCTCCTTTCCAGGCTCAGAGTGAAAATAGACAAAAGGAAATCTGACTGCAAGCCAGTGGCTTTGATTCCAGTTTCAGAGTTTAGGGACTAGGAGAGAGTTTAGATTATCTAGCATATTCTCCCCCTGGTGTCAGACAGGGCTGTGCCTGAATTATTCCAGACATATGGCTGTAGATGGTATTCTTTATTTTATAAGAAGGAGATTCTGTAACCTACCCTGCTGATCAGATAGTTCTTTGTATGTCTTAGAGAAATTCAAGCCAGCTTCCTTTTGTTCGGCTTGTAGTGGAGAAAGAACAGCTGGTCACCTTCCATGTATTCAAAAACCACAGTGAAGTCATCCCCCTGGTGTTTTTATTTCAGTGATAAATAATTCCACCCACTTAAACCATTCTTCATGGCTCTTGTTTTCCAGGGGCCTAATAATTTTCACTGCTGTAATGTTTCTCAGCTTCACACTTAGTTTAGTTGCCCAAACAATGTTGGTGCCTTACTCACATTGGTGCCTTGTGAAGACGAGGCTCAGGATGGGGATTATGGGGAAATTCTTGCACACCCAGCTCCTCTTACCACTTAAAAATATAATGGCACTTTCACAAAATGATATGTCACCTATATTCATTGAGAATTATTTGACTGCCACATTTTTCCCCTGATGATAGTCATCTATCATAACTTGTGTTTGTTTTCCTCCTGAGATCAAACACTTGGTGCTTATTCCTGATGTATACTCTGAGACCAGCTCTTACCTTCTGAGTGGCAGCTACCCCTCCCTCCCAATTTTAGATCCTATTTTTACACATCTCTATAGATATCACCTTTATTTCATGACTCACAATATTAAATGGTACAGACTTCAGTTTAACCACTGGTGTGGTAACAGCAGTAGTTGCTAAGTACCACCTTCCCATTGCTGTTTGAGGGCTAATTTGCAAAGACATTTGAATCTCCCAGTGAAGATGTCTGGGGAATTTTGGCCAGTTGTCTTCCCTCTTGCCCTTTTGTTCTTTAAAATTCAGCTTGGACCATAGACACCTCCAGGATCTTGTTTATGTTCTGCTCTCAATTGACCAAGCACTGCGTTTTGCACAATCAGAAGTCTCACAAAAGCAAACAGTTATGACTGCATATCTGATGTTTATATCCTATAAAATTTCAGGAAGATTCAGAGTCAATCTTCTATTTGTACATGATGTAGACAAAATTAGCTGCTCCAATTGTTAGACAAAAAATTGCCATTGGATTACACTAATGTGCTCATCTGTTGTTTTAAAAGTTTGGTATCAGGCGGGGCACGGTGGCTCACGCCTGTAATCCCAGCATTTTGGGAGGCCAAGGTGGGCGGATCACCTGAGGTCCAGAGTTCAAGACCAGCCTGACCAACATGGTGAAACCCTGTCTCTACTAAAAATACAAAATTAATCAGGCGTGGTTGTGTGTGCCTGTAATCCCAGCTACTCGAGAGGCTGAGGCAGGAGAATCGCTTGAATCCGGGAGGCAGAGGTTGCAGTGAGCTGAGATCACGCCATTGCACTCTAGCCTGGGCAACAAGAGCGAAACTCCGTCTCAACAACAACAACAAAAAGTTTGGTATGTTTCTCTCAAGAAAAAAGCATGGTGAGTCCAGACAGCAGCAAAAGCTTTTGTGAAAACCAATTGTGTTCATCTAGATAGTAAGTAACTCCTATTTTTACTGTTAATTTTTTAAAAGAGAATTTTTCCCTGTGGAAACTCCCTGTTAGTACGTCCTAGGGGAGAAAGCCTGTGGAATATGGTGGTTATTGATGGCGTTGCCTTTGTTTCATCTTTGAGTTTGCCCTTTGTGGGATCTAGTGGGATAATGAGCACTGACAGAACTCTTAACAGCGTGCTGTATTTTTGACATTGAAAATGTTAATGACTTGATTTGTACATAACTCTGTAACTAGGTGAAAGTAGATCACAGCTGACATTTACAAAATGTTTTTGTACCTTAGAATTTCTGCATTAAATAAAATGTTTTGTTTTAAGGTTGTAGTGGCTCATTTTTCAGCACATCTTTCTTGTTTCCTGACTGTCTGGGGTTCCCAGCCCAGTTTTCAGAGGGCTCTGCCTCAGGACGAGGAGGCCAGGGGTGGCCAGTCTTCCTTGCCCTTTAGAGAACAGGACCCTGCTGCCCTAGACCTTCAGCTCGGCTCCACAGGCAATCAGTCGCCCATTACCCGTGTGGCATCAGGAGGCTTCCCTGTTGCAACAGGGTTACTTATGTCAGAAAGAAATTTGACTTCTCAGAACAAATGGACTTTCTTTTTAGAAATTTGAAAAAAGCCACTGAGATTTGGGGGCTGCACGCAAATTTTTTTTGTCACTCAGAAAAAGAGATGCCTGCTCAGTCTTCCATGGACATCCTCCCCTCCTGTGACCCCCATGCTCTGTGAGTTAACTTCTTGGTGTCCATCACCTTCAGGGTCAGGTCCCAGCTCTGCTGAATTTTTTTTTTTTTTTTTTAAAGAGGTAGGCTCTCCCTAATTTGCCCAGGCTGCTCTTGAGCTCCTGAGCTCAGGCGATCCTCCCGTCTCAGTCTCCCAAAGTGCTGGGACTACAGGTGTGAGCCACTATGCCTGGCCTCTGCTACTGTTGCTGTGCCCCAGTGACTGTCAGACTCTGCCCCTCAGCCTCTCACCCGTAAAGAGGTCCTACTTTAGAGGGCAGTGAATTAAACTGCATGGTGAATGTAAAGTGCCACCTGCGCATTCCTGGCTCATAGTCCATGCTCAGTAAATGACAGTGTCCACAGGAGAACAGTGAGGGTTAACAAATAGCAAGGACATAGAATACAAGCTTTTGACCATTGCCCGAGCAGGATATAGTCTAAGTTTGGGGTCTTGGGACCATAATAGATTTTAAAAACTGGATCTTCCTTATTTACTTGTTCCTTCTCATACTTCACTGGGATGTTAATGTGCTCAGGGCCTACAACCTACTCTGGGGAACCCAAGGAAAACAGAAGGAGTGGTAAAAAACAAAACCCCCTCAAAGAAAACAGCTCTGAGGGAAGCACTGTTGTTTCTGAGAGGAGGAAATTCTCACACATTCTTGCCTCCTGACCTTCGCATAGCCTTCGTTTCTCCTGGGTAGAGTCACCCAGGAGGCTCCTTGTCATTTCTCCCATTGATTTCCTTTTCCCCCACACTCTGTCAATTCT
Organism: Homo sapiens; assembly: GCF_000001405.40. Taxonomy (NCBI): domain Eukaryota; kingdom Metazoa; phylum Chordata; class Mammalia; order Primates; family Hominidae; genus Homo; species Homo sapiens. Next base: position 57,088,806 of record NC_000003.12, on the reverse strand, counting down.
TTTTAGTTCCAGGAGTGCTAAGTGCTTTACACACATCATCTCATTCATCTTCACGGCTGCTCTGTGAGGTGGCCAATCGTACTGTTCCCATTATACAGATGAGGAAACTGAGGCTCAGAGAGGCTATAACTGACTTGTGATCCCATAGCTGGCTAGTGGCAGAGCCAGGATATGAGCTGAGGCAAACCCTACCTAGACTGCTCAGGTAACCCCTTGGTAAAGGTCAAGCCAGCCAGGTAGGGATGGACTCAAAAATGTGTGGTCAAAGGCAATAGAGAGCTTTCCCGTAAAATGAGTGGCAGAGAGGAAGTGATGATTGCCAACCTCTGAATGTCAGTAGGGCTGGTTCCTGCTCTTAGTGCTCTTCATGTTTTTTCTCACCATGACCCCCTATGGGGGGTACTATCAGCAGCCTCAATTTTGAGATTCTGATGTCTAGAAATTCTATAGCTTTGCCAAGGGCACAAACAAGAAATTGGCAGCACTGGAGTTGAAGTCTGATTGAAGCATCACCACTCCTGATCAATAGGCTGCTCTGTCCCTCAGTAACAGTTTAAGCGGAAGGAAGAATCTTGAGTGACTTGGTTCCTTTCTCTTGCAAATTCTGAGTGTAAATCTGGTTCAGAGTTGAAGCAAATGGATCTCGTTAGGCAGATACTGCAATACATGAATTTCTCTTTCCTTTTCTTTCATTAAAATAAAAGTTACAGCTGGGCTTGGCAGTGCGCACCTATAGACTCACCTACTTAGCAGGCTGAGGCCTCAAAAAGTACAAATAGTTCAGGCATGGTGACTTACACCTGTAATCTCAGCACTTTGGGAGGCCAAGACAGGAGAATCACTTCAGACCAGAAGTCTAAGACCAGCCTGGGCAACATAGCAAGACCCCATCTTTACAAAAAAATTTAAAAATTAGCTGGGCATGGTGGTGTGTGCTAGTAGTCCTAGGTATTCAGGAGGCTGAGGTGAAAGGATCACTTGAGCCCAGGAGTTTGAGGCTGCAGTGAACTATATGATCACACCACTTCACTGCAGCCTGGGCAACAGAGCAAGATCCTGTCTCAAAAAATTTTAAGTTAAAATTAAAAAGTTAAAAAAGAAAAAAAAAACATTGCAGCTAGTACTTTCTATTAATGTTCTCTTGGGACAGCATGAGAAGCCCTCATTTTTACCATGATATTAGAAAGCTCTCTGTTTTTACAGCTGCCTAGGGTTCTTGCAGTCCCCAACATCTGTGGGGCCCTGCCACTGGCTTTGCTTTGTTTTAGAAATACCAGTATTAGAGGAGCAAAGACCAGCTTCCTCTTACAGGCTCTAACTACAAAAAAAAAAAAAAAATTGTTGCTTTAGTTGAATAAGAACTACAGGTGATAAGCTAAGCAGGTGGAGGAGGGAGGAGACATAAAATCTATCTTTGCAGTCCTGGGCACAGTGGGTCCCCAATAAATGTGTTTCCCACTGCTCCCTCAGCATATTCTGTCCTCACTGTCCACAAGGAATGAAATCATAAGAGGCCCAAGAATAGGATAAGTTAGAGGATGCAATGAAGGGGAGAGATGGACACAAACACGGCATAAGAACTTTTGCAATGAGAAAATTCAAATGGGGCCCTTGGGATTAAAGAAAAGAAATGCAAGATCAGTGAGCTTGGCTCCCTGGCCTCTTTCTGGAAGGGACCTTGCACCATCTTTCACATTTATACATGCTACAACTGCCTTAACAGGGTTAATTCCAAAGTGTGTGCTGGGAAACAGACATAGTGATGGACATGGTACACAGTACTCCTGCCCTCCTGACTCCACCTCTTCCTATGTATAGAGTTGAGGGCAAGTCATCTAAGTGTTCTGAAACTCAGTTTCTTCATCTGTAAGATGGGCCTAATACTCACCACAAAGGGTTATTGTGAGGATTAAATGAGATGGAGTATATAAAGTACCCAAGGCTGTGCTCAGCAAATGCCAGGTACTTGGTGAATAGTAGCTATTAATTATATAATGGAAGAGCAGGTCTTGGGCTTTTTGGGGGCCATATCGGGATGGGTGGGAGACAGTTCCATGCCCACAAGGAACTTTAGGCCAAGTGCTTTGTCAGGTGATAAGTTGTATCATTTCTATCCCCTAAAAGAAAAGGGTGGGTCCATGCCTGGCTGTTGCAGAGGTGAGGGTTGAAGAGGAACTTAATTTGGCAAAATTAAGACATTAGCTCTGGGGTTCCCAATAGCTGACCACACATAGCCTGTGACAGTTGACTGTGCACCTTGAGATCTGCTGATGTTCCATTCCCCAGACTCCTTTTTTCCTGGTTGCCATTTAATCCTGATAGAGATACATTTTTCTGGACTTGCTGCTGTAAGGTCTCTGTGCCAGGCAGATGACCACTCTCCACTCTGAATGTGAACAAAGGCAGGGGTTGTTTCTCAAACCATCAGCACAAGGTCAGGGCAATTTCCCAAGTTTTAGAAATTAGTGGAGGGAGGTGGGAGGAGATCAAATAACAGTCTTCCAGAATGAGATGGCTCTGCCTGGTCTTTTTCACTCTTGCTGGTCAGAGACATTCTGGGGAGTGGGCAGACATCAGCCTCAAAACAAACCATAGACTTCCTACCAGGTTGGGCAAGGCCAGGCCAGAGGAAACTTGTAGAAAAGAAAGGCAGGAGCATGCCTGGCAGCTGAATGCAAATACAGTCAGGTCCTGCCTTTGGTTCTGTATCTCTGGAGGTAGATATGCTTCAGTATCTTGCACACCTGTGTATAATTGTGTGTTATTATTCATGAGATGAAAATTAGCATTGTGATTAAAGTTGAGGCAGGCTTTGGTCTGAGGCATCTTGAACTTAGATCTCAGTTTGCCATTTTCTGTGTTTCCCTAAGCAGGTGCCTTGCCCTGTTTAGGACTTATTTTCTCCATCTAGAAAACAGTTAATAATAGGGCCAGGCACAGTGGCTCATACCTGTAACCCCAGCACTTTGGGAGGCCGAGGTGGGCGGATCACCTGAGGTCAGGAGTTCGAGACCAGCCTGGCCAACATGTTGAAACCCCGTCTCTACTAAAAATACAAAAATCAGCTGGGCATGGTGGCATGTGCCTGTAGTCTCAGCGACTCAGGAGGCTGAGGTGGGAGGATCACTTGAGCCTGGGAAGTGGAGGTTGCAGTGAGCCGAGATCGCACCACTGCACTCCAGCCTGGGCGACAGAGCAAAACTCTGTCTCAAAACAACAAAACAAAACAAAAAAACAGTTAATAATTCAGTACCTAATGGGTCTATTTTGAGGCTGGGTGAAATTCTGGGCACAAAGGATGGCACGCAGAAAGCCCCTGTTCCTATAGGGATGAGTCATGGGGGCAGGTTAGGAGGTGTACAGTTACGAAATGGGATTTCTCCTGAATGTCTCCCTTGGCCCTGGCCTGGGTAGCTGATGGCGTAGCTAACTGAAATGGAATCCCTGCCTCCTGGAGGTCTCAGTTCCACAGGGCAGCTGGGAATGGTCTTCAAGGGAGATGGGTACTTGATCAGATGTCACTTTCTGCTGAAAACCACTAGTGGCCCTGGAAGTGAATACCGAATCTCTTATGTGATGCCTTGCTGACTTCTCCTCTCTGTGTCCCTTCTTTCTCTGATCATACCAGACTGTTGAAATTCCTCACTCCTGTGTTCCTGCCCCGGGTTCTTTGCATGTGCTGTTTCTTCTACCTGAATCACCCTTTCTCAGTCTCCATCCCTCCTTTGCAATGAGACCTTCCCTGTCTACTGTCCACCTCTAGTCTAGGTCCTGACATGTGTCTTCAGGAACCTCTTGCTCACTAGAATGTTGCTTCATGAGGGGAGGCCGTATCCCTTGCGGAGGCCTTCCATCTGGACTGGACTCTTGTTTTACTGCTTTAACCAGCTTGCACCCCACCCTACCACTGAGTAGTCACTGGGGCAAGTCACCTCATCTCCCTGGTTCTCAGTTTCCTCATCAGTCAGACGAAGGTAAAAAAATGTACCTGCCTCATGGGGTTGTTGTGAGGATAAAGCAGGGGATGGGAGGGGATAGCCCGCTCAGTGCCTGGCACATGACAAGTGCTCAAAAACATTACTATCTGTTTTAGCTGTCATCAAGATAGGGAATAATAGTGTTTTTTTCTTTTCTTTCTTTATTATTTTTATTATTTATTTAACAGGGTCTCACTGTGTCACCCCAAGCTGCAGATCCACTCACTACAGCCTCAACCTCCCAGGCTCAAGCGATCCTCCCACTTTAGCCTCCTGAGTAGCTGGGACTATAGGCCTGCGCCACCATGCCCCACTGATTTTTGTGTTTTTTTGTAGAGATGGGGTTTCACCATGTTGCCCAGGCTGGTCTTGAACTCCTGGGCTCAAGCAATCTACCTGCTTTGGCCTCTCAAAGCGCTAGGATTACAGGCATGAGCCATGTGCCCGGCTGAGAAATAACAGTTATTAGTAAATTTAAAAGGCTCCCTAGAAGAGAAAACTGCATCTGTGCCTCACTTTGCAAATTGGAACATGGCTCCCATCCATTTACCATGATCCCAGAGTGGAGAACGACTGGGCTGTTTTATGTATTTCCCCCACAAGGCTCTGTTATCTCAAGGTTTTACACCCTGTGGTTCCTGTCCTCAGACTGGATAATAGCTTGCTATAGACACAGGTTTGGTTAGCGACACGAGCCGTATCAGAATTACCAATGTGTGTTGGATGCCTGCTACTATGCCATGCATTGCATAGTGCCTGAGCTCCCCTCAGCCTCCCAAAGGGACTTTGGAGCCCATGTCCCACCTCAGGACAGGGCTCAAGTTGTATTTGAACTCAGGTATTTCCCACTCCACAGCCTCTCTCTGTCTTCCCACTCCCCAGCTCAGCCTTGCTCCTCAGGTTTTCTAACCCAGATTATGAAAGCAGAAAGGACTTGCTTCCAAAGAAGGCTTTTAGTAGCACTTGAAGAGCATTGCTTAGGCCTGAACAATAAGACTGACACCCAGGCCAGGCGCAGTGACTCACACCTGTAATCCCAGCACTTTGGAAGGCCGAGGCGGGCGGATCACGAGGTCAGGAGTGTGAAACCAGCCTGACCAACATGGTGAAACCCCGTCTCTACTGAAAATACAAAAATTAGCCGGGTGTGGTGGCGTGGGCCTGTAATCCCAGCTACTCAGTAGGCTGAGGCAGGAGAATCACTTGAGCCCGGGAGGCAGAGGCTGCAGTGAGCCGAGATCGCGCCATTGCACTGCAGCCTGGGTGATACAGTGAGACTCTTGTCTCAAAAAAAAAAAAAAGACCGATACCCAGACACATCACCATCCCCTGGGTGAAGACTGCAACCGGACACGGCACACCTTTCAAATGCCAAAAAGTGGGGGAGGGGGAGCATCTATACAGTGCATTGCTACAGGCAGAGAGTTAAATGTCTCTTCCAGTAATTCCACTTCTGGGGTTTTATCTTTAGTAAGTAACTAAAAATGCGTGCTTACATTTGTTGTGCAAAGATTTTTGAGGCTGGATATGGTGGCTCATGCCTATAATCCCAGCACTTTGGGAGGCTGAGGCGGGTAGATTGCTTGAGTTTAGGAGTTGGTGACCAGCTTTGGCAACATAGTGAGAACCTGTCTCTACAAAAAAATACAAAAATTAGCTGGGTATGGTGGTGCACGCCTGTAGTCCCAGCTACTTGGGAGACTGAGGTGAGAGGATCACTTGAGCCTGGGAGGTCAAGGTTGTACTGAGCTGAGATTGTGCCACTGCACTCCAGCCTGGGCAAGACACCGAGACCCTGCCTCAAAAAAAAAAAAAAAAAAAAAAAAAAAAAAAAAAAAAAAAAGATTTTCAGGCCGGAAGTGGTGGCTCACACCTGTAATCCCCGCTTTGGGAGGCCAAGGTGGGTGGATCACTTGAGGCCAGGAGTTTGAGACCAGCCTGGCCAACATGGCAAAACCCCATTTCTAATTAAAAAAAAAAATTAGCTGGGCATGGTGGTGGGTGCCTGTGATTCCAGCTACTCGGGAAGCTGAGGCACGAGAATCACTTGAACCTGGGAGGTGAAGGTTGCAGTGAGATCACATCACTGTATTCCAGCCTGCGCAACAGAGTGAGGTTCTGCCTCAAAAAACAAACAAACAAAAAATTCATTACTAAGCATTATCCTGATAACGAGAAATGAGGAACAAACCAAGTACCAGTCGGAATTGATTATAAGAGGGCACATGCATACAATGGACCAAATGGCCTTTAGCAATCATGTTGTGGGAGAATATTTCACGACAAAGGAAAGCATTCACAATATGTTAAATGAAAAATAAAGGACACAGATTAACAGTGGTTACTGCTGGATGGTGTGATTGTGGGTGGGTTTTCTTATTCTTTGTACCTCTGCTATTTTCTATATTGCTTTACAGTGAGTAGTGTTACATAAGCAGAGGGTTTTAAATGTAAGGTTACACACAACAGACACTCAGCAAGTGTTCAAGGTACCCAGTGGTTACTAGGTGGCTGGGGCCAGTCATCTCAGAGTCCCACCCTTGACCCTGGTTGTGCCTTCTCCTGCGGCTGCTTTCCCTGAAGGTGCTACCCAGCCCCTTGCCCTGGCCCCTCTCCATTGCTTTTCTGCCTGGTGTCAGTCACAGCTCATCCTTTGCCCATCCAGGTGGGGGTTTCTTGCAGAAACCCTGGCTTCCCCAATTGATGATTTTGTTAAGTAACTGCCCTGATCCCACCCTAGCCTGATTTTTTTTTTTTTTTTTTTTTTGAGATAAGGTTTCTCTGTTAGCCCGGGTTGGAGTACAGTGGTGTGATCATGGCTTACTGCAACCCCAAACTGGGTTCAAACAATCCTCCTGCCTCAGCCTCCTGAGTAGCTGGGACTACAGAAACACACCACCACGCCGAGCTAATTTTTAAATTTTTGGTAGAGACAGGGATCTCACTTTGTTGCCCAGGCTGGTCTTAAACTCCTGGCTTCAAGTGATCCTCCCACTTTGGCCTCCCAAAGTGCTGGGATTACAGGTGTGAGCCACCGTACATGGCCTTCTCATCCTGTCTTGTAGTTTGGGGAGAGGGAACTGAACTTAAGAACGGGCCCTTATGAATAAACTGACTATTTCAAGGAGAAGAGATGACTGACCATCAGAGGCTTCTGGAGTCTTCACCAGTTTCCAAACTTTGTGGATAGACATCCACATTTCCTGCCTATCTTCTCTCTCACCCCATAAAGGACTGTCTTTGGGTGTATCACCTCTCCCCCCACAGACTCTCAGTCTGAGTCTAGGAACGAAGTCCTCCCCAACCCTAAGCCCACCTCAGGGCCAAGCACAGCATGGATAGGAGAGGGTGGGAGAGCTGCACATAGAAACCTTGTGGGTTAAATTGCTGTGTTGCTAATCTAAATATCCTACTTGCAGATGTGTCCTGCTTTCCGGAAATCCTGAATTATAAAACAGAGGAAGTCAAGGCATTTGCCTTTAGTAATAATAAAAAGGCACATTGCCTTTGGCTGTATATAGGAGACTCACTTGCCACATCATCTTTCACTCAGCAGCCAGTGTGATGTCTTCAAACTGTAGCTCACATCCCATCATGTCTCTGTCTGAACCTTTCGGTGGACAAGGTCTAATGTCTCACTTTGTCCATCAAGGCCCCTCCAGCCTCTTTCTCCCCTTACCTCCCCCGTCCATGGACTTCCAGCAGTGTGACCTGTGCTCTGCCTGGGCCAGTACTTCTTCCAGGTGTCTGTCACCACATCCTGATCCCTTGCTGCCTGGTGAGGGGTCAGTCGACTATCTCCCTCATCAGCTCATAAGCTCCATAAGGTCAGGGATAGTGTCTATCTTGGTATCCAGTCACTACTGTCCCCAGAGCCTAGCACAGTGTGTGGCATGTAGTAGATGCTCAAATAATTGTTAAATTGAATCTCATGCAAAGAAAACTTTTCTCTTTGACAAGCTTGCCTGGGTAGAACACCAGGTGTTGGCTGGCGGATCTGAAGGGACTGCTGGGCTCAGATGAGGGAGCAGGCTCTTCAGAGAGAGGAGAAGCCCTTTGCTTAGTAAATGTAATTACTTGATAAACACGCCTGGTTGTCGTAGGGATCTTCTGCTTTAGGGAGGAAGGAGAATGACAAAAGGGTTCTTGGGGAAAAGGTTGAGGACTAGGGGTCTGGACACAGGAGTTGTCCTTGGAAACGGAGTACTGGAGAGAGTGTGTTCCCTGAATAGGAAACTGGTGGGTCATAACGCATTGAGTCTGGGGTCAAGGAACCCCCAGAAGCTGTAGTGGGATGAAGTTGCAGCTGTTGGAACAGAAGTTGGTTTGCTCAAGATGCCCAGTTTCTGGCCCAAAAGGTGGGCTGCAGGCCAGGAAGAGGCCACCCAGCACTGCAAGGCTGAGCACTTGCAACAGAAGGCAGAGGTTGCTGTGAAGTAAGTCTGGAAGATCTGCATCCCAGCTGCTGCTGTCACTACAGGTGGTCTCCCAGGGAGCTCTCAACCCTCACACCCTTCCTGCACCTGCGCAAGAGTCTTAGTACTTTGGGCTGATGCTCTTTCCTCTGTAAACAGGGGCCAGACTGTGATCCTCTGGCTCTGGGGGCTGGCTTCACCTTGCTAAGCTTCGATTTCTTCATTTGAGAAGCGGGCCCGCACAGGCCCTCCACCTTAAAGGCTGTCGTTAATGTTAACTTCGATCAAGCACCTAAAATGCACCGCTGGCACATGGGGGGAACCGATGAATTTTTTATTTTTAGCATCAGAGTTTACACTTTCTTGAGCCCAGTAACTACAGTCTGGGGCATTCTTTATTTCTGATTTTAAGAGGTGGTGAAGACCGTAGGCGTTCATCTGTTGAATGAATGAATGCCTGCAGAAACTCGCTTTATTTAGAGTCCCATATTTATTTCCGTATGCACGACCCAGGCCCCTCACTTTCAGGCTCTGCGTCCACCTACAGGCCGGCGATTCCTGAGAGCTTGCTGGGCGCCGGGGTTCACGCAGCTCCAGGCTCGTCCTCATTCTCACCTCCACCGTGGAGGAAAGTGAGGCTTGGGCAAGATCTGACACACCCAAGATCAGCCCAGCGGTGGGGGTGGGGGCGCCGCGTGCAGGCTCTGGCCCTGGACCGCTAGGGTAGCCCCTACCACCCCGGCACGAGAGTCCACTCCCACTCGGGTACCTGGCCCTTGACCCGCCCTCGGGGTTTCCGCGGCGCGTTCTCTGGCGGGACAGTGGGAGCGAGGGGCAGGGCTGTTTACCCCTCCTCCGACTCGGTCAATTCTCTCCGCCTGAGTCTGATTTAGGTGGCGGCGGGGGAGGGATGTCCTGGGGCCTCCGCTCTCCTCTTTCTAGCCTCCCTGTAGACCTAGGCCGTGCATGGGGAGCTGGGGTGTCGAGCGGTGGCCGGGCGTGGCCACGTCCAAGTCCTGCGTCGCCCGGCTCCGGCGCCCGCGGGGGTCCCCGGCCCGCCTCCCGCCCACGTGGCCGGCCCGGCCTCCCCGCCCCCGGCCCCGCCCAGCCCAGGGGAGCCGCCGCCGCAGCCGCCGCCGCCGCGGTGAGTTTTCCAGCCTGGAGAGGCCGAACCAGCGCGGGGGTCGAGGTGAGTGCGGGAAGCAGTCGGGAAACCCGCTCCCGCGCTAGACCCTCCCCGGCTAGACACCCCTTTGGCGGGACACCCCCGCTAGGTCTCCCGGAGTGAGACCGTCTTCCGGTCTAGTCCCTCCTTTGCCCTGGTCCCCGAGCTGGACCCCCACTCCCACCTCCGAGTTACCCTGCTAGGTCTCGGCGTCCCCGGCGGGCCCTGAGCGCTCCCTGGTCTGGGGTATGCCCAGCGCACGGGGGCGCACTGGGCGCAGCGCAGGTGGGCAGTGCCACCGCCAGCCTCGACTAGCCGTCGCTCCTGCTGGGGACCCTGACTCTGTTCCCCGGGTAGCCCCTTGAGCGAAAATTCCCGGAGCCACTTCCGGGGAGGGAGGTGCCACCTGTCCTGGGACGCGCCCCTTTCGCTCAACTTTCTTCTCCAGCCCCGCGGGGCACCCGCAGGTCAGCGTCGCGTCGGGCGCTGCTGGTGGCGGCTCACAGGGCCGCGGGTCACTTCGCGGCGGGGGAGCCGGGCTCAGGGCGCTCCGGGCGGCGGGCGCCGTCCCAGCCTGCCTGAGGCCCTTGTCCCGGCGGCTGCATCTTGTAAACCGAGCAGCCAGAAAATCCCGAGATAGGACACCAGGGTGGAGGACGCCAAGGGGTTAAGGTCAGCGTGGGTGCCTCGCAGCCAGAGACGGGTGAGCGTTTTCTGAGGCTGGAAGCTGATTGAGCCGAGTGGAAACGGGTTCCCTTGGGCTTTGCGGTGGTGGAGAGCTGCTCTTGCACTATCAGCAGCCCCATCACGGGCTTGAATGTTGCGGAAACAGAGCGCCTTGTTCTTAGAGGACTCGGCTTGCTGGATTTATTGCCTGGCCCAGGCTTGCTTCCCGCACTGGGCGAGGACGCGAGAACTGCCAGACGGTAGTTGCCCTGAATGTACCGGTAGAAACTTATTTTTAAGCGTTCCATGCACTACCCAGGTATAACCACTTTCTTCCCTGGGGTGTGGAGAAGGGGAGCTTTGCTAGGTCTTTGTCTTAGCTGTGTAGTCCTAGGCAAGTTACTTCGCTTACCTATGCCTCAGTTTTCTCATCTGTAAAGTGGGGATGATAACAGTACAAACCTTAAAGAGTTGTATAGGGATAAAGTGCTTAAAATACTGACTGGGGCAGGGTAAATCCTCTGTGTTAGCTGCTCTTGTGATTATTATCACTGACATCTAACAGCGCGTGCACAGCCCTAGCTTCTCAATGAGGTGGGTGTGCAGGCAGTTGCTCCTTCCCCTTATTCTGGTAAGGAGCTGGTGGTGCTTACACAGTAGCCATGGTGTTCCCTTCCGCACTGGGAAATTTGAGCTTTGCTGTAACACCTCCTATGGCTAACTAGCCTTGTGCAAAGTATATCTCAGAATGTGGGATTAGAGATGAACTTTGTCAAGGACACTGTTGGGAAATGGGGTCTTGGACCTTCTCTGGAAGCTCTGGGGTGTGATTGAATGTTTGCCTCTTGGTTGGGGGGAGGGTGGGTAGATTTCACTTGATTCTTTTAAGCCTTGGGTCTCCTGACAGTCTGACATTGTCTAGTCTCTGTGAGTGTGGGAGTCTATTTAAGGGTCCAGGGACCTGATCTTGTCACCTTCTCCCACATTCATTCATTTCTAGCAGATTGCCCCCTCCATCTGTAGAGTTTTCCTGGTCTGCACCCATTTGGTATCTTTCTTCTTGGCAATTTAGTTTCTGTCTTCTGAATCTCCACAGATAAGAGCTCTGAACCTGGAGCCCCACTGAACGTCCTGAAATCTACACGAGGCACTTGAAGCACAGTTATTTTTCCAGAGGTTTCCCCTTACATTGTATTTTCCATGAGGCCTGTGCCCCAGAAAAGTGGACTCTGAACTTCTGGTAGGAAAGTGGAGGTTCTTGCCCCGTTACATCTCAATTCCCTACAAACTGGGGGCTGCCCTTTGTGCCCCCTCCCAGAACACACTTTTCAGTGGGCAATACAGGTCAGCCTTGACTTGGTCAATTAGGGGAAAGAGAGGCAGGCTGTGAGGTTAGGGACTGTTGGCCTGTGGTGAGACCTTTAGGCTGGGATGCAATTCATGAACATTTGAGTTCAAGTTTTCAGAAGACTTCTCAGGGCCTTTGCACACGCTGTTCCCTCAACCTAGCATCACTTCTTCCATGCCAGGCACTTTCTTGCCATTTTGCTCAGATGTCTCCCCTGTACAGATGGTTTTTCTGACCACTCTGTCCAAAGCAGCCCCTCCCCCATTAGTTTCTATCACACTCTTTCTTGTATTTTATTCATAGAGCTTGCCCGGGATGATCTTATTCATACATTGATTTATAGGTTTATTGTGTGCATCCACCAAGGAGAATGTAGGATTCAAGAGGACAGAGGTGTGTTGTCCTGTTGACTACTGACTCCTGCTCCATGGCATACAGCGGGTGCACAATAACTGTCCTGAGTGAATGAACACCCATTGACTGAAGTGAGGTGAGTCTAGAGAGTAGTGAAATGCAAAGGAACTGGTTGCTTGTCAGGAGCTCAGGGTTGAAAGTGACCATTAATGTAGCATACTTTCACCTCCAGATTAAATCACCTCTGCAACACCTCTTCCTAGTTACTGTTTAACCTAAGCTTGAATCCTCTAGGCACAGGGAACTTGTCATCTCCTGCAATAGCCTGTTCCACTGGAGGAGAGGGGACAGAGAACCATTGGAGGAGAGGGGGCAGAGAACCAGATGTAGTCCCTGTACCACACTGTTGAGGACGAGATGTGGCCTCCTGCATGCTATCATTCTAGTCCTTATGGTCTGCTTCGTGTTCTGACTATCCTGCATTCATCAATATCCATCTCTAAAGTTCTCTGCCATAACTAAGGTCCCTGAGCCCCTGACCAGAACTTAGTATGCTGCCCAGTCATGTCTCACCAGAGGGGGTCTGAGGCAAAGAAGCATGAAGCAGAAAGGCCATTGCCATAGTTTAGTAACCCTTCAAGGCCAAGTTATGTATTGTTCAGGCTCCTGTAACTCATTGGGTTGGAGGTGGGGGTGGGTAGGGGCTGTCTCTCTTTTGTTCTTTTCCTGGATTTTTCTGTATCATTCCTTAATCAATTTATTAAAGCAACCCTAGCTATATTTAAAAGAAAATTAATCCTTGGACCCATTTTCTTAATGGTTTGTACAAATATTCTTTAATTCATATCACTTCGCTTGCACAGGTTGAAAGTCAACTGAAAATAAGTTTTTTAATATATAATTCTAATCTATTGAGTCAGTTTCTTCATGGGATAGTATCAGCATGATGGGTGGAGTGAGGTCTGCTGTGGAGAGGTTTGGTGACAAGCTTTGCTTTCTTCTTTACTTTGATGAAAATTGTTTATTCAGTTATGAAAATGGGTACACATTTCTTTTTCTTTTTTCTTTTTTAGAGATAGGGTCTTGCTTTCTTGCCCAGGCTGGCATGCAGTGGCGTGATCTTGGCTCACTGCAACATCTGCCTCTCAGGCTCAAGCAATCCTCCCACCTCAGCCTCCTGAGTAACTGGGACTATGGGCATGCACCACCATGCCTAGCTAATTTATGTATTTTTTGTAGAGATGGGGTTTCACCATGTTGCCCAGGCTGGTCTTGAATACCTGAGCTCAAGTGATCATCTGCCTTGGCCTCCCAAAGTGCTGGGATTACAGGCATGAGCCACCATGCCGGGCCCATTTTTTTTTTTTTCTTAAAAAAAGAAGAAAAAAAAAGAGGACTGGCAAGACTGTTCCTAATTGAGGTTGTATTTACACATGTCTTAGCCACTTAGCTCATTTATTTCATTTATTCAAAAACATTTAGGGAGAGAGGGCTACTCTGTGCGAGGCATTGCCCTGGTACTGACCACACAGCAGTCAAAGAAACTGACAGCATTCCTCCCTTGTGGAGTTTACATCCCAGTGGTGGAGATGGACAGTAGACAACTAGATCAGTAATAAGATGTGAGGGAGAGTGGCCAGTGTAATGGAGATGAAGCTGGGGAAGGAGATCCAGAGTGATGGGATGGAGGCAGAGCTGGCTTCAGTCAGAGAAGGTCTTTCTGAGGAGATAGCATTGGAGCAGAAACCCAGACAAATGAGGGAGCAGCCTCATGGACAATTGCATGCAACCTCATTCCATGCATATGGAGCCCAATGTTGTGGTCAAACTCCCCAGTGTGGCCAGTCAACTCCTGAGCACTGGACATGGTCTATCTCACTGCAGAAGGGGAGGGAAAATGAGACAATGTAGGCAGAACTCTCCTCCTGCCCTCCAGGTCCTGGCAGGTGGCTGGAGTAAGATCTTGGCGTTGTGTGTTCTGATGGTCAACTAGAAGGCTGGTACCTACATTTACAGGGTGAGACCTGAGCAATGTGTTCTGAAACTGCCACCTGGGGAATGAGCATGAGCCTAGGGGTCATTGCTGGAGTTATAATCCTGCACATTGTAAGACTTGCTCCACTGCACCTACCCTGGCAGTGGACTCCTTCCTCTTCTATGTCATTTGATTACCTCACCTCATCACCTAGTGGCACTTACCCAGAGGGAAAGTAATTACTTAGCAGGCTTTGATAGAAACAATAAAGAGATGAAAATGTATAGGATCGGGGATCAGGAGATGCATGCCTCCCACTCTTTCATTGATTGATCGATTGATTGATCAATTGATGTCATTTAATACAGTGAAGGTTCCCCGGGGGCTAAGAGTATGAGATCTGGATTGTGTGACCTTGTGCCAGTAACTTAACCTTTCTGAATCTTGATTTCTTCATCTGTGATATTGGGGAAGTGTGACAGGGAGGCTTCTTGGAAAAAGTGATATCTAAGAAGATGCAGAAAGGGATGGCTACGAGTCACCCCTGGTGGGGGTGGGGGATGGAAGGGAGGGCATAGCATGTGCAAAGGCCCAGACAAACAGCTGCCAGACTCTCAGATGTTGCAGGATTATTATTGATTACAGATGTGTGTGTATGTGTGTGTTGGAGTATACTGTAGAGAGGGACCTGACAAAGCAGCCCTCAGTAAATGTCAGTTGGTTTGAACGGCTGCACCCTGTGCTACTGGGCTCGGCATCTATATCCTCACACAGTCTCCACAACCATCCTGTGGTCCTCTCATTATCCCCATCTTCCATACCAAGAAATTGAGGTGTAGAGTTATGAATAACTTGCTCACAACTGCCTTGCTGTATCAGGAGAGCTGGAGGTGAAGAGGGTCTTCCCAGAAGATTTATTTGGGATACAGCGATGTCAAGAGAGATGGCTGCTTGTAAATATCTCTGACAGGTCTCACTTTGGCACACATCCCCCTGAAATGTCAGCTCTGGGAGGGCAGAGGCTGCTCCTGGCAGGACACCTGGACCCTGGCATGATGCCAGTGCACAGTGGGGTTTGTTGGGATGTTGGGTGGATGACCCAAGGCCTCTGGGTGGCCATGGAACGAGTCTGGAAGAGTCTAGTGCCTTCATTTCCCAGGTGTCTCCTGACTTTTCTAAGGTGGACCCACAAGTCAGAGCAGAACTGGACATGGGGCCCAAGTCAAAAACAGAATTCTCCAGAAAAGGAGGCTGGGGCACTTGGCCGGAGCCAATCCCTGAGGAGCATGCAGCACTCTTGCAACCTGGCTCTGAGTGCACTGTTCCAATTCACCTTCAGCCACACCCCACCACCAATCATCCCGGGGTGCTCAAACAGAGCCAAACCCCACAGTCACCCAGATACTGCAGAGGTTTTCCCATGTTCACATCTTTGCTTCTGCTGTTTCCACTACTTGGAAGCTCTTTCACGCTTGTCCACTTTCACAGCTTCCCACGCTGCCCAACTCCAGTGGCTTTCTCTCTCTTTCCTTCCCTTTTGGCTAGAAACATAAATAAGAAATCCTGATTATATTCTTATTGAACATAAACGTAAACATATCAGAAGTTGTAGAGTTAAAAGTAATTACAGGTATAATATGCTGAGATATTAAAAAAAAAAGTAAAAAATAAAATTCCACCTTCCCCATCCCAAGCTTGCTTCCAGAGAGAATGTTTGTGATCAACTGGGCATAGATTTCTCTTGCTTTTGTTTACTCACACAGGCATGGGTACCTGTGAGTATCTTTGAAAACCAACATAATGGGCTCATTTTGTATGTATTGCTTACCAACTAATGTTTTTTCTTTTATTTATTTATTTTGAGACAGAGTCTCACTCTGTCACCCAGGCTGGAGTGCACTGGCATGACCTTGGCTCACTGCAACCTCTGCCACCCAGGTTCAAGTGATTCTCCTGCTTCAGCCTCCCGAGTAGCTGGGATTACAGGCGCCTGCCACTGCGCCTTGCTAATTTTTGTATTTTTTAGTAGAGATGGGGTTTCACCATCTTGGCCAGGCTGGTCTTGAACTCCTGACCTCGTGATCCACCCGCCTTGGCCTCCCAAAGTGCTGGGATTACAGGAGTGAGCCACCACGCCTGGCTTGTTTTTATTTATTTTTATTCTTTTTTTTTTTTTTTTTGACAGAGTCTCGTTCTGTTGCCCAGGGTGGTATCTCAGCTCACTGCAACCTCTGCCCCCCGGGTTCACGTGATTCTCATGCCTCAGCCTCCCTAGTAGCTGGGACTACAGGCATGTGCCACCACGCCTGGCTAATTTTTTGTATTTTTAGTAGAGACAGGGTTTTGCCATGTTGCCCAGGCTGGTCTTGAACCCCTGAGCTCAAGCAATCCTCCCACCTCGGCCTCCTGAAGTGCTGGGATTACGGACATGAGCCACCGCACCTGGCCTATTTTTTTTTTTTTAATTCTTTATTTGGCCTGGACAGTGCTAACAACTAATGTTTTCCCATTTAGTTATGTCCAAGAGTGTTTTCTTTGACCGTATACATTTCTCCTCTCTTTTACCTGCCCTGGCTCTTCCATTCCTCAGGGAAGAATATACAAACTTCTGTGGACATATGGTTTTATTTCTCTTGAATATATATCTAGCAGTGGAATTGCTAGGTATATGGTAACTCTTAACATTTTGAGGAACTGCCAAACTGTTTCCAAAGTGGCTGCACTGTTTTAAAATCCCACCAGCAGTGCACGAGGGTTCCAGTTTCTCCACATCTTCATCAACTCTTGTTATTATCCATCTTGTGATTATTGCCATCCTAAGTGGGTATGAAGTGGCATCTCATTGTGACTTTGATTTGCATTTCCCAGATGGCTAATGATGTTGTGCCTTCTTTCATGTGCTTATTGGCCATTTGTGTATCTTCTTTGGAGAAATGTATATTTGGTCTTTTATCTATTTTTAAATTGGATTATATGTCTCTTTATTATTGAGTTGTAAGTGTTCTTTATATATTCTGAGTTCAGTTCCTTATCAGCTATGATTTTAAAGTATTTTTTGCCCATTCTGTGGGTTATTTTTTCACTTTCTTGATGGTGTTCTTTGAAGTGCCAGGTTTTAATTTTGGTGAAGTTCAATTTATCTATTTTTCTTGGGTTTCCTGTGCTTTTGGTGTCATACGTAAGAAACCTTTGCCTGATGCAAGGTCATGAAAACTTATGCCTAAGGCATATTTTTTTTTTTTTTTTTGAGATGGAGTTTTGCTCTTTCACCCAGGCTGGAGTATAGTGGCATGATCTCGGCTCACTACAACCTCCACCTTCCGGTTTCAAATGATTCTCCTGCCTCAGCCTCTCAAGTAGCTGGGACTACAGGTGTGCATCATCACACCCAGCTGATTTTTGTATTTTTAGTAGAGACGGGGTTTCACCATGTTGGCCAGGCTGGTCTGGAACTCCTGACCTCATGATCTGCCCACCTTAGCCTCCCAAAGTGCTGGGATTACAGGCATGAGCCACCACGCCCAGCCATATGCCTATATATTCTTATAAGAGTTTTATAGTTTTAGCTCTTAGATTTAGAACTTTGATCTGTTTTGATTTGATGTTTGTATGTGGTGTGAGGTAGGGGTCTAGCTTCATTTTTTGCATATGGAAATCCTGTTGTCCCAGAACCATGTGTTGAAAAGACTCTTCTTCCCCATTAAATTGTTTTGACACTCTTGTCAAAAATCAATTTACTATAAATGTAAGCATTTATTTCTGCATTCTCAATTCTAGTCCATTCATCTATATGTCTATCCTTATGCCAGTATTGCTGTCTATACTGTCTTGACTACTATAGCTTTGTAGTAAGTTTTGAAATCAGGAAGTATGAATCCTCCAACTTTGTCCTTCTTTTTCTTTTTTCTTTCTTTCTTTCTTTTTTTTTTTTTTTTGTGACAGAGTCTTGCTCTGTCACCCAGGCTGAAGTGCAGTGGCATGATCACTGCTCACTGTAGCCTCGACCTCCTGGGCTCAAGCAATCCTCCCACCTCAGCCTCCCAAGTAGCTGGGACTACAGATGTGTGCAACCATACCCAGCTAATTTTTAATTTTTATTTATTTATTTTTGGTAGAGACTGGGTCTGGCTGTGTTACCCAGGCTGGTCTCAAACTCCTGGGCTCAAGTAGTCCTCCCACCTTGGCCTGCCAAAGTGCTGGGATTATAGGTGTTAGCCACTGTGCCCAGCCTGACCTTCTTTTTCTAGATTATTTTGGCTGTTCTGGATCTCCCTATGAATTTTAGGATCAGCTTGTTAGTTTCTGCAAAAAGAGACCTGAGATTTTGACAGGGGTTACATTGACTCTGTAGATCACTTGGGGAGTTTTGCCATCTTAACAATATTAACTGTGGAACCTAAATTCCTTTTTGCTGGTGGCACTGCTCACTCAGCTTCCCTAGTCATTGAGTCTGCTGAGTAGGCACTCTGAGACCCATCCATCAAACTGCACAGACAAAACTCCAGCGATGTAAATGTCTCTTTCCTTTTTGAAGAAAGTAACACAGTATACTGTAGTGTCTAATTTAAGGCTTGGGTAAGACATTTAACTCCTGAATTTGTGAAATGGGAGTGCATCTGGCACCTGGACACACATATGACAGATCTGGCTTTCCTTCATGCTAAGGATGGGATGGAGATCTCTAAGATACTCCCATAACCCCTTGCTTCATGCCTGGAGAAGTGTGGTGGGAACTGGGAGACCCCACAGCCCTGGAGGCACCAGGTGGTGATAGGAGAATTGAAGCCAGGCTCCATTTTATCTTGTTTTATCTGTTGGGCAAAGGGGTACAATTTCATTTGAGGAAAGAGTTCTGCTGCTAAAACAATCTTAGCCCCTCACCCCCAATTCACTCACATCATAGTTTGAAGAATGGAATAAAAATAAAAAGGGAGTAATATCACATATTAAAAGTTTAGTTTAGGCCAGGCGCAGTGGCTCATGCCTGTAATCCCAGCACTTTGGGAGGTTGAAGTGGGAGCATTGCCTCAGGCTAGGAGTTTGAGACCCGCCTGGGCAGCAAAGCGAGACTCTATTTCTATAAAACAATTAAAAATTAGTTGGGTGTGACGGCACATGTCTGTAGTCCCACATACTTGGAAGGCTAAGGTGGGAGGATAGCTTGAGCCCCGTTGTTTGACGCTGCAATGAGCTGTGCTCACACTAATGCACTCCAGCTTGGCGACAGAGCAAGACCCTGTCTCAAAAGAAAAAAAAAAGCTTAGTTTACACCCTGACATGTACTTATGTGTTCCAGATGTAATGCTTTGGCACAGCACAAATACATGATTTTATTTTCAAGAAAGAAATAATAAAAAATGGAGTGCCTATATTTGTATCACTTGGAACCTTGTTTTCTAAACTTAAAGAACAACCTGGGAAACTACATTTGAAACTTCAAATCCATTCATACCTCAACTCATCTGGGGTGAGGAGCTCTCATTTTAAACAAACAATGTGTGTGTGTGTGTGTGTGTGTGTGTGTGTGTGTTTGAGAGACAGAGATTAGAGTTATTTATTGCAGTTGTTTCAAAAAAGCAATTTAAAAAAGCATGAATTTGGACTGTGTTTTTAGTTTGTTTCTGGGAGAAGAGAAACTTACATGCAATAGAATATATGTTTTGAGGTCTTCAAAATCTCAGATCTAGGCCAGGCGTGGTGGCTCACGCCTGTAATCCTAGCACTTTGGGAGGCTGAGGCAAGTGGATCACGAGGTCAGGAGTTCAAGACCAGCCTGGCCAAGATGGTGAAACCCCGTCTCTGCTAAAAATACAAAAATTATCCAGACGTGGTGGTGAGTGCCTGTAATCCCAGTTACTAGAGAGAGGCTGAGGCAGAGAATTGCTTGAACCTGGGAGGCAGAGGTTACGGTGAGCCAAGATCACGTCATAGCACTCCAGCTTGGGTGATACAGCGAGACTCGGTCTCAGAAAAAAAAAAAAAAAAAATCAGATCTTTTGCCTTAGCAGATTCCCTTATTTAAGTTGTTGGAACCGGCAGTTCATAGGGATTTTGTTTCCATCCTTTAGTGAGGGGGGTGTGTGCGTGTGTGTGCACATGGAAAGTTAGGGGAAAAACACAATGATATAACCTAACCCCAAAACAAGGAAGCACGTTACACAGTTGAGGTTTGGCGCTTCAGTTCCTGCCCAGTCTCAGAAGGTACAGCTTGGCTGACCTTGTGTGACCTATCTCTATGACACATCTCCCAAGGGGGTGGGGAGGACTGTTTCTCTCCAGCATGGCTTTAGTTTTATAAAAGCCCTGTGCAGTCTTGCAAACTCAAATGGTTTTCTTAACAAATCACTCACATTTCATGTGTTCTGGGCTGGGCAGGGCCTCGCTAATCCTTGGCCAGCTTTGTGAGTCAGAAATTATTTAAATGATTGCCTGAGTCCTTTTGAGGCGAGAGAATTGGCAAGTTAATTTAGGGAGGTGCAATGACTCTTAAACAGCACTGCAGTGAGTGGCAGCATTGATAAATGTGTTAGAAGCTCTATTTTATTGTGATAATAAATGCTAATGAAGAAAATGAACGTATTACCTTTTAGAGTGAGATAAGAATGATGATGCTACCAAATTTTATTAAGCATTTATTGTGTGGTGGAGTATGGTGGCTTCTCCCATGTTTTTGACTGTGACCTATTGTAAAACATAGACTGCAACCTGGTAACCTGGTGTGTGTGTGTGTGTGTGTGTATGTGTGTGTGCGCGCATATCTGAATTATTTGGTGAAACAATAGTTACCCTATGCGTGTCTAGTGTCCTCTGGGCTCAAGTGATCCTCTTGCCTTGGCCTCCAGAGTAACTGGGACTACAGGTGCATGCCACCACACCGGCTAATTTTTTGTTGTTGTTTGTTTGTTTTTGTTTTTTTTGAGACGGAGTCTTGCTCTGTCGCCCAGGCTGGAGTGCAGTGGTGTGATCTTGGCTCACTGCAAGCTCTGCCTCCCAGGTTCACGCCATTCTCCTACCTCAGCCTTCTGAGTAGCTGGGACCACAGGAGCCCGCCACTTTGCCTGGCTAATTTTTTTGTTTTGTTTTTTTTTTTTAGTAGAGACGGGGTTTCACCGTGTTAGCCAATGGTCTCGATCTCCTGACCTCATGATCCGCCCGCCTCGGCCTCTCAAAGTGCTGGGATTACAGGCATGAGCCACCGTGCCTGGTCTCACGCCGGCTAATTTTTTAAATTTTTTGTAGAGACTGGGTCTCTCTGTATTACCCAGGCTGGTCTCAAACTCCTGGCCTCATGTGATTTTCTGGCCTCAGCCTCCCAGTGTGCTGGGATTACAGGTGTGAGCCACTGCACCCACCCTAAAGTTGCATTTGAAAACAAATATATCTACTATGATAGCTTTGATCAGTATATAGACAAATATTATTATTATTATTATTATTATTATTATTATTATTTTGAGACAGAGTCTTGCTGTCACCCAGGCTGGAGTGCAGTGGCGCAATCTTGGCTCACTATAAGCTCTGCCTCCTGGGTTCACGCCATTCTCCCGCCTCAGCCTCCCGAGTAACTGGGAGTACAGGCGCCCGCCACCACGCCCGGCTAATTTTGTTTTTGTATTTTTAGAAGAGACAGGGTTTCACCGTGTTAGCCAGGATAGTCTCGATCTCCTGACCTTGTGATCCACCCGCCTTGGCCTCCCAAAGTACTGGGATTACAGGCGTGAGCCACCGCGCCTGGCCGACAAATGTTATTCTTTCTGGGTTGCCATATTTTGTGGTTTTTAAAAAATATATTTTTATTCATTTATCTGGTGACTTGAAATTTCATGCAAGTACAGGTCCTTACAGACAATTTCTATTGGAAAATCACTTATTTTGGGTGTGTATTAGGGTTTGGAGAGAAACAGAACCAACAGGATGTGTGTCAATCAATCGCTCATCTATCTATTGAGAGGTTGATTTTTAGGAATTGGCTCATGTGATTGTGGAGGCCAGGTGAGTCAAAAATCAGCAAGGTAGACTGGCAGGCCGGAGACCCAGGGAAGAGTTGCAGTGAGCCCAAAGGCTCTCTGGGTAGAATTCTTCCTGCTCTGGGAGGTCGGTCTTTTTCTATTAAGGCTTATAGCTGATTGGATAAAGCCCACCACATCATGGAGAATAATCTGCTTTACTCTAAGTCCACTGATTTAAATGTTAATCTCATCTAAAAAATACCTTCACAGAAATGTCTAGAATGTTTGACCAAATAGCTGGTTACCATGGTCTAGCCAAGTTGACACATAAAATTAATCATCACAGTGGGTAAAATACTGTTTGAGGTTGTTCAGAAGAAAGGAAAAAGGCAAAAGCCTGGGCGCGGTGGCTCACGCCAATAGTCCCAGCACTTTGGGAGGCCGAGGCGGATGGATCACTTGAGGTCAGGAGTTCAAGACCAGCCTAGCCAACATGGTGAAACCCCGTCTCTACTAAAAATACAAAAATTAAGCCAGGCATGGTGGCGGGTGCCTGCAATCCCAGCTACTTGGGAGGCTGAGGCAGGTGAATCGCTTGAACCTGGGAGGCGGAGGTTGCGGTGAGCCAAGATCATGCCACTGTACCTGGGTGACAGAGTCAGACTCTGTTTCAGAAAAAAAAAAAAAGAAAGAAAGGAAAAGTGTAATGGTTGGAAGTGGAAGTGTGCTGTTGGTACAGATAGGAGAACATTTCGGAAAGAATTCCCTCCCCTTTGATTGACTGCAAAATAAGTCCCTCCCTTGTTCTCTTGCAATTACAGGTGGACCAGATGGGTGGGCAGATTGGCAGTGGGGGTGCAGAGTTTCTTGTTCTGATTGAAAGGATTTTTTCTTACATTTTAGGGTTTTTTTTTTTTGTTTTGGAGACAGAGTCTCACTGTGTTGCCCTCCTGGCCTCAAGTGATCCTCCTGCCTCAGCCTCCTGAGTAGCTGGGATTACAGATGTGAATTACTGTGCCCAGCTCTTAGATTTCATTTTAAGACTGAAGACCTGAGAGTTCATGGGCCTAAGTAAAAGGTGCCATTTATCTGCAACAAATTGGTGCATGCTCCGTAGATCTAGCTGTAGGGGGCTGTGTGTGCTAATGCAGCATTTGTGACTCAGCCGTAATGAGGATGACCTTGCCTCTCCTGTTCCGCAGGCTACCACCTAGCTGTGGTGGGTCACTGGCCACAGAAACTGTAGGTATCTGGGGCTGCCTGGGTGGGAACTCAGCCTGTATGAGAACATGGTATTTGGAAGACATTAAACATTTATTATAGCTTTTATTTTTATTGAGGTATAATTAACATACCACAAAATTGACCCTTTTCAAGTACCCAGTCTGTTTTTTAGCACATGCATACGGTAGTGCAGATATCACCACTAGTTCCAGAATATTTATCATCCTAAAATACAGTTTTTCTTTTGCAAGTAATTTCTTTTTTTTTTGTTTTGTGATGGAGTCCTGCTCTGTTGCCCAGGCTGGAGTGCAGTGACATAATCTCAGCTTACTGCAACCTCTGCCTCCTGGGCTCAAGTGATTCTCCTGCCTCATCCTCCTTAGTAGCTGGGACTACAGGTGCACACCATCACACCCGGCTAATTTTGTATTTTTCGTAGAGATAGGGTTTCACCATGTTGGCCAGGCTGGTGTCGAACTCCTGACCTCAAGTTATCTGCCCGCCTCGGCCTCCCGAAGTGCTGGGATTACAGGCGTGAGGCGTGAGCCACTGCGCCCGGCCTTTTGCAAGTAATTTCAACATTTAAGACCATGGCCTACTGGATTGGTCCCATCAGCAAATAAACATGCAGTTATTTCTCCCAACTTAAAAACAGCAGAACCCTCTCTCCACCCTACTTCTCCCTACAGTTATACACCCATTTCTCTTCAGTTTAGAGCAAAACTTTTTGAAATAATTTTCTGGACTTACTAATTTTTTGCCTTCTATTGTGTCTCAAAAAATTGTGATAAAACACACATAACGTAAAATTTACTGTGTTGACTATTTTTAAGTTTTCAGGTCAGTAGTGTTGCGTATACTGATATTATTGTGCAACCAATCTGCAGAGCTTTTCATCTTGTGACACTGAAACACTGTATCCATTAAACAGCAACTCCCATTCCCCCCTGCCCCTAGTCCCTGGAGACCAGCATTCTACTTTCTGTCTCTGAATTTGACTGTTCTAGATACCTCATATAAGTGGAATCATGCCATATTTGTCCTTTTGTGACTGGCTTATTTCACTCAGCATAATGTGCTCAAGGTTCACCCATGTTGTAACATGTGTCAGAATTTCCTTCCTTTGGGCTGGGTATGGTGGCTCATGCCTGTAATCCCAGCACCGAGGAGGCGGATGTTGAGCCCAGGGGTTCAAAACCAGCCTTGGCAACATGGTGATACCCTGTCTACAAAAAATACAGCAATTTGCTGGGCGTGGTGGCATGCACCTGTAATCTCAGCTACTTGGGGGCTGAGATGGGAGGATCACTTGAGTCAGGGAAGTTGAGGCTGCAGTGAGCCGTGATCTTGCCGCTGCATCCCAGCCTGGATAACAGAGGGAAACCCTGTCTCCAAAAAAAGAAAAAAAAAGAAAGAAAAAAAAAAGAAAGAATTTCCTTCTTGGTTTTTGGTTTTCTGTTTTGTTTTTTGAGACGGGGCCTCACTCTGTCACTGATTGCTGCAGTGGCACAATCTCAGCTCACTGCAACCTCTACCCCCCAGGCTCAAGCAATCCTCTGACCTCAGCTTCCGGGTTAGCTGGGACTACAGGCATGCACCACTATGCCCAATTAATTTTTTTGTATTTTTGGTAGAGACAGGGTTTTGCCATGTTGCCCAGGCTGGTCTCGAGCCCCTGAGCTCAGGCAGTCCCCCTCCCTGGGCCTCCCAAAGTGCTGGGATTACAGGCGTGAGCCAGCACAGCTGGCATGGAATTTCCCTCCTTTTTAAGGCAGAATATTATTCAATTCTATGCATTTGCCACATTTTGTTCTACCATTCATCTGTCATGGACACTGAGTTGCTTCCACCTTTTGTCTATTGTGAATGATGCTGCTATCCCATTCTCTTTTGAGCCCCTCATTTCAGGCAGGCTTGGCTTCCACTCCCCTCTCCCCAGATATCTCTTACCAAGGTCTACAGTGAGTGCCTGGTTGCTCATCCCAATGGCCTGTTCTCTGTTGCCATCCTTCCTGACTACCAGCAGCGTGTGATGGAGTTGGTCACTTTCTCTTCCTCGAAGCCTTGTCTCACCTGGCTTCTAGGATGCCCGACTCTCCTGATCCTCTTCCCACATCTCTGTTAAGGAGCACCCCAACCTCCTGGTTGCTCAGGCCCAAAGCCTGGGGCGTCATCTTTGACTTTTGTATCTCTCTTCTCTTCACTTGTCAAAAGACTCTACTTGTAGAGTGGCCACTGCTCCCCTCCCGCTCCTACCACCCTCCAGGTCATTCTCCCCTCTCACCTGAATGACTGCGGCCTCCAAGCCTCTGCCTTTACCTCCTTTCAGCTTGTTCTCAACTCAGAGTCAGAGGGAACCTTCTGAAGGGTTGGCTACTTCTCTGCTCAAAGCCCTCAAATAGCTCTCATTTCACTGCAACAAAGCCAAAGCCTTTAGGGTGGCTGGCTGCAAGGCCCCATGTGATCTGGCTGCATTTCCTCTCTGACTCCTCTCTTAGTTTGCCCTTCCCCCTCATAACCGCACTCTAGCCACATCACCTCCATGCTGTTCCCTGCGTGGGCACCTCAGGGCCTTTGCACCTGCTATTCCCGCTGCCCAAAATGCACCTCTCCCAATATCTGCAGAGCTTGGTCCCTCATTTCCTTCAGCCTTCCCTGGTCATCGTGTCTAAACCGTTACCACTGCATCCCAACTTCCCCTTTGCCTTCATTGCTTTTTCTCCTTACACTATCGTTATCCAATATAAGGTGTATTTTGCTTATTTATCTTGTCATCTGCCTCCCCCACTAGAATGTAAATTCCATGAGGGCAGGGATTTTTCTTCTATTGTGTTCCCTGTCATGTCCCCAGTGCCTTGCCTGGTACAGACAATAATTTGTTGAACCCGTAAAGAAAAGTTTGGTAAACAGATTAAAAGCCATTTGATTCTTCTATTATGATATAATTCTTGCCTATATTTTTCTTACCTGTGAATTATTACATATGTGTATGTATGTGTGTGTGCATGTTTGTTGTGTGTGTGTGTGTGTGCATGTGTGTAGACAGAGAAACAGCGAGTCCTGTCATTCCCACCAGATATTCCTGCTTGTTAAACAGCTACATAGTGTTTTGCTGAGTGGCTAGAGCAGCTTTATTTAACCTTGTTTTGTTCAGTACTACTGGGCAGCTTCCAATCTTTTGCTATTGTAGATTATGCAGCATCTGTGCTGGGCACTTGCCCTGCTTCCTTCCCTCTTCTCTGAAAGGCTTCCCCATGCTCCTGAGCACCCCCCGCCCCCGCCGCCGTGCTCCTGAGCCTAGCCTGAGCCCGAGTGGGGGCTGTGGTCCTGGCTGGGCCTATCATGGTTCCCCTCCCCTCGGCTGTGGTAGCCGGTCTGGAGCTAGACACAAGCCACCCTTGCCAGGCTGTGGGCTTCCTCAGGGTCATCCTAACCCACTCAGAAGTGGCAGAGAAGGTGCTTGAAGGCACTCACCCAGCGCTAGAGCAGTGAGGACAGGCCCAGAGTGTGGAGCTGCGAGGGGAGGGTTGGGCACATTGCCTTTGGATCTAGTCACATGACTGAGCTGCTCCAGGGATCTTCCTACAAATCCCCCTTCTCACCCATCTAGATGGAGTTGGATTTCTCACTGCTAGCAGTGAGTCTAGACAGATCCAATCCAGTGGAGCATCCCTGCCCCACTCTCTTTTTTTACTTGATCCTTAGTCCAGAGCAAGGAAAGATGTGGAAACCCTCCCAAAGGCATTATTCAGGGCAGAAAATGCTTGTAGGCAGAGCAGCACCTTGTTTTTGTCACAACCGGAGAAACAATTTAAATCTGAACCTATGCGGGCTCAGATACTGATGCTGCCATCTGAGAAGGAGGACCTCTCTCACCTCAGGTTCTTTGTCTGTAAAATGGGGATGAAAATAATTATACCACACCTCAGGACTAAATGAGTTAATAAAAATTCTTAGAGTGGTGAGTAACACAGGATGAGAGACTGCTCACTGAGAGTTAGCTGTGGTGGCTGCCAGAATCCTAAAAGTGTAACAGGAGTTAAACATAGAGGTATCATATAGTCCAGCAATTCCAAATCTGGGTATATACCCAAAGAAATGAAAGCAGAGATCCAAACAGATACTTGCATTCCCATGTTCCCAGCAGCGTTATTCACAATAGCCAAAAGGTAAAAATAATACAAATGTCTATTGACAGATGAATGGATAAACAAAATGTGGTATGTACATACAATGGAATATTATTTAGCCTTAAAAAGGAAGGAATTTCTGGTTGAGTGAGATGGCTCACACCTGTAATGCTGGCACTTTGGGAGGCCAAGATAGGAGGATCTCTTGAGCCCAGGAGTTTGAGGCTGCAGTGAGTTATGATCGTGCCACTGTACTCCTGCCTGGATGACAGGGCCAGACCCCATTGCAAAAAAAAAAATAATAATAAATAAAGGAATTTTTGACACATGCTACAACATGCTGATCCATGAAAGTATTATGCTACATGAGAAAAGTCAGTCACAAAAGGACACTTACAGGGGGTACCTGGAATAGCAAGTTTAGAGAGAGAAGTATTAATACAGTAGGGGCTGGGAGAGGGGCAGGTGCAGGAGGAGTTACCGCTGAATGGGTACACAGTTTCTGTTTAGAATGACAACAAAGTTCTGGAAATGGATAATGGTAAGAGTTGTACAATATGGTGAATGTGCTAGATGTCACTGAACTGTACACTTAAAAATGGTTAAAGTGGTATGTTTTATATTATATTTTACCACAATAAAAAAGAGTATAAGAGGAGTTGGACTCTCCTGGACTTTTTCTTTATAGATTGAACTTATGTCAAAATGTAGCACAGTGAAAAAACAGGCACAGGCCAAAAAAGAAGTGGTGGTGGTGTGTGCCCATGTGTGTGTGTGTGTTTCGGGGTGGGGGTGGGGCGGCAGGTAAACTACTCACAAGACACCAGAGGCTCCTTTTGAGGTCTGATACTGCAGGCTGGGATCTGACGCTGCAGGATCAGGAAGAGTGGGGGAGATGAGGGGAAGGTGAGCCTGCACAAAGAATTTTCTCAGTGACTGTGGGCAGGGCAGTCAGGACCCTGGGTCACATGGGCCCAGCCCGGGACCAGAGCCTTTGTGAGTCACAGCTCAACTCCCAGCAAACAAAGGGATATGCCAGGGAGGGGCTGAGTTGTGACTCAGAGGCTGCTGCTGCTGTGAGCTTCCTCCAGGAACCCCATCCCTTCCAGTCCCTGATTCTGACTCCTACTGTGGGGGTGGGGACAGGTGTACCCACTTCCTGGGCAGGTTCTTGGAAGGGCTCTCCTGCAGAACCTAGACTTTTTTGCAGCTCCTTTTTGATAACCCGAGTAGCAGCAGCTATACCATTTAAGTGCTTGCTGCATACGGGCCCTGGGCTAAGTTCCTTTTTTTTTTTTTTTTGAGACAGAATCTCAGCTCTGTCGCCCAGGCTGGAGTGCCGTGGCACAATCACGGCTCCCTGCAGCCTTGACCTCCCAGGCTCAAGAGATCCTCCCACAGGGACTGTAGGTACATGTCACACACCCAGCTAATTTTAAAATTTTTTATAGAGATGGGGTCTCGCTATGTTGTCCAGTCAGCTCTTGAACTCCTAGGCTCAAGTGATCCTCCCGCCTTGGCCTCCCAAAGTGCTGGGATTACAGGTGTGAGCCACCATGCCTTGTCCCTCACTTCATCTATTTATTTTTATTTTTATTTTTATTTTTGAGATAGAGTTTCACTCTTGTTGCCCAGGCTGGAGTGCAATGGCGTGATCTCCGCTGACTGCAACCTCTGCTTCCCAGGTTCAAGCGATTCTCCTGCCTCAGCCTCCCGAGTAGCTGGGATTACAGGCATGTGCCACCATGCCTGGCTACTTTTGTATTTTTAGTAGAGATGGGGTTTCTCCATGTTTGTCAGGCTGGTCTTGAACTCTGGACCTTAGGTGATCTGCCCAACTTGGCCTCCCAAAGTGCTGTGATTACAGGCGTGAGCCACCATACCCAGCCCCTCTTCGTCTTTTTAAAGCCTCATTGTCACCCCATCAGGCAGTCATTTCAGTCCTACTTTGCAGAAGAGGAAATGTGCTTATGGAGGGAAGCAACTTGCCTGAGGCTATGTGGGTGGCAGATAGCAGAGCCAGATTTGAACCTATCACTGATTAAGGAGCCTGGACTTGTAATCATGCTGCTCACCACCCTCCCTCCCCCCACCCCCAACTCATACACACACGGGGAAGAACAGACTCCAAAATGTGACTTATCTTTAGGCCAAGCTTGTCTAACATGTGGCCCAATACAAATTCATAAACTTTTAAAAAACATTATGAGTTTTTTTTTTAGTTCATCAGCTATTGTTAGTGTTAGTGTATTTTATGTGTGGCCCAAGACAATTCTTCTTCCAGTGTGTCCCAGAGAAGCCAAAAAATTGGACACCCTTGCTCTAGGCTTAAAGACAAGGCTTAAAATTTTTTCCCTGTGCTTATGAAAAAATTTAGAAAATACAAGTAATGAATATATTTTATAGTAAAAAAAGGCATAGTTAAGTATGATTGCATGTCAGCATTTCTTTTTTTTATTATTATTATACTTTAAGTTTTAGGGTACATGTGCACAACGTGCAGGTTTGTTACATATCTATACATGTGCCATGTTGGCGTGCTGCACCCATTAACTCATCATTTACATTAGGTATATCTCCTAATGCTATCCCTCCCCCCTCCCCCCACCCCACAACAGTCCCTGGTGTGTGATGTTCCCCTTCTTACGTCCATGTGTTCTCATTGTTCAATTCCCACCTATGAGTGAGAACATGCGGTGTTTGGTTTCTTGTCCTTGCGATAGTTTGCTGAGAATGATAGTTTCCAGCTTCATCCATGTCCCTACAAAGGACATGAACTCATCATTTTTTATGGCTGCATAGTATTCCATGGTGTATATGTGCCACATTTTCTTAATCCAGTCTATCATTGTTGGACATTGGGTTGGTTCCAAGTCTTTGCTATTGTGAATAGTGCCGCAATAAACATACGTGTGCATGTGTCTTTATAGCAGCATGATTTATAATCCTTTGGGTATATACCCAGTAGTGGGATGGCTGGGTCAAATGGTATTTCTAGTTCTAGATCCCTGAGGAATCGCTACACCGACTTCCACAATGGTTGAACTAGTTTACAGTCCCACCAACAGTGTAAAAGTTTTCCTATTTCTCCACATCCTCTCCAGCACCTGTTGTTTCCTGGCATGTGAGCATTTCAAGTTGTTATTTTTATGCACACTTTTGGGACCTTGAAGGGCAGGTGACATGAAACAAACCCATTGGGTACAAGTATCACTCATTTTGCTGGACGCCGAGAGCATCACAGTCTATGACAGTTTTGTCCAATGTATGTAAAACTGTAATGGCATTTCAAAAAGACCAGACTGATTTGGAACAAGTTCTCATAAATGTGAAAATAGAGAAAATAGGTGTAATGTAGATTGGCCCTTGAGGGAGCAAGTGGTAATACTAATTTCCAGGCATTCCTTATTTTTCTGTGTAAAAGGCCACATGGCTTATTTTATGGAAAGAAACTTGTTCTTTCAGGACTTTTAATTGAAAGAGATTGTGGGAAATAGGTAACCCTCCCTTCCTTTACAGTCGGCTTTTGGTGAATGTGGCCATGGCAAGGACACGACTGAAGGGTTAAAGCCCAGTCAATATGAGGAAAAGGAAATTCACTTTGGACAATAGTTTTAGTTTCATCTGAAATTTTATCAGAGTTGCTAACTTGGTGGCAAAACTGACTGACTCATTTAAGTGGCCCCTCCTCAACTCTCCCTTGTCTGTCTAGTATGGACAGTAAAATCAGTGAGAGCAAGAATTAAGCCCCCCAGTTTGTCTGTTATAGTAGGAGGCAGTCATTCATTCACTTACTCTATATCACTCAAGTATGTATCAAGTGATACGATGGCTGGAGTTCGCTTCACTGGGTTGAGTGTAGAAGAAATAATATTAGGAATGAGTTGACCACTCAAATTGTATGATGTGTGGCACAGAGGGTACATTATATTCTTTCTCCGTTTGTATTTAAACTTTTACATTTTAAAAAAGCTTGTGTGGGGGTGTGGGTGTGGGTGTGACTTACCCTGGGCCAGGCCCTGTGCTAGGTGCTGAGGAAGTCTTGGTGGCTAAGACCGGCTCAGACTCTACCCTACCAGAGTCAACAGACAAGACTCACTCAGGAAACAGATACTAATCAAATAGTCACATGAATGCAAGTAAAATTATAGTTGGGATAAGTGCTGAGAAATCATGAACAGAAATGCAGAAACCTGGACGGGCGCGGTGGCTCACAGCTAATCCCAGCATTTTGGGAGGCCAAGGCAGTCGGATCACTTGAGGTCAGGAGTTCGAGACCAGCCTGGCCAACATGGCAAAACCGCTCTCTACTAAAAATACAAAAATTAGCCAAGTGTGGTGGCACGCACCTGTAATCCCAGCTACTTGGGAGGCTGAGGCAGGAGAATCACTTGAACTCAGGAGGCAGAGGTTGCAGTGAGCCGATATCATGCTGCTGCACCCCAGCCTGAGCAACAAAGTGAAACTCCATCTCAAAAAATAATAATAATGAAAATTAAAAAATGCAGAAACCTGCAGTGTAGACCCCATTTTACCCAGGATCATAACGGGACTACAGCTGGAGGTACTACCAAGGGGGCAGGTGGAGTGACAGCCTGCTTGTGTTTAGACCTAAAGGAAAAGATGGAAGGGGGCAGGGGGCAGGGGTGTGTGGGGTGTGTGTGTGTGTATAGACCTGCATGGTCAAGGCCAAGAGGAGCCTTTGTGTTTTGTCGCCTGCTTGAACCATGGTGGGATAGAAGGATTTCAGGGTGGACCAGTTGACTGAATGCCCTTCAATCCCATAGTCTTTTGTGGTGCATCAACCTCATAGAGGACCTTGTGGTATATGTTCAAGATAACAGAGACCGGGAGTTTGAGACCATGCCCAACATGAGGCAACATAGCTACATCCTGTCTCTACAAAAAACTAAAAAGAAAGAAAAAGAAACGATAACCGATTCTGCTTAGAAAAAAATCCACATCTCTTCTTGCCTTAACTAACATGCCCTTTCCACTCCTCGTCATGCCTCCTGGTCTCATGGATGTTCCAGCTATGTCCCAATCCCTTTGCTTGCTCAGCCTCTGAGTCTGCTGGTCCTCCTGTCCAGAACACTTTTGCCCCTTCTCTTAGGGCCAGCTCCCTCCCATATCTAGTTTGGCTCAAACATTGCAGGGAGGCTCCCCATGATCACTTTTCCCTGCATACTTGCTCTGCTTCTTTTTTTTTTTTTTTTTTTGATGGAGTCTTGCTCTGTCGCCCAGGCTGGAGTGCAGTGGCACAATCTTGGCTCACTGCAACCTCCGCCTCCCAGGTTCAAGAGATTCTCCTGCCTCAGCCTCCCGAGTAGCTGGAATTACAGGTGTGTGCTGTCACACCTGGCTAATTTTTTGTATTTTTAGCAGAGATGGGGTTTCACCATGTTAGCCAGGATGGTCTCGATCTTCTGATCTCGGGATCTGCCCACCTCAGCCTCCCAAAGTTCTAGGATTACAGGTGTGAGCCACCGCACCCGGCCTCTGCTCCCATTTTTTATTGGTCTCTTCTCCAGGCTGTGAGCATGGTGACAGTAGGGGCTATGTCTGCTCATATTCTGTGGCCTCCCTAATTCCTAGCCCATAGAGGCACACAGTGCCCAGCAGATCTGACAGCCAGATGCTGTCTTACCTTTTCCC
The DNA here is from genome assembly GCF_000001405.40 of Homo sapiens. Classification (NCBI taxonomy): domain Eukaryota; kingdom Metazoa; phylum Chordata; class Mammalia; order Primates; family Hominidae; genus Homo; species Homo sapiens. Next base: position 57,055,948 of record NC_000003.12, on the reverse strand, counting down.
TATTCACATTCCTACTTAATCATTTTGCATTTTAGAAGGATTTTGACTCATGTGCAGTTGTCAAAATGGACTTATGGAAAGTTGTGGAAGCTTTATATAAGGTGGAAGTTTGTGTCCTAAAATTCTCTCAAACAGTAGGGATGTGCATTGGAATTCTGTTGGGCTTCAGGGGCGAGGAGGAATCAGAGGCTTCTGGAGGATACAGATAAAGGATTGGGTGTCAGGGAAGCTGCACCTTCCTCTGGAGGTAACAGAGATTGGTCTTTTTGTGTGCCTGGTTTGTGGTCATAGCTGACAGGACTTTACCCTAAAAGTATATCCTACCTCACTTCTACCTCACACCATACACAAAAATAATTCAAGATGGATTGAGAACCTAAATGTGCAAGGCAAATCAATGGAGTTTCTAGAAGATAATAAAGAAGAATTTCTACATGAGATGAGGCTAGGCACAGGTTTCTTAAATAAGTCACAAAAAGCATAAAGGGGCCAGGCGGGGTGACTCAGGCCTGTAATCCTGGCACTCTGGGAGGCCGAGGCGGGCAGATCACCTGAGGTCAGGCATTTGAGACCAGCCTGGTCAACATAGTGGAACCCCGTCTCTTCTAAAAATACGAAAATTAGCCAGGCTTGGTGGCATGCGCCTGTAGTCCCAGCTACTCAGGAGGCTGAGGCAGGAGAATCGCTTGAACCTGGGAGGCAGAAGTTGCCGTGAGCTGAGATCACGCCACTGCTCTCCAGTCTGGGCAACAGAGTTGGACTTCGTCTCAAAAAAAAAAAAAAAAGCATAAAGAGAAAAGCTTATAAATCATATTTCATTAAAAATAAGAACTCTTCTTCAAGAGACACCATTAAGAGAGGGAAAAGGCAAGCTGCAGTCTGGGAAAAGATATTTAAAATACATATGTTCAACAAAGGATTTACATCCAGAATATATAAAGAACTTCTACAAATCAATAGGAAATAGACAACACAATTTTATTTACAAAAAAATTTTTTTTGCTGGGTGCGATGGCTCACGCCTGTAATCCCAGCATTTTGGGAGGCCAGGGTGGGCAGATCATGAGGTCAGGAGATTGAGATCATACTGGCCAACATGGTGAAACCCCGTCTCTACTAAAAATACAAAAATTAGCCAGGCATGGTGGCGTATGCCTATAATCCCAGCTACTCGGGAGGCTAAGGCAGGAGAATCCTTGAACCAGGGAGTCAGAGGTTGCAGTGAGCTGAGATTGCGCCACTGCACTACTGCACTCCAGCCTGGTGACAGAGTGAGACTCCATCTCAAAAAAAAAAAAAAAAAAATTTTTGAGATGGGGTCTCACTCTGTCACCCAGGCTGGAGTGCAGTGGTGTGATGTTGCCTCACTTCAGCCTCCACCCTGCTGGGCTCAAGCAATCCTCCCACCTCAGCCTCCCGAGTCGCTGGTACCACAGGCATGCACCATCATGCCCGACTTTTTTTTTTTTTTTCGTATTTTTTGTAGAGATAGGGTTTCACCATGCTGCCCAGGCTGGTCTTGAACTCCTGGGCTCAAGCGATCAGCCCACCTTGGCCTCCCAGAGTGCTGGGATTATAGGTGTGAGCCACCGTACCTACCTGACAACCCAATTTTAAAAGGATAAAAGACTTGAGCAAGCATATCATCAAAATGAATATCCAAATGACCACAAAAACATTTGGAAAGATGCTTAACCTCAGGAGTCACCAGAGAAATGAAAATGTAAGTACACAAAGATACTACTATATACCCACCAGAATGACTAAAATTAAAAAGACTCAAAGTGTTGGTGAAGATATGGTGCAACTGGAACTCACACACACTGCTAGTGGGAGTATGAATTGGTACAACCATTTTGGAAAATCATTTTGATAACATCTACCCAAACTTAACAGATGCCTACCTATGCTGCAGCAATTCCACTTTTAGATATATACCCAAGAGAAGTGAATGCATCTGAGCACCAAAAGACTTGTACACAAATGTTCATAGCCACTTTATCCATAATTACCAAAAGGTGGAAACAATCCAAATGCCCGTCAGCAGCCATATATATAAGTAAATTTGGTATATCCATACAATGGGATACACTCAGCAATGAGAAAGAAGGAACCACTGCTGCATGCCACAACGCGGATAAAACTTCTAACACAGTGATGACTGGAAGAAGCCAGGGACAGGGAGTCCATACTGTATGATTCCATTTATGTACATTTCAGACACAGGCAAATGAATCCATGCCACTAGAAGTCAAGATAGCAGTTACCTTTGGGGTAGGCAATTACTTGGGAAGGAACATAAGGAAGCCTTCTTTCTAGGAGACAGGAACTGTTTTATATGTTTTGATTTGGTTGGTGATCACATTGGGGTATAAATATCTAAAAATGTTATTGAGTTGTATACTTAAGATTGATGCGTTTTATGGATGTTGCAAACTACTTTATTGGTGTGTATATTGGGGAAACAAAGAACACATAGAAACTTTTCCAGAGTCCTTGGAAGAAGGTTGGGGAGATGAAACAAAGCCAGAGGCAGGGCAGGCTGGAGGGGAAGGTGAGGTAGAGGGCTGGGAAGAGGCAGGTGTTTTTCCTGCCATGGAGCTCCTCCCTGCCCCAGGTGTGGGCAGCGGTGATTGCTCCTGTGTGTCCCTCCCTGCCCTCTCCTACCCACGTGTCCTTTGGCAGTGAGCGCTCGCTAACCATCACCCGTCCCTGGCACAATCCTTATCCTAAAGAGAGCAGGCGCTTGAGAGGGAGGGTGGCCTTTCTTAATTCTGGTGCTGTTTAAGGAAGGGGTGCATTTATCTGGTGCTTCCAGAATTTGCACTCCTTGGATTTTCCCATATGGGAACCTGCCTAGCAGGCAGCTTTGCATGAAGCCGAGGATTAAATGGTGGTGGTGGGTAGGGTGGAGGGGACCCAGTGAGGAGGGCAAATCTGCTTCTGTTTGCCTGGGCACATCACCTGCACCCACACCCTGGGCTGCTCCACGGCAAATTAAAGCCTGTTTCTCTTGATGGCCTGGGGCAGCCCTGTCAGTCTGCTGGGGCAGATCTCCAAGCTGGATGGGCCATGGTGCCCTGGGGGTGGTTTGTGCTCTAGATGGTCTCTGGCTTTCTGCTTGGGTACTCCTGCTGGGTGTCCTTCTGACAGGAGAAGGACGCACTTCGATTCCAGGCCTGTGTGCTGGCTGCCTTGGGACAGCCCGAGTGCTCTGGCTGTAGATCTAAATGCAAGCATACTGTGAATTTTATTTATTTATGTCTTTGTGTCTTGCCGTGTTCCATAAAAGCTTTAAGCCACTTTATCTAGAGAAGATGAGGAAAGTGTAAGGGTTAAGAATGTAGGCTCTGGCTGAGTGGGGTGGCTCACGCCTGTAATCCCAGCACTTTGGGAGGCTGAAGTGGGCAGATCACTTGAGGTCAGGAGTTCGAGACCACCCTGGCCAACTTGGTGAAACCCTGTCTCTACTAAAAATACAAAAATTAGCCGGGCATGGTGGTGGTTGCCTGTAATCCCAGTTACTCGGGAGGCTGAGGCAGGAGAATTGCTTGAACCCGGGAGGTGGAGGTTGCAGTGAGCCAAGATCACACCACTGCACTCCAGCCTGGGTGACAGAAGGAGACTCCGTCTGAAAAAGAAAAGAATGTAGGCTCTGGAGCCAGAATGCCTGAGTTCTCAGGTGTGACATTGGATCAGCTAATATACAGGCACCGCAGGATGTGAGGGTGAGAGGCACAAGAACAAGCGGCACGCTGGCTGGCGGCCTTGGGCAAGGTGTGCCTCCGTTTCTTTATTGGGTGATCAAGAATAAATTAGGGATAAATCTGGACAACACGAGCATAGTAACAGTGTCACCCTTTGGGTTGTTGTGTGGCTTTAGTGTGATAATTACCATAAAGCACTTAGAAGAGTGCCTAGCATACAGTTGATACTCAGTAGATGGTGGTGGTAGTGGCAATGATGAAGGGTACTTTTTTTTTTTTGAGGCAGACTCTTACTCTGTCACCCAGGCTAGAGTGCAGTGGCACGATCTTGGCTTACTGCAACCTTGTCTCCCCAGTTCAAGCGATTCTCCTGTCTCAGCCTCCCAAGTAGCTGGGATTACAGGCTCCCGCCACCACACCTGGCTAATTTTTCTATTTTTAATAGAGACAGGGTTTCACCATGTTGGCCAGGCTGGTCTCAAACTCCTGACCTCAGGTGATCCACCCACCTCGGCCTCCCAAAGTGCCGAGATTACAGGCGTGAGCCACCGTGCCTGGCCTGGTGTGCTAGAAAAATGAAGTGCATCAGTGCCTGTGGTGGGCTAGTGAGCCAGTTTGTGCAAAGCACCAAGAGCAGTACCTGCACATATGAGGGCTCAGTAAATGTTCACTGGTGTTATTATTTTTATTATTCCTTCATCCAACCCTTATCTGTAATTACAAAATCAAGAAAACCACATTTTTTATTTTTTTTGAGGTGGAGTTTCACTCTTGTTGCCCAGGCTGGAATGCAGTGGCGCAATCTTGGCTCACTTCAAACTCCGCCTCACGGGTTCAAGCCATTCTCCTGCCTCAGCCTCCCAAGTAGCTGGGATTACAGGCATGCACCACCACACCTGGCTAATTTTGTATTTTTAGTAGAGATGGGGTTTCTCCATGTTGGTCAGGCTGGTCTCGAACTCCTGACCTCAGGTTATCCGCCCACCTCAGAAAACCACACTTTTTTAAATAAAAAAAGTTTGGTGCAAACTCATTTAATGACCAAACCTGGCTTGAGTTAGTAGGAGATTACTCATAGTATGTACCAGAAGTAGTTACACATTCAGCTGTAGAAATACTTATGTACTGGATTTTGGGGTGCTGTGCCTGGCCCTGCTGGGGTTTGATATAGCATCCTGTACATACTCCATACTACCTTTCTCAAATGCAAACAGGTTATGAATTCCGAAATATGTCCAGCACCAAGGGTTGGAAAAGGGACTGTGGACTTGTCTGCCATAATTCATTCTCTGGATGGCCATTGAGGCCACTTCTTGCTTTTGCTAATAGGGAAGGATGCTGCAGTGAGTATCCTTGGTAGACTTGAATTGCTGGGTTCACAGACATGCAGATTTAAAACTTTGGTGGTTATTGATAGATTGCCTTTCAAAGAGATGAGCACAGTTCCATCAATACTGTATGTGTGAAGTTGATCGTGTTACTCCCTGGCTTTCAAGAGTCTCCACAGCTGACCACAGTTGTCCATAGTTGTCCACAGCTATTCATGGCCCTGGGGCTTACATCCTTGCTCCCTTCTGTGGTGTTCACAGCCTTTCCTTCCCACTCTGGCCCCAGCCTGTCTGCCCAGCCTCTAACCATGGTGGCTTTTCCCCCACCATTATACTTGGACCTCAGACCACCTGTAGTGTCCCTCAGTCAGTCAACAACTGACCCCCCAATTCATCCCCCCAGTTCTCTCTCTTTCTCTCTTTCTTTATCTTTCTCCCCACTACCCCTGTACTGTGTGCCCTGGGGCTCAGCCATAGGCAGCATAGAGCTGCCCTGCTCTGTGGCCTTGGCCTTCCAGGGTGGAAGCAGGAAACCCAATTTAGTTTTGATAGTCCTGAGAGTAGAGAGTGAGAAGAACAGCATTTAGGGGAGGGAACAACCTGTGGGAAGGCCCTGAGGCAAACTTGGGAGGAAGATTTGTATTTTTAGGGTTGTGGGAAACCCTTGCAGAGGTTTAAGCCAAGGAATGACTTGGCCGATTGGGCTTGTATTTTCAATACTGCAGGTGGTAATGGAGAACGTGTTAGCAGCAGGGGCTGAGAGAAGGGAGTGGAAGGAGAAGGGTCAGGCCTTAGTTGCTGATTGGACCTACAGGGTAAGATGAGAGAAGGATGGAGGACACCTTGCAGGTCTCTGGATTCAAAATCTGGGTGGATAAGGGTGTTCTGAGCCTGAGCCTCAGGAGGAGAGGGGCTGAGAGTGGAAAGAGCAAGTCCTCTGGCTGCCAGGGCTCACATCCCAGCCCCTGCAGTTGTTGCTGTCAATCCCTGACCCTCACTATCCTCATCTGTAAGATGGGGATTAATGTAGTGCCCTTGCAGGGTCCTGCGAATGTGGACGATGCTGACAGCAGTCAGGGGGCTGCACCTAGTGGGTGCTGGGCAGGGGCACATCTTTCCCTTCTTGTGCCAAGAAGCCACCCTCCATTCCCCCAGAGCTAGTTTCTCTGTTGGAATTGCCTTCCCAGCCATCATAGTTTCTGATTTCTCCTCTTGTCAGGCTTTGCTTTTGTTTCCCTACTGGATTCTGAGCCCCTTGGAACTCCAATTCTAGGTAGTAAAGCCTAGACATCTGCATTTCTGAGCAATTCCCCAGGTGAACTCAGCTGCTTAGAACATTCTGCATCCCTGTAGGGCTGGAGCTGTGTCTTCTTAGAGCCAGACACATACGCAACCCTGGAATGAATGAACCACTAACAACCGTATGGTCTCACATCTCCCACAGATAAACCCAGCAGGCTGGACTGCTCCAGTTTCGAGAGCAGCCCAGTCACCTGGGAGGGATTTTAATTTTATTATATTTTTTTCTTATTTGTTTATTTATTGGAGTCAGGGTCTCACTCTGTCGCCCAGGCTGGAGTGCAGTGGCCCAATCATAGCCTACGGCAACCTCGGACTCCTGGGTTCAAGCAGTCCTCCCACTTCAGCCTCCTGAGTAGCTGAGACTACAGGCATGCATCACCATACCTGGCTAATTTTTTAGTTTTTGTAGAGATGGGGTCTCACTATGTTGCTCAGGCTGGTCTCGAACTTCTGGCCTGAAGTGATCCTCCTGCCTCAGCTTCCCAAAGTGCTGGGATTACAGGCATAAGCCACCGTGCCCGGCTCCTGGGAGGGATCTTTAAAGTTCAGATTCCCAGACCCAGCCTTGGCAAGTCTGTTTCAGAAGGTCTGAGCTGAGCAGAGCATGATTCTCTGCTTGGATGATTCTACCCAGCCATGTCAGAACACCTGTAGGCTCTTAACGCTGTGTGTCCTCCTAGCTCTGACATCCTCGTCCTCAGCCACAGGCCCTGGCATGTCCTGCCATGCTGGGTGAAGTTGGTTTTCTTGGTGCCAGGTCACCAGGTGGGGTTTCTGGGTAGTGGCAATGGCTGTTCCCCTCCTGCAATTAGCAGGAGTTAAAATGTCTGGGTTCTGAACTTGTGTGTCTCTGCTGCCACCAGTAATTACACAAGGTCAAGTAGGTTTATGATAGCTGAAATTCTAACAGTTTGGGGGCCTGTGTCCCCAATTCGCTTTGGTTTGTGGTCTCATTCTCCCAGCCAGCCTTAAGGAGGAGGGGGGCGTGGGGCACAGCTGCTCCTACCCCGAGAGCACACAGAGCTCAAGTGCCAGGCTTTGCCTCCGGAAGCATCTGTCTATTTCCATTGTCTGCCTCTCCTTGGACACAGAAGAATGATTATAACCAAATGGAGGGGTCCTCCTTCACCCGATCTCCCTGCACATTTCCAGATGGCTTTTGTAGAAGTTGTAGTCTTGCTCTTGATGTGCAAATCTGTTGGGTAATAGAGGTCTCATCGTGCTGGAAGAAGTGCCTCCCCAGTTAATTCTCCTCCACCCAAGCAGTCAGTGAAGGTTCAGCAGCTGGCAGAATGGAAATTGATGGTGGACATGTGACTTGACTGGCTGAGCTCCATAATGCTCATTCCTCATTGTCATTTCTCATGTGCACTGTGGGTGTGTGTCTCTTGGACAAGAGGATTGTGGTCTGGAATCCTGGAGGGATCTTGCAAAGCAGATCCAGATCTTGGTGTATGGAGTTAGGGCGGGGTGGTGGTGGTGCTGGATGGAGTGGGAGGGAAGACCTGGATCCTCTGAAGGCCAGCGCGTGTCTGGGCCAGCAGGAAGGGGCTGAAGTGCGTGAAGGCTCATCCAAGGGTTACTATCAGTCAGGTCACTTTCTCTGTGACTGTGGCTGAGCTTTACTGCCTCTGGAGATCCACATGCCTGTACAATCTTGCCTTCTGGGTGGGTCTGTAATTGTTCCTCATGGGTATTTTAGTAATGTCTGGATGTATCTTTCCCCCACTTCTTCTCACCCTCCTGTTTGCTCAAGCATCCCAGCTCCGGAAGGCTTCAGATTCTATCTCCTGCTCCTTTAACCCAGCTGCCCTGGGTTCACTTCATTCCAACAGAGGTCTCCTCTCTTACATCCAGCTCCCAAAATCGACAGCATTGAATACAACGCTGACTCTGAAACTTGCTCACTGGGGGATCTCCAAAAGGCTTTTTAACTTCTCCAAGAGACCCTCTGCTTTCCCATCTTTTTTGGTTTGTTTTTATAAAGGAGGAAAGGACACTGACCTTTGCATGGCACTGTGCTGGGCTCTTTGCTTACACTGCTTCATTGGATCTCCATAATAGTCCCATGAGATGGACACCATTACGACCCCTGCTTTCTAGTTGGGGAAACTGAGGCATAGAGCAGTCCTTTCCAAGATCTTATAGCTGCTAAGTAGCAGAGGTCGAATGAATTTAAGTCCCAATAGTTTCACTTTGTTGTTGTTGTTGTTTTTGAGACGAAGTTTTTTTTTTGTTTGTTTTTGTTTTTGTTTCTGTTTGAGACGGAGTCTTACTTATTCTGTCACCCAGGCTGAAGTGCAGTGGCAAAATCTCGGCTCACTGCAGCCTCCACCTCCCGGTTCAAGTGATTCCCCTGCCTCAGCCTCCTGAGTAGCTGGGATTCCAGGCTCATGCTACCACGCCCAGCTAATTTTTGTAGTTTTAGTGGAGACGGGGTTTCACCATGTTGGCCAGATTGGGCTTGAACTCCTGACCTCAGGTGATCTGCCCACCTTGGCTCCCAAAGTGCTGGGATTACAGGCGTTAGCCACCACACCAGGTCCCAGTAGTCTAATTTTGGAACCCCAGGCCTCCATTGGCTTTCTCTGTTGTAAATGTTTTTGCAATATAGATGTTTTAATAGCTTATGTAAAATCTTGTCATTGTGTAATTATGGTATTATGGAATCACATTTCTCTTGCATTTAGTTCATGTAAACGAAACTAGAATCTCTTAGGAAAAAAAGAGAAAAACAGCAGTTTAATCTCACTGTTCCACTTAATGAGTGTATATTCTGAAGGATACAGGAGATTGGGGGTGGTGAATCTGCTGGACTCCCTGTACAGGCCCCACATTCGGAGCACTTCAACCAGGGCAGCTCTGTGTGTGAGTCTGGGGGTTAGAGGTGTGTGTTTTCCTTTGGCTCTGACCACCAACTTTACCTGCAGTGCAGCTGAACACACAGTCACCTGCTCTAGCACTGTAGGAGAACCGAGTTGTGTTCCTCCAGAGAGGGTGAGCAGCTCACTAAGATGCATCTTCCTGAGGGGTTTTCCAGGGGAATTTTGAACTCTGCAGGATTTTCCCACTAACTTTAGAATTCGCCCTCCAGTGTCAGAAGGCTGAGCTTCGTCCTCCCTTTTGCAGGGTCTTTCTCAGCTGACATTTGGGTCAGAGCACAGAGATGGAGCTAAGATTGAGCCAGAGAGTTTTGTTTTGTAGGGGAGTTGGGCTGCATATTTACTCAGGTGCCAGAACCTATGAGATATTGGAAGTTTGGGAGGTCTGGACCCGGGAGTCAGACAGACCCAGCTGTTCAACCCCTATTGTCCGGTTCCAACTGCTGGACCTTGGCCAGGTTGCTTAAAGCTGTAGTTTATTTCGTTCTCGAAAATGTGGATAACAATGTGCACATCTCTGGGATCTTGTGTGAATTTGCAGTTAGAGAACAGGTCCTTGATATATCTTGGTCATCTGTGCCCCTTAACTAGAGCCTCATAGATTTCAGTGAATTGTAAATTGTCTCTAAGTGGCTAGCTAGGTATAATTTCATAAAGCATTATTTAGAATTGGGCTTCTAAGAGAGCTCACCTTATTTTTTTCTGCATTTTGAAGCACTCTGGGCATGAAGTATGCTGTACTTAAGCATTTGTCCTTGCAAGTAATGAATGATAACGAGACAAACCAGACTTTGAGCTGAGTTAGTGAGTGTGATGTGTGTTGATTCTATGAAGCTCATTTAAACAAATGCCCTGTTTGGTGCAGGATCAGGTCAGAAAATCTTTCGCTGCCCAAGGGATCCAGTTTTAACCTCAATTAGAAAAACTGGCACAAGACCATTTCTAGGGCCATTTTGCATGTCTGCCACTTCCCTTTGGGACCTCTGTTTGGGGGAGAACGTTCTTGGTTTTTGTGCTTCTGCCCTGGTTCTTAAGGTCACTAGCTCTGTGGGCAAATCTGTGCTTTCTGTGCCTAGGTTTCCTCTTCTGTGAGGAGATAAGAGTTCCTGACAACATTGCTGAGTGGGTTGAGCATTTGAAGCCCTCAGCAGGGTGTCTGGCATATGAAAAGGCCTCTATTGCCATTGCTTGTGGTGAGGAGGAGGACAATGATGACAATGTGACATAGACAACCCATTGCTGGGTCCATGCCTATCATACAGTAGGCAGCACAGAATGGGGGACCCCAGTCCTGCTCTGACCACTGTGTCCTGTTCCTTCCTACCTTTGGGTCCTCCATGAATCCATAAGCATGCTCTCTGTCCATCAACAAAAACATACTGAGTGTCCATGAAAGGCATTACTGAAGAGACCCAGAGAGAGACAGGCTGACAGTAGTAGTTTGTTTTTTGTTTTTTGTTTTGAGACAGAGTTTCGCTCTTATCACCCAGGCTGGAGTGCAATGGTGCGATCTCAGCCCACTTTAACCTCCGTCTCCTAGGTTCAAGCGATTCTCCTGCCTCAGCCTCCCCAGTAGCTGGGATTACAGGTGCCCGCCACCACGCCCAGCTAATTTTTGTATTTTTAGTAGAGATGAGGTTTCACCCTGTTGGCCAGGCTGGTCTTGAACTCCTGAGTTCAGGTGATCCATCTGCCTCGGCTTCCCAGAGTGCTCGGATTACAGGTGTGAGCCACCACGTCCGGCCAATAGTTTTATGTAAAGCAAGGTTTTAAAACTTTTTTGTTCCATTGGAACCATTTGACAGTATGAGAACTCCTCCAAGAACCCTAGCATATAAATCATAATAAAAGATGAGATGCCCTGGTTGAAATTGGAATACCTTTTGGCCTAAAGACAGGCATCCTGGAACCAGGCAGGGGTTGACCGCTTGTGGTATCCCCACCAAGCCTCGTATCCTGGGATCTGGGATCTGATTTTCAACTGGGAAGACTAGAGACTTGTGATATGACCTTGAGGACTGACTAACCTTCTCCCCAAACCTCCCCAAATGAACATGTGATGGAGACCATGCCCACAGTACCAGCTTGTACATAAGCAGTGAAAACTGGAACTGGTACTCAGTCTATCCATGTAATTAAGCCACAGGGGCAGCAAGCACCAAACCTGTAGGCTGCCTGGTGGGAGTGGAGTTCAAAATACTTGTTGGAGCAAGTACGATGCTGTCATTAGCCTGTTGCATCCATTTCATCACTGGGGTATCTTGACACTGTGTTTAGAAATACAAGTCCTTGTGTCCCCAGCATGCATCTTCCTTTGAGGGATAGTGACTTACGGACTCGGCTGGGTACTGTGCAGCTTTGCCTCTTGATGCCTTCTTTTCCTGTGATTCTCGAATGGCCAACCCCCCCAAGTGGACCACTTTATTGCTTCAGCTGGTGGTGATGCCTCCATGGCGCGGGTGTCCTGATTCCACAGCAGGTTTGTATCATCTTTCATTAGAGTGGAAGAGTACACAGTTCACTGAATGTGTTCATTTGTTCAACAAGTATTGCATTTGTCTGTGTGCTCAGGGTGCCACACAGCCTGGTGCAGTTGGGGAGACACATGTGCACACATTGGTGTGATTGGGTGAAGGAGGAGTGTGGCAGGGGCACTAAGGAGGCACCAGAGCCCATCTTCAGAGCACTCTGGGAAAATCCAAGGGGGTGATGTGAGTGGTGGAGCTGACAAAATGTCTCTCAGAGGATGGTCATGGGACCTCACTTCCAAATTCTTGCCCCAGCAATCTCCCATAACCTCCATAGTGTTTGGCGTCCAGGGATGATGGAGTAGAAATGCAAATATAAATAGTTAACACTAACCATTGAGTACATCTTCTTGGCTAAACACTGGACATGGATGATCTCATGTCATGCAAGGGTGCACAACCTGCTGTGATGACACACTGCACTGCCCCAGCCCTCCTTATACTTTCTGTCACCCTCCTCCTCACTCTTGTAATCTCTTTTTCCTCCTTGTTAATTACTTATGCTGTGTTCTTTATCCAGAGAAGCCCTGGCTTGTTGACCTGGTAGGCTCTTATTCACCCTTCAAAACTCAGCCCAGTCATCACCTCCTCTGAGAAGCCTTCCATGATATGCTCAGGCTGACTTGATGCTCTTCCTCTTACAACTGTATATCCCATCATTACAGCTTTGTTACATTATACTGTAATGCTCAGGGTTTTTTTTTTTTTTTTAACTTTGAAACAATTTTAGTAATACTAACATATATAAACATTTTTGTTGGTGTTGGTGTTGTAAAATGCTAGTGGCAGCCAGGCGCTGTGGCTCATGCCTGTAATCCCAGCACTTTGGGAGGCCAAGGCAGGAGGATCACGAGGTCAGGAGTTCGAGACCAGCCTAATCAACGTGGTGAAACCCCATCTCTACTAAAAATACAAAAATTAGCCGGGCATGGTGGCACATGCCTGTAATCCCAGCTACTCAGGAGGCTGAGGCAGGAGAATCGCTTGAACACAGGAGGTGGAGGTTGTAAGTGAGCTGAGATCGCGCCACTGCACTCTAGCCTGGGCAACAGAGAGAGACTTGGTCTTAAAAAAAAAAATGTTAGTGGTACAGATATAACTGAAGCCTGTCTTAGCTTCCAGCCGTCCCATATCCCACTTCAGACACAGCCACTTAAAAATAACTTTGAGGTTGTGTTTTCTAAACTTTAAAAAATATATTTATGGGCTGGGCGCGGTGGCTCATGCCTGTAATCCCAGCACTTTGGGAGGCTGAGGAGGGCAGATCACGAGGTCAGGAGATCAAGACCATCCTGGCTAACATGGTGAAACCTCGTCTGTACTGAAAATACAAAAAAACTAGCTGAGCATGGTGGCGGGCGCCTGTAGTCCCAGGTACTTGGGAGGCTGAGGCAGGAGAATGGCCTGAACCCAGGAGGCAGAGCTTGCAGTGAGCTGAGATCACGCCACTGTACTCCAGTCTGGGCGACAGAGCGAGACTCCGTCTAAAAAAAAAAAAAAATATATATATATATATATATATATATATATATATATATATATATATATATTTATGTACATACAGTGTTATGCTGGGACATGTTTAACAGTCAGCTCTTGGGGACAGGTTGGAGAGCGGGGAGCCATGATTTGCCGCATTTTCTGATTTCCATGGTGTAAAACTCCCACCATGGCCAACAAACCCCGACATGACTGAACAGAGTTGGAAAGAGATGTGCACCATTGACTTTCTCAAACTAGTATGTGCTGGCTCTCATCCACCACTGCTTCATATAGCTGGAGTCTTGAAGTATGTGGGGTTTTTCTTTTGCTAGAAACATCATTATACTTTAGGTTCTGTTCTTGCTTTTTTCCCCTCTAATGTTGAGTTGAGCTGTGTTTCCCATGCTAGTGCATCTAGATCTGCTTTGTTGTTTTAGCTGTTGCATATTCTACACCAATCAGTCATTATTTCTCCAGTGCCTTATCGATGGACAGTTTGGTTGTTTTTCATAGGGTATGTCTCCTCATAGTAGTCCCCATCCTCCTGGGGCATAGGAACTTTTCATTTGTATCCATGTAGATGCTTCAAGACCATGCGTGGGTGGACTCAGGGTGATAGTGGATGCTTGGAAACAATGCTAAGCTGGCCCAGGTGCGCTGCTGTGTCCACACTGACCAGAGCACTGTTTGGTAACTGACCTAATGTCTCGGCTGCTCATGTCATTATCTCTGGTTCAGTTTAGTGGCCACATCAGCCCTCGGGGGTGGTGGCCTCGTTTTTAGCCAAGGGCTCTGGGTCATGTTTCTTGGCCACTGGGGAGGTGAGGTCATCTGGAGCGGGTGGCTTGGGACCTTGTGGTCCCAGCCTGAGCCATCCAACCATCCTTTAGTTCTGATGTTGGCTCTGGCCCTGAGATTGGCAGACAGCAAGAAAAAATGTATCCCGCTCTCTCCCTGCTCAGATAAAAGCCTGGAGGACAACTCTGACTGTTGTTTGCTGATAAAAGTTTATAAAGCTGTGAGTGCCAAGCATGAGGCAGAGCAAGGAGTACACGGAGCTTTTGTAAATTTCCCTGGAGGGCATGCCCTCTTTTGAGATCTGAAGATGAAAAGATCTTATTTGGTGGAGTCTTGATTTTGTTGTTTGTGTACTTTTTTTCTTAGTATATATATATTTTGGTAATTAAGTATGTGAAAGTGTTTGTTAAGCACCAACTGTATGCCTAACACCCCATTAGGGTGGGGTTGTTATGGAAGCAGAGTGGGGTCTGGCTTAAGAGCATGGGCTCTGGAATCAGATGGTGTGTGTTCAAATCCCTCCCCTACCATGATACACTTTGGGATCTTGAACAAGTTAATTCACCATTCTGTGCCTCAGTTTCCTACTATTCAATAGAGGGATTGTGATAGTGCCCGCTTCATAGGGTGGGAGAAGAGGAAGTGAGATAATGCACGAGGAGCACTGAGTCTGGTGCATATGAGGTGCTCAGTAAAGGCTGTTGCTATTAGTAGGAGTTATTATTAATTAGCACTGGAAGTTCACATACAATCAGAACTAGGAACAGAATGGAATGTGCAAGACCTTGAGATGTTCTGCTTTTGAGACACTTGCAGTTTGTTTGGGGAGATAAGAGTAGGTGTTTGGTCCTATTAGCAATCAGTATATGACAGTCATAATGAAGTCCAAATGATGTGGTTTTTATTTCAAGTTTTACAGAAGTTGGTGGGGAGTGGGGAGTGCCTGAGAGGAGATGGGGTTATAGATGGGGTCACTGTATGTGAGAGGCAGGTAAAGGAGTGAAGGTACTCCTTCACAGAGGAGGGCACTGTGCAGCAGCAGGGCACTGTCAGTAGCTGATCAGTTCCAGGTCAGTCTGGTGGGCAGCGGTTGGCAGGGTGGTGTGGGTGTTGAGGAGGTCAGCTGGGGTCTGCTTCATTCAGAGGTGAAAGGACACAGGCCTGTGGAGTGGAAATGGGATGAAGCAGGCAGAGCCATTTATTAAAGCATCTTATTGAAGCACAGCATACCCACAGAGAAGGGCACCGGTCATAACTGTATCACTTGATGGTTTTCACAAATGGATCATACCTGTATTAAGAAACAGAACTTTGCCAGCACCCCAGAAGCCCCATCATTCCTCTTCCAGCCACCACTCCCCCACTAGAACCGCTATCCTAACTCCTAATAGCCTGGGATGGTTTTACCTGTTTTGGTATTTTCTTTTCTTTTCTTTTCTTTTCTTTTGACGGAGTCTTATTCTGTCGCCCAGGCTGGAGTGCAGTGGCGTGATCTCAGCTCACTGCAACCTCCATCTCCTGGGTTCAAGTGATTCTCCTGCCTCAGCCTCCAGAGTAGCTGGGACTACAGGTGCGTGCCACCACGGCTGGCTAATTTTTTGTATTTTTAGTAGAGATGGGGTTTCACCATGTTAGCCAGGTTGGTCTCAATGTCCTGACCTCGTGATCCACCCGCCTTGGCCTCCAAAAGTGCTGGGATTACAGGCATAAGCCACTGTGCCTGGCCCTGTTGTGGTACTTTCTGTAGACAGACTTGGATAGCACACACTCTTGTGTTTGGCATCTTTAGCTCAGCATTGTTTTCTGAGTGTCTTTCTTGTTGCCGCATGTGGTTGTAGGTCATCCATTCTCATTGCTGGGAATCACCACCATTGATTTCATTCATTCTATTGTTGATAAGCATTTGGGTAGCTTCCAGTTTGAGTTTGTGGTAGGTCACATAATGGCCCTCCCAAAAGATGTTTCTGACCTAATCCCTGGTCACGGGTGCCATTCACCAGTAATACCTGGGACTGTGTTACCTTACATGGAAAAAGGGACTTTGCAGATGTGATGACTTTAAGGATCTTGGCATGGGGAGATCATCCTTGAGGGGCCAGTGTAGTCACAAGGATTCCTATAGGAGGGTCTGGTTCAGAGAATGAGATGTAGTGATTAAAGCAGAGGAAAGAGAAGACAGAGATTTGAAGATACCATTGCTGGCAATGAAAACAAGAGGAGGAGCCACAAGCCGAGGAATGCAAAGTGACCTTTAGAAGCTGGAAAAGGCAGGAGAACAGAGTCTCCTCTAGAACGTCCAGGAGGAATGCTGCCCTGCAAGGCCATGTAGACCCATTTCTGACCTACATTGCTATGAGAGGAGATACATTTGTGCTGTTTTAAGTCACTAAGCGTGTGGTAATTGATTACAGCAGCAATGAAAGACAAATGTAGGGGAGTTGTGCATGGTGCTACTGAGGACATTCTAGAATATGTCTCTTGGTGCACGTGCGTACCTAGGAGCAAATGCAGGTTGACTCGACATTGTCACGGTCTTCCAAGATGGTGGGACCAATTTATGTTCCCAGCAACAGCAGTATATGAGAGTGCTGGTTGCTTCACATTCTCACCAACACTTGGTGCTTCCTGGGAAATTTTTAAATGAAGAATTAGCAGGACCTTCTGTCCAATGGACGCAGTTGTGCTTTGCAGGAGGTTGATGCAGGAGGTATCAGCAAATACCAATGGGTGCTGATCCTGCCAGCTGAGGAGAGGAACGAGGGAGTGGTGGTGCCAGAGTTTTTAGCTGGGGAGAAATGGAATTCCTCTTCCATGCAGGTGACTGGGATGGGAAATACTGATGAACTTTAGATTAACACGAAACTTTCCATCTGAAGAGTCAGAACAGCGCTTATCTCATCTTTGTAACTTTGTGACTAACCAAGGGATGTGGTGGGTATTATGTGGTGGGGAAAAAGCCCATGCTGTTCATCAGCCCTCATTTAAGTGCTGCGACTATAAGCAAGTCACAGCCTGTCAGATCTCTGGTTTTGCCATCTGCAAAATGGGTATGATCCTGGCTTTTCTGCAGGGCCCTGGCAGATGAGAGGAGCCTCTGTGTGAGAGCCCTGAACTTACCACCTATAAATAGGAGGCACTGAGTCAGCAGTGGCTGTGGTCATTACCAACAATGGTATAGGTCTGAGGCGATGGCTGACGCCTGTAATCCCACCTCTTTGGTAGGCTGAGGTGCAAGAATTGCTTGAGGCCAGGAATTAGAGACCAGCCTGGGCAACATAGCAAGACCCCATCTCTACAAAAAATTAAAAAAATGAGCCAGGTGTGGTAATGTGCACCTGTAGTTCCAGCTAACATGGGAGGCTAAGGCAGGAGGATCACTTGAGCCCAGGAGTTTGAGGCTGTAGTGAACTATGATTACATCACTGCACTCCAGCCTGGGCAACAGCAAGACTCTGCCTTAAAAACAAACAAAACAATGGTATGAAACCCCTAGGTTTAGAGTGTTCCTGGGGCTGAACACTCAACCTTGAGAGGGATCCGAGAGTATCACCTCTTGGTTGACATCCAGGGCAGATGAGGTTAAGCTCACGATCAACCCAACAACCCCCGGGGCCTCATTGAGACACTATTCCTTACCCGATTCCTGAAATGGCTTTTGAAATTTTTTGTTTATTCATTCATTTGTTCATTCATTCAGCCACCACCGAGCTTTCCTGTGCATGTCATGCCACAGTCGGGAGAAACACAGACTCCCAGGCCAAATGCCTGGGGTTCCAGTCTCAGCTTTATTATTTGCTACCTGTGTGGCCTTTGCCAAGTCTTAACTTCTTTGTGCCCAGTTTTCTGATTCTTCATGTGAGATGGTAACAGTCCCTGCCTCCTAGGGCTGGTGTGAGAATTTGATGCAACAATCCATGTCAATGTCCGTGTCAGGCCCTCGGGCATCCTTCAGTGCTAGAGCACAGAGATCGATGCCCCCAGTCCCTGCCCCTAGCCACAGGCTGAAGGGTGATGGGTTTTGTTTTGTTTTGTTTTGTTTTGTTTTTTGAGACGGAGTCTTGCTCTGTCGCCCAGGCTGGAGTGCAGTGGCACAATCTTGGCTCACTGCAAGCTCCGCCTCCCGGGTTCACACCATTCTCCTGCCTCAGCCTCCCGAGTAGCTGGGAATATAGGTGCCCGCCACCAAGCCTGGCTAATTTTTTTGTGTTTTTAATAGAGACGGGTTTTCACCGTGTTAGCCAGGATGGTCTCGATCTCCTGACCTCGTGATCCGCCTGCCTCGGCCTCCCAAAGTGCTGGGATTACAGGCGTGAGCCACTGCGCCCAGCCTAAAGGGTGATGGTTTATTGGTGCCTGTCTACAGAATATTTTTGCCAATATGGGAAAGGAAAAGCCTAAAGCTCTGACCTAGAACTAGCCAGTGGCCCCTCAAAGGCAGGCCCTGATCCCTCATGGCTGCTTGGGAAATGTGGCTTTGAGGAGAGTCCTGTGGTTGGCATCATTTTGGAATGTGGGTGTAAAGTCCCTTGCAGCAGTTACATGCTGCAGAGGAGCTTGGGACACTGAGCAACCTTGGTTTCTAGGCCGAAATGAGGTAGGTTGAGGTGTTCACAGCTGCAGAAGTGACCCAGGTATGGGCTACTCAATTCCTCTTCATACCCTTTGTGGATGCAGTGGCAACTCCGGGACTCTGAACTCAAGTCCCACCACCCTTCCATCTTTTCTTCTTCTGGGATCCACATTTTCACTCTCGCCCTAGCCTGGGCCCCTCCATAATGCACATGTCTCAGCTGATGAAGTTAGCTCTGATGGAAGCCAGAGCAGTGGCCCCTGACAGGGATCCAGATGCTAAAAATATTTCATGGTGTGCTTTTTGCAAGTTAAAGACCGGCACTGGAGGCAGTGGCTGGGGACTCTCCCCTAAACTGACTGTCTAACGCCTTGGGGTACAAGGGTCCCAGGTATCCTGTAGGTCCTGCTCACCTAGATTGGAGAATTTATCTAAATGGTGCTTTAATCTGGCCAGGCCTGTGGTAGGGCAGATGGAGGAGGCTGTGCTGGAGATATGGCCAAGCAGGCCTGTGATTCTCAGTAATCAAAGTAGTGGATGCAACGGTGCTGGACCATTCAGCCAGCACTAGCTTAGAAGAACATGGGTGGTCCAAATTACCCTCACCCCCTGTGCCTGGACGATGACAGGCTGGAGACCAATACACTATCCCTCAGTATGATCTGCACAGCCAGTTCTACAGTTGAAACTGATGGCTGTTTCTTTGGTTGACACTAGATGAAGCAGCAGGTTTGTGTTTGGGGCCATGTGGTACAAAGAAAATCTATCTTTTGATCCTCAACCACACCCAGAGTGGTGAGGAATGCAATGCCTGAGACTGAAGAAGGATCCCAGAGTTATGGCTCAGACTCATCCTGGGGCAAATGTTCAGGAAGCGAAATAGTGGGAGGAATCCTCCACGCCACTGGAATATTCTTCTCCTGTGCACACTGTCTCTGTCTCTCTCCCTTGTCTTTCTCTTTGCCTCTGTTGCTCCTAAGCACACCTGCTTGAATCCTTACCTAAACTTGGGCGTCATGCACCCGAATGGTATTTTACCAGTCCAGGTGGTCATTTTGTGACATGAAACTCACAGCTCATACTTGGAGATGCCCTCTGTATTCTTCATTCTGTGCCCAGTGCTCTGCTCTTGAGAGTCTTCGCACTGGAAGATATTACCTGCTTATTAACATCCCCTCACTCATTAAGTACTGATTGAGTACTTACTATGCACCAGGCCCTCAGGAAGTTGCATGTAGTTTCACTGAAATTGTGTCCAAAAAGAGTTTGGCCTCACCTGTCTCTACATACATAGTGTGTACCAAGCTCCAAATAACCAAACCCACCTGCAGAAGGGCCCCAGTGAGGACATGTAATCATATTCCCAGCTGGGATGACAGTTCACAACCCATAAAACCAGGGCCTATAAAACAATGACTTAAAGAACAAAGAAATTTCTCTGTAAGGTAGTAATTCTAAGGTGACAGGGGTGGCTGTGCTAGATGCAATCACAGGCCCAGGTGGTTTCTACCTTGTTGCTTTGTCATTCCAAGTGCATTGTCATCATCTGCATGGGCAGAGCTGGGTTCCAGCCCGTGGGAAGGTTGCTCATATCCTAAGACCTAGACCGAGAAGTGGCACACATCACTTCTTCTCACGTTCCACTGGGAACCCAGATATTTGGCTATATCTCCCTGCAGGGATGCTTGGAAAATGTGGTACCTGGCGGAGCGCAGTGGCTTACGCCTGTAATCCCAGCACTTTGGGAGGTTGAGGTGGGCGGCTCACC
This sequence comes from Homo sapiens, assembly GCF_000001405.40. Taxonomy (NCBI): domain Eukaryota; kingdom Metazoa; phylum Chordata; class Mammalia; order Primates; family Hominidae; genus Homo; species Homo sapiens. The sequence continues at coordinate 57,035,583 of NC_000003.12, read as the reverse complement.
TGAGGTCAGGAGTTTAAGACCAGCCTAGCCAACATGGTCTAACCCTGTCTTTACTAAAAATACAAAAATTAGCCGGGTGTGGTGGCGTGTGCCTGTAAACTCAGCTACTCGGGAGGCTGAGCAAAGGAGTGGTGTGACCCTGGGAGGCAGAAGTTGCAGTGAGCTGAGATTGTGCCACTGCACTGCAGCATGGGTGACAGAGCGAGACTCTGTCTCAAAAAAAGAAAAGAAAAGAAAATGTTGTACCTGATAAAACTTGAATAATTATGGAAGAAGGAAATATTGGATTTTGGTGGACACTGGGTAACCCTTGATATATTCCCCTTGTATTTAATGCAGCTCTTTGTGTGTTTATAACATAAATGTACCTAGATGATAAATGTTGGTTGTTTTGCTTTTTAAAAAAGGAGACCTGAGCCTGCCATACTGAGTCTATGGACAGTTCCACAGCAATGAATCAATGCAGCTGTAGAGGAATGGAAGAAAACAAGGAAAGGTAAAAATAATCAAATAACCTAAATAATTAAAAATTTTAAAATTCCTGTATGCAACAATTAAATGAAATGGAGGGCTTCCTTTAAGCCTACATAAGTCAGTAGAGGCCATCAAGAATTTGGAGATAGTGCTAGGCATGGTGTCTCATGCCTGTAACCCCAGCACTTTGCAAGGCTGAGGTGAGAGAGGATCACTTGAGTCCAGGAGTTCGAGACCAGCCTGGGTAACATAGTGAGACCTCATCTCTACTAAAAATAAAAAAAAATTAGCCAGGCATGGTGATGTGTGCCTGTAGTCCCAGCTACTTGGGAGGCTGAGGCGGGAGGATTGTTTGAGTCCAGCTGGTTGAGGTTGCAGTGAGCCATGATCACACCATTATACTCTAGCCTGGGTGACAGAGTGAGACCTTGTCAAAAAAAAAAAAAAAAAAAAGAATTTGGAGTTAGCAAAATTTCACATATTTTCTTCCACATCTCTAATTTCTTACTAGAGATGTTTCTTTCACGTCTCTGCCAGAGGAGGAATGCCATTCAGTATGATGGGATTTTTCTAAGACTTAGAAGGAAGAGTTGGTATAAGTAGGACCAATGTGATATAGAATTAAATATTTTATTCCAAACTATGGACATTCATTCCAAAACACTATGCCCCATGCTTGGATGTGTTGTGCCAGCATTTGTGAGTGGCCAGTCCCCCAAGAGGAGGCAAAGGCAGACCCTGAGCTCTTGGCAGCTCCGTCTTCTCTTTGACTCACCATTTCTTCCTCTTTCTTATGCCTTTTTTTTTTTTAAGCCATTTGTGGTAGTGTGTGCCTGTAATCCCAGCTCCTCAGGAGGCTGAGGCAAGAGGATTGCCTCAGCCTAGGAGTTTAAGGCTGAAGTGCACTACAATTGCACTTGTGAATAGCCACTGCACTCCAGCCTGGGCAACACAGCAAGACTCCCATCTCTAAAATAAATAAGTACATTAGATAATTAAAAACTTTTAGTGTAATGTCAATAATTAAAATTAATTTAATTTAATTTATTTATTTACTTTTCTTTGAGACAGAGTTTTTGCTCTGTTGCCCAGGCTAGAGTGCAATGGTGCAATCTCAGCTCACTGCAACCTCCACCTCCTGGGTTCAAACGATTCTCCTGCCTCAGCCTCCTGAGTAGCTGGGATTACAGGTGTCCGCCACCACACATGGCTAATTTTTGTATTTTTAGTAGAGATGAAGTTTCACTATGTTGGCCAGGCTGGTTTCGAACTCTTGACCTCAGGTGATCTACCTACCTCAGCCTCCCAAAGTGCTGGGATTACAGGCATGAGCCACCGCGCCCAGCCTAAAATTAATTTTATTTATAAATAAATAAATAGATTTTCCTTGTTAAAAATACAAATGAAATCCCCATTGACTCCCATTTTCATTCCCAGCTCCTACCTCATCCCTGCCCTTCCCAGAAGTAACCACTGGGATCTACCTTGTACATTTTCTTCCATAACTTTGTTAGTTATCTAGATACGTAGAACAAAAGTCACTCTTTCCTTTCTTCCTTTTTTTCTTTCTGTTTTTAAATATGTACTGTTATACTATGCTTGTTAGCCTATTTTGTAGCCCTTTTATAAATTCAATAATATGTCCTAAAATGTTTTCAAGACATATGTGAATCTACATTTTTTTTTTTTTTTTACTGCAGCCAAGTGAATAGTATATCCACAGTACGAGGATCCAGCTGTTTATTGGGCCATTTCCCTGATGGTGGTGGTTAGCTTTGTTCTGTTTGTTGCCCTTATGGTAGTGCTGTGATGTGCTTTCTGGTATGTTCCACCTGAGCACATGGGCAAGAATTCTCTAGGGAGGTTGCCGCGGATTAGAGTTGCTGGGTCATCCTGTGTATGCCTGTAAGGTCTGAAACATCACCAGTTCATCCTCCAAAGGGCACTGCTTATCACCTGGGCACCAGATCTCCTATTTGCTCACCATCTTGCCATGCCTCAGATCTTTAGCTTTTTAATTTTGCTAGTCTTTTGGGTGAATGATTGTGTCTTTCTGTGGTTGTAGTTTCCTCTGCCTCCTCTGAACTCTGAGGTTGTTCATCTTCTTAGGACTCTGTTGCCTAGCTTCATCTCCTGATGGTGCCATAAGCCTCTGTCCCCACAGGGACCCATCCACCTATCCAGAGTCCCAGGGCCCCAGGGCATCTGGGGAGCCTGGCCCTTCCCAGGAGTGGTTGCTACGTTGTTTTCTCTTCTGAGAAGCATCCAAGGAGTATACTTATACTCCCCCAGGAGAGTCCAGCCCGGGATCATCTGCTTCTCCTTCTAACCCTAGGGGCTTCAAAGAGCCCTCAGCTGGATTTCCCTACTTTTATATCCACCACTACCATCACTGATGCCATCAGCATTGGCAACAGTTTGAGAATTTACTATGTCAGCCTCTGCGTGGATCACTTGGCCTGTTTATCTCATTTAATTCTCACAGTGGTCCTCTAAGGTAGGAAGTTGTGTTGTTTCTCCCCATTTTGTGGCCATTAGGTAACAGACAGAAACGTATTCAAAACCAACCCAAAGAGTAAAAGGAAACCAGCAAAACTTTGCTCACCATGGATCCCTGGTTTCTACCCAGTGCTCTCACTTGGAGTAACAAACAGACCCACATTTGTTGAGTGCTGAGTTCTGTTTAATGAGCATGGCTTTGGGGCCATCACGCCCATGTTTGCAGTTGCTTTGACCACACTCAGTTGTTATTCAGAATCTGTGGTATTTCCAGGGGAGAGCAGAGTTGAAAGTGATGGCTTTGTCCCTGTCCAGCATATGAACAGGGGCTCCTGCATATCACCAGTACCACTGTTCTTGGGTACCGTTAGGGATGGCAGCCTCACCCATGCCCATCCAAAATGTTTCTCTGCAAAGGGGTTTTACAAGTTGAGCATATTTGTCATGGGGATTACATATACTTCCTTATGGGGAGTGCATAAACTGAGCTGTGCAGGGAGAGGAAGTACTTCACTTGCCCTCCCCTAATCAGTCAACCTACCCTAAAATGTTTGACTTTAGGTCTTATTCTAAGATCAAGAAATTGCAGACAGAGTGCAATTTCAAATGCCTTTCTCAGCCCCCATCTTTTAGTATATATTTCAGAGACATAAAAATTTAGAGCCAGAAGAAATCATAGATTCATTGTGTTTAACTCTGCATTACAGTTTTAAGCAAACAGACCTAGAGTGATGAAATGATTGCCAAGTTCATGCTCCCACATCTCCAGGGTCTGGCTCTGGCTCTTTCCACAGCATCACAGCTACCTCTTGTGCAATTATTAGGAGACTGATCCTTTCTTCTTCCAAAACTGCCTCACGTGATCCATCCACCTCAGCCTCCCAAAGTACTGATTCAGCGGGTACTATCTTGCAGAAAACTAGCCCATTGAACGATTAATTGATTGTTCATTTGGTGGGCATTGATTGAATACTATTGTATGCACAAGTGACAAAAAGATGGGTAAGATATGAATTCTTAGGGAATTTGGAGTCTGGCATCTGTGGGGGAGAGGTAGTTGCACACATCTGAGCGGTGGTTAAGTGGAAACCCATGAATCTATGCTGGTCAGTGGGGATAATAATAGTATCTCCCACAGTGGGTCATTGGGGATGTTCTGAGTTAATCATTGGAAAGCTCCTGGCATATAGTCAGTACCCAGTAAAGACGGCATTTTTTGTTTTTGTTTGCTTATTTTTAGTCGCATATAGAGTGAAGAACCTAGAAAGACTTTTCTGTCAGGAGAATGATAGACTTATGTTTCAGAAATGGTAATCAGTAAACACAATTTCTCATCTTAGATGTATTTATCTTTTTAGTGTCTCTTTCACCTATTGGACTGCAAACCTCATGGGGCTACGTCTCACCTCTTGTGTTCACCATTATTACACAGTTTACCTCATTACTGTGTGCTTGGCACACAGTAGGTACTTACTAATATTTCTAGACCAATGAGTAAAAGGGGTGGAGTAACAAGATAGGGTGGACCTAGGATCCTTGAGATGAGGTGCTGAGACAAAGCCGACCAGCTGGAAGGACCACAGATCAGCCTGGGCCAACCCCACTTCCTCAAGGACTGGGGCTCCCTGGAATCCCTGCCCACAGGCCGTGCTTCCGTTTGTGAGATGCAGTTTTGTTACTGTGATTTATGGGCAGTTTGTCTTTTAACCAAATGACTTTATTGTGAGGAGGACTATTTGCATAGCATTTATTGACTGAGCAGTAATTTCTTGCTGCTTCTATTTCTGGATGCCAACTTACACTTTAGGGGCCCAAGAGTATAGGATTTCTAGAAGATAAATACCCTGGAGAGTGCAGTTTTCTGTGGTCATCAGTGACTGCAGACAGATAGTGCATTTCTATGCCTCAGTTTCCTCAGCTGTGTGGCAACAGAAGCAGAATTTCTGAACAGTTTCCTCAGGTGCAAAGGAGAGAATTTTGAGGGGGAAAAGTCCTTGTCTTTCTTGTAAATTCTTCCTATGAATGGACCTGTGGTGAAATGGTTGGATAGTAAGGACTTCACTTATGCTGGAGAAATGGGAAGATTTAATTTAGGTCATTTATTCATTCATTCATTTGGTCAGTCAGTCAACAAACATCCCATTACTCAGTGGCCCTCAGCACTTTGGGAAAATGCTCAAACAAGGGATTAGGCATTCCCTGCAGAGTCTTCCAGGCACGGATTATATACATATATGTCTCTTTTTCCAAAACAAAAATCTCCCCTGGCTTGCTCACCTCTTCCGTATGTGTTGAGCACCTCCTCCTTGCCGGTTCTGCTAGGCTTTACTCTCCTGGAGGGAAGGGCCTTGTCTGGTGCAGTGATGCCTGACATCCGGCCCAGGCCCTCCCCGTGTGTGGCTCTGGTGGACTGAATTGGCTAGAAGACAGAGTGATTTGTAGATGGCAACATGAAGGACTTGACCCAGAATTGCAATTTGCCCCAGCGCTGCAGGCAGTTTTCATGCTGCAGGGTTAGGCTGGTTTGTATAGTGCTCGAAGCCCTCCCCATTAGACGTGGTGGTTTCGCTGCTTGCTCTTAGCTGCTCTCTTCTCCTTGATCCACTTATCAGCTCCCATCTTGGCATTAGGCCAGGGCTGTTTTGGTCACTGATTTTTAGTAGCTTTGTTCACTGTCCAAAAGGCTGTTTGGGACCTGCTCTGCTTCCCCCACCCTCCAGAGGTTTAGCTGCTGACCTTGAGAAGCCAGAAACCCAACATAAGGGAGAGCAAGAGCCCGAGGTTTGCAAACTCCTCTGACCTTGGGCTCTGTGACCCTGGGCAAGGCGACATCTCTCTAAGGTGTCTTCTTGGAGATCCCATCAGCATTCCCACAGTCTGCTACTTAGAATATGGTTTCCTCCTTACATGATTAGGTATGGCAGGAAAAAGTGGGGTTTGTTGTCAAATTTGTTTGGCCAGTGCTGGCTTAACCTCAGTTAAATGGGGACCTTTTTGCAGACCTCATCAGAGCCTATAAAGTGTCACTGTGCATGCAGAGGTCTCTTAAGGGAGGGCAGCTCCCTACATCTGCTACTGTAGAGATCACCCCAGGGATGTGCTGGATTGGGTCTTTGAGCCTTCACCCAGTCCTTCAACTATGTGATCAGGACAATGAGGTAAGTAGATTTTTTTTTTTTTTGAGACGGAGTTTCGCTCTTGTTGTCCAAGCTGGAGTGTAGTGGCATGATCTCTGCTCACTGCAACCTCCGCTCCTGGGTTCAAGTGATTCTCCTGCCTCAGCCTACTGAGTAGCTGTGATTACAGGCATGTGCCACCACGACCAGCTAATTTTGTATTTTTAGTAGAGACGGGGTTTCTCCATGTTGGTCAGGCTGGTCTTAAACTCCCGACCTCAGGTGATCTGCCTGCCTCGGCCTCCCAAAGTAGTGGGATTGCAGGCGTGAGCCACCACGCCCGGCCCAAGTAGATGTTATTTACAGATGAGGAACTGAGGCTTATGGAGGTGAAGGGCTTGGCTGCAGTCCTGTAGCCAATGAGTGGAAGAGTTAAGCCCCAGATCTGGTCCCTCAACCTCAGGTCCTATTTTGGGAGGTGTGTGTGTGTGTGTGTGTGTGTGTGTGTGTGTGTCTTCACCATTATCTGCCCTTGTAATGGCCAAAGGCATGGATTGGAAAACATCTTGGAAGATTTGCTGCAAAGTCACTAAAAAAGCTCCTTGGTCTCCAGTGAGCATGGCTAATCCTCTACACAGCAAATTATAATGCCTGCTTATTTGGGGCACCTCCTGAGGGGCTTTTTATATACATTGGCTCCAAACATCGTCGCAACCCAGTGAACAACACATATTGTTCACCCCGTTTTACAGATGAGGAAAAAGGGTTCTTTTTTTTTTATTTATTTATTTATTTTTTTTTTATTATACTTTAAGTTTTAGGGTACATGTGCACATTGTGCAGGTTAGTTACATATGTATACATGTGCCATGCTGGTGCGCTGCACCCACTAACTTGTCATCTAGCATTAGGTATATCTCCCAATGCTATCCCTCCCCCCTCCCCCCACCCCACCACAGTCCCCAGAGTGTGATATTCCCCTTCCTGTGTCCATGTGATCTCATTGTTCAATTCCCACCTATGAGTGAGAATATGCGGTGTTTGGTTTTTTGTTCTTGCGATAGTTTACTGAGAATGATGGTTTCCAATTTCATCCATGTCCCTACAAAGGACATGAACTCATCATTTTTTATGGCTGCATAGTATTCCATGGTGTATATGTGCCACATTTTCTTAATCCAGTCTATCATTGTTGGACATTTGGGTTGGTTCCAAGTCTTTGCTATTGTGAATAATGCTGCAATAAACATACGTGTGCATGTGTCTTTATAGCAGCATGATTTATAGTCCTTTGGGTATATACCCAGTAACGGGTTGGCTGGGTCAAATGGTATTTCTAGTTCTAGATCCCTGAGGAATCGCCACACTGACTTCCACAATGGTTGAACTAGTTTACAGTCCCACCAACAGTGTAAAAGTGTTCCTATTTCTCCACATCCTCTCCAGCACCTGTTGTTTCCTGACTTTTTAATGATTGCCATTCTAACTGATGTGAGATGATATCTCATAGTGGTTTTGATTTGCATTTCTCTGATGGCCAGTGATGATGAGGGAAAAAGGGTTCTAAAGTACCTGCTCCAATGTCACAGGTAATTCTAGGGCTTAGGCTTAAACCTGTACCTTTGATTTTTTTTTTGAGACAGAGTCTCGCTCTGTTGCCCAGGCTGGAGTGCAATGGCGTGATCTCGGCTCACTGCAACCTCCACCTCCCAGGTTCAAGCGATTCTCCTGCCTCAGCCTCCTGAGTAGCTGGGATTACAGGTGTGCGTCACCACATCTGGCTAATTTTTTTTTGTATTTTTAGTAGAAAAAGGGTTTCACCACGTTGGCCAGGCTGATCTTGAACTCCTGGCCTCACGTGATCCACCCACCTCAGCCTCCCAAAGTGCTGGGATTACAGGTGTGAGCCAGTGTGCCCAGCCTAAACCTGCACCTTTGACGCTCCCAGAGAAAGCTCTCAGCCTTCTCACCACCCCACCTGTTCTTGTCTGTCTGGGTCCTCCTACTTGCTCCCTGCAGACCAGAGCACAGAGCCCCTCTGCAGAATGGGAGCAATTTCTGTGGCTGCTCCAAGAGTGGGAGTGGGCTTCATCCCAGGCAGTCCACTGAGGTGTGGAAGGGTGGGCATTGGGAGCCAATCAGCATGTTCCTAATGCCAGGCAGTCACCTTCTCATAGGGTGGCGCCAGTGACAAGGGGAACTGCCAGGAGGGTGTTAGGGGAGGAAGTGAGTACCCTGGCCCAGTTGTTGAAGTTTCCCAAGTCTCAGTTTGCCCATCTGTGAAAGGTGGATAACAGTGGTACTTAGTTTGTAGAGTTATGCAAGGATTCAGTGTGGTAAGAAATGCTTAGCTCTGTCACTGGGCATCTGGCCAATGTCTAGCACGTGGCATTAGTCTCTTATCAGTTCAAAAATCATTCTCCCACCAACTGCAGAGTCAAGGAGGAGGTCTCAGAATGCATGCCCTCTACTTCTCTGTGACAATTTCTAACATAGGGTGATCACATTAAAAAATGCATTCTGCAGTTATTTGAGTACCTACTATGTACTAATCACTCTTTCGGGCATGCTGGGCTACAGTCAGACATGGACCTTGCCTTCAAGCAGCTTACAGTCTAGATGAGGAGACGAATATAGTGATAGGAGACAATAAAGGCTTAAGGGCCTGGCAGTGTCTGGCACCTAGTGCACAATCGAGAAGTGTTTAAAGACACACACACCAGGTGGCCTCTGATGGGCACAGCACTCAGGTGGCACCATGTAGCACAACAGGCAGGAAAAGAATGTCTCTGAGGGGTTTTGCCTCTGGCCCACACTCATCTGGTGAAGAGGATGCTCCCCCGGCCCTGTCCAGGTAGGGTAGATGGTGGCACCTAAAACAGCCACTGTCCTTATGTGGTACCCTCACTGGGTGGAGACCATGTACATCATGTCGGTCTCCCTCCTGGGAAATCTGATAGAAAATTCCTGCCAGGTGAGAGTGTGACGCTTTCTCTGGAGGGCAATCAACTTTTTCAACCCTAGGAGTTAAGCACTGGGCTTAGAGAGCTGTGCAAGCGTGGGGTGGGAGGCATCCAAACCTCTTTTATTTTAAGAGACAGAGTCTCGCTCTGTCATCCAGGCTGGAGTGCAGTGGTGTGATCATGAATCACTGCAGCCTCAACCTCTTGGGCTCAAGTGATCCTTCTACCTCAGCCTCCTGAGTAGCTGGGACTACAGGCTTGCACCACCACACCTGGCTAATTTAAAAATTTTTTTGTATAGATGGACTCTCACTATGTTGTCCAGGCTGGTCTCAAACTCCTGAGCTCAAGTGATCCTTCTGCCTTGGCCTCCTAAAGAGCTGGAATTATAGGTGTGAACCACTGCGTCCTGCCTCCATCATTGTTAAGGTATCTTATGGGCTCACTAGGCTCATAAGGTACAGGTTATTGAGATATCTTAAGTGTTGGTTTTGTCTGGGGTATTCTGCTAGGGTGTGAATGGGGGGAGTCTTGAGAATTTTGTTCCCTAGGTGAGAAAAGAGCATGGGAACTTGAGTTAAGCCTTTCCCCAGGAGTGCTTCTGGGGCTTGAGCTGAAGGTGGCTTTTGTCCCACCTGTGTGCAGAGCCCAAGTAGGAGGAATCGTCTTCTCTAATGATGAGTATCTATCGAGGCTGTGTGCCAGGCACTGTGCTGGGCTCATGGATACATTGGTGAGTAGGACAGGCAGGGGCCCTGATTACAATCTAATAGAGTCCGTGCCCTGGAGGACTTTGCAGTCTGGCATAGGTTTTTCAGGGGCAGAGGACTCAAGAGGGAGCAAAAACAAGGGTGATGGAAAGGAGCCCTGAATGGCTGGAGGGAGGCCTAGGTTCACGTCTGGCTTTAGGACAGGGTTAGGGTAAGGGTTAGGGCAAATGAGTTTCTGAGGGGAAAAAGCTCAGACTTGTAGCATTTGCCTACTTCTGTAAATACTCCCACCATGGCCAACTTCAACATGCTAACACAGAGTCACTGAGATGTGTGCAATCACTCTTCCCAGTGTGTGCCAACTTCAGCAACCCACTGCATTAGGGCTAGAGTCTAGCCACTCCTCTGAGTGCAGTTTCCTCATCTCTGAAGTGAGCGGGTGGGACTAGGTCACATGAAATTCCTTGGTAAATCGTGGATCATTGTGTCATTGTAAAGATGGTGATGGTTTTTCACAGCTCTGAAGTTTTATGACTAATACTGTCTCCTAACTCTTCTTCAGGATCCAGAGTCCCTCCATTGCTCCGAAACCCCTTTTCCTTTCCCTACTCATCTCGGCCCATTCCTGGCTAAAGCACTGTATTTGATAATTTCATCTCTTTAGTCTCCTTCGATCCAGAACAGATCCCTCCTTTATTTTTGCCCTCCATGGCACTAGCGTTTTGAAGAGTCAGATCCACGTTCTGTGTTTGTCTAGGTGTGTCTTTGCGGTGCCATTTACCTTGGTCCTCCAGTTCCATGAACTTCAAGTGAAGCCTCAAGGGTGGAGTCCAGGTGCAGCATTTGCAGTGAGAGGCCCTCGTGGGTGACATCACTCCAACGTCAGGATAACCCATGCTGGTGTTGCTCAGTTGACACGCTGGTGAAGGCATTAGCCTGCATTTGTTTTGTTTTAGATCAGATTGAGATATTATATTGACCATAATTCTAACAACTATTAACAAGGATAAGCATTTGTAATAAAAAACTGCTCTTGGCCGGGCGCGGTGGCTCACGCCTGTAATCCCAGCACTTTGGGAGGCCGAGGCGGGCGGATCATGAGGTCAGGAGATCGAGACCATCCTGGCTGACGTGGTGAAACCCCGTCTCTACTAAAAATACAAAAAATTAGCCGGGTGTGGTGGCGGGTGCCTGTAGTCCCAGCTACTTGGGAGGCTGAGGCAGGAGAATGGCGTGAACCCGGGAGGCAGCGCTTGCAGTGAGCCGAGATCGCACCACTGCACTCCAGCCTGGGCGACAGAGCGAGATTCCGTCTCAAAAAAAGAAAAAAACAAAATTGCTCTTACCCTACACAAAGTGGATTTTTTTTTGTTTTATTACAGAAATAAGCCATATACAGGTATAGCTCTGATTTTTTTTTTTAAGATTGTCAAGTAAAATTGAATCTGTTTGCTATTGGCCTTCCAGGTATGGTGGCTAAGGGAGATATTTCAGAGGCAGCCCCCTACTTTTTTTTTTTTTTTAATATCTTTCCTTCTTTTTGATAGATCCAGGTCAAATTGGAGTAGAGTGTTCTTGATGTAGGAAGCTTCAATATTCTGTTTATAACATTAGGCAGGAAAGAAGATTTCTGCAAGGTTAGAATGTCATGGTGGAATGGGCACTTTGGGGAGTGGTGGGTTCCCGAGTGCTGTGTGTATGCAAGTGTAAGCATGTACCTGTGTGTTGCTGTTTTCTCAAGGGAGTATGAAGGGTGCATTGGGGTGCCCAAAGCAGCATCAGATGTGACACAAAGAAACCAACCCCATGCCAATTTGGAGAAGGCATGATTTAAATTAAAGTCAAGGAAGTCTATCTCGAGTGTCTACTCAGTGCCGGGGGCGTTGTTCTGGGTGCTGTGAATGGCACAGGCCGACTCTTGTGAATCTTATAGTACAGGAGCACACAGACCTAAACAAGCTATTCCCAGGGCAGTGAGCATGTGACAGGGAAGTGTGAGGATCTGTAGTCCCTTTGGGGTGGACCTAACATTCCCCGTGGGAAGTAGCAGACAGAAAATGGAAGCATCTGTGAGGGATAGCCAGGTAAAGAGCAAACCATGTGGAAGGGGCAGTGTGTGCCAAGGTCCGGACTCCACAGAGATGTGATGTGCCGGAAGCAAAGACAGCATCTCAGTGAGACTGGATCATGTCATATGGCAGGGGCCTGGGAGTCCTCTGGGCTGGGAACACTGGGTCCTCTTGGCCTTGGTAGTAAAGAGCTTAGACTCTGTCCTAAGGGTCCCAAGAGGCCACTGAAGTGTTTTAAATGGCTTCTTAAATCTGATTAAATCTGCATTTTGAGAAAAGATCTCTGGCTAGAGTGGGAAAAAGATTTGGAGGGAAGCAAAACTCAGGGCTAAGTAACCAGCTGGGGGTATTGTAGCCATCCAGGAGAGAGATGATGGAGGTCATAAATACCTGTTGAGAATAAGTGAGTGGATAGCTTGGATAACCAATGGAGAGAGGTGAACTCATGAAAAATATTCGGTGGTAGAATTGAGAGTGGATCTGGGGACTGAACAAATCCATCCATCCACCTATAAAACTAACATCTGTTGAGCCCCTTCTGTGCATCTGGGACTGTGTTTGGGATAGGGATACTGCAGTGAATGAAGCGGATGTGGTGGTCCCTGCCCTGATGGAGCTTACCTTCTGGTGAGAGAGACAGACCATAAACAGATGTGTGAAGTGGCATTAGCTGGTGGTGTATGCTGTGAGGAAAGATAGAGTATGTGATAGGGTGAGCATAAGCAGGTGGAGTTTTACATAGAGACACAGGGAGAGCTTTTTTGAGAGAATAACATTCAACATAGACCTGAATGTTGAGAGAGCAAGCCCTGCAGCCTTCTTGAGGAAAATCATGGCAGGCATCAGGGACAGCATGTGCTAAGGCCCAGGGGCTTAGCTTGGACAAAGAATGGCATTCAGGTCAGTACAGATGTGGGTGATGAGACGGTCATACGTGTGGATCAGCCTGATCAGCCTGCTACTGCGAGTCATGTCTTGAAAGATAGGTCCTCTCTTCCTTTGTTGGCAAAAAACAGGGTCCTCCTAGGCTTCCCCAGGTGACTGGACAGGGCAGTCTCGGGAGATTGGTTCCCAGTCAACAGAGATGGTTGAGCCTAGGCAAAATAAGTGCCTGGTTGGTAGTGTCTATGTTTGGGTACAGCTGTGAGTTTCAAGCATGCCACCAACATTCACACAAGTAGAGAAGAGGAAATGTGGCAGAGCACAAGAAGGAATGTTTTTCTGGAATAATCATTTATGTTAGCTGGATCACCAGCATGTATTCATGCTTCTTTTTTTTTGTATATAGGAAAGCTATTGATTAATAACTTTTTTTTTTGAGACAAAAATGACATTCAGATCAGTACAGATGTGGGTGATGAGATGGTCACACGTGTGGATCAGTCTGATCAGCCCTGCTATTGCGAGTCATGTCTTGAAAGATGGGTCCTCTCTTCCTTTGTTGGCAAAGACAGGGACCTCCTGGGCTTCCCCAGGTGACTGGACAGGGCAGTGTCTGTTACCCAGGCTGGAGTGCAGTGAGGTGATCATAGCTCACTGCAGCCTCAAACTCCTGAGCTCAAGCAATCCCCCTGACTCAGCCTCTAGAGTAGCTAGGACTACAGACACATGCCACCGTGCCCGGCTAAATTTTTAAAATTTTTTTGTAGAAACAAGGTCTCATTGGGTTACCCAGGCTGATCTTGAACTCCTGGACTCAAGCAGTCCTCCTGTCTCAGCCTCTCAAAGCGCTGGGATTGCAGGCTTGAGCCACCATGTCCAGCCAACTTCTTTTATTCATGTTGATTAATATTATCTAGTTTTCCTGTTTGCTCTAATAGTTTTGCAGATCTTATTTTATTATTACTATATTTTTGTAGGGAGGGATTTTTCCAGACATATAATTGTATCATCTGCAAATTAATACAATTTTGTTTTCCCTTCCTTTCTAGTCAGTATGACTTTTTTTGTCTTCTAATTGGATTGGTAAATGCTTCCTGAATAAATTTTTTTTTTTTTTTTGAGATGGCGTCTTCCTCTGTCGCCAGGCTGGAGTGCAGTGGCATGATCTCAGCTCACTGCAACCTCTGCCTCCCGGGCTCAAGTGATTCCCCTGCCTCAGCCTCCCAAGTAGCTGGGGTTACAGGCACGCACCACCATGCCTGGCTAATTTTTTGTATTTTAGTAGAGATGGGGTTTCACCATGTTGGCCAAGATGGTCTCAATCTGACCTCATGATCTGCCTGCCTCGGCCTCCCAAAGTGCTGGGATTACAGGTGTGAGCCACCGCGCCTGGCCGCTTCCTGAATAATGTTAACTAGCGGTGGTATGTAGAGTTCCTCTTGCTTTGTACCCACTTCAGTGGGAGTGCGCTAATGTTTCCCTAGGAGATGTGATGCAGGCTTTCAGTTTGAGCTTTATATCTCTTAAGGAAGTTTCATTCCATTCTTGTTTTGTTAAAAGTTTCTTTTTTCAATCAGGAATATATGTTGGAATTCAACAAGATTGGCATCTAAGGAGACATCTGTTTTTGTTTTTTCTTTTGACTCTGTAATGAGATGAATTATATTGATAGATTTCCTAATGTTGACCCATCCTTTCATTCCTGGGGTGAACCACAGGTGTCTATGTTTGGTTACAGCTGTGCTTTTCAAGCATGGAGCTACTTTCTGTCATTTAAATTAGTACTCCATGAAGATGTACTTGGTTTATCCTGTGGCTTAGAGTAATACTGACAGGATAGCTTTCCTTCTGTTTGAGGCATTGAAGCTAGAGGAAATGAACAAACCATTCATCCATTAGACCAACTTACATTTATTGAATGCTTATTATCTGCAAAATGCTGCTGGGTGTACAGCCACCAGTATCCCTTATAACTAAGAGACTTAGGATTCTATGCAGTGGTTCTGCTAGGAAATGTTATTGCAAGTGACAGAAATGCAGTTCATTCAGGATCAAGCTCCATAGGGAATGTAATGGCCCACAGGAATGGAAGGTCCGACAGTAGATAGCCTCAGGCATGGTGGGATCCAGGGGCTCAGTGTCGATTAGGCCTTGCTGTCACTCTGCCCTTCTCTTGGCTCTGCTTTCTTCTGTGTTGAAATCATTCTCAGGAACGTTTCCTCCCTGTGATACCACCAACTCCAGGCTGGCATTTGACTCCAGCTATGGAGTGAAAGCTTATTCCCACTTGTTCCAGCAGAGCTTCCCGAGTGAACTCAGATTTGTTCACAACGTGGGCTTCGTGCTCTCTCCTGGAACTCTGGAACTCGGGGGTGGAGGATGGAGTCAGCCTCATCTGAACCCATGGATGGAGAGTGAGGGAGGGGTGGTCCCCCAATGGGAAGGCCAGGTGCTGTCACCCACACACAGGGAATTGGATGCTGGGTGGCAGACACCCCAGATGTTCATGCCATCTGGGCCAGCGATCCCCTTTGTGGTCTTCACTGTCCTTTTTCACAAGTGAGAGGGGAGGTGGCAGGGAGCCATGATTCCTGACTCAGCCCCAGGACCCTGCAAATCAGTGACAGCATCAGGATTTTAAGTCCCTACCTGAAGTTTCAGGCTTTATTTGCTCCACTAAATTAGGCATGAAAACCTGAAATCCCAGCCCTTGGGAAGGCCAAGGCAGGTAGATCACTTGAGGTCAGGAGTTTGAGACCAGCCTGACTAACATGGTGAAACTCCGTTTCTACTAAAAATACAAAATTAGCTGGGCGAGGTGGCGCTCGCCTGTAGTCCCAGCTACTTGGGAGGCTGAGGCAGGAGAATCACTTGAACCTGGGAGGTGGAGTTTGCAGTGAGCCGAGATTGCACCATTGTACTCCAGCCTGGGCAACAAGAGTGAAACTCTGTCTCGTTCATAAATCAATCAATCATGAAAATAGATGGAAATAGAGAGTTAAGGCATCATCCGTGCACCTTGAGGGTTGATTATTAAAGAAAAGATTTCCCCAAGCTCACCCTTACCCCCAGCCTCTCAGCCACATATAATAATCCTTCTTGTCAATTCCTTATTGTTCCCTTTTCATAATGAACTTAGAAGGTAGATGCCTTTAAAAAGGTGTCTTGGATGGGATGTTACATACTTAATATAGAGCCTTTATAGTAGCAAAGTTTTAATTTGACAAAATCTTGCCTGATCTGATGTGGCATCTCTTCAAATAGTATTTTTTATTTTAATTTGATTGAGGTGTAAATATATCTGACACACATGCCAACTTAAGGGACAAGCTTTTCTGCATATGTTTACACCTCCTGGGATCAGGTGTAGCACTTGTTCAAGCACTCTGCCCCCATTCCAGCTCCTTTCGAGCCCCCTTTCTTTCCCTCCCCTCCTCATCTCCTCCCTAGGAACACACCGAGGCTGAGAAAGACTGTGACTTTCTTGCCATTGCCTACCTGGGTGCACACACTTGGGTCCAGGGAAAAAATAAGAAACCTGATCCTGAAGAATTGTGCCGGGAAGGGAGGTGGGAAGCGTCCATCCATGGAGGAGAAATGGCCACCTACAGAGCCCTCTGGGAGTGCCCTGGTCTACCTGAGACTCAGGAAGTCCCCCTTGCTCTCTTGTTCCTCTTTTATAAATAAAGAAACCAAGGTCTAGAGAGATAAGTGATTTGTCACAGTTCACCCATCCAGTGATGTAGGCTGGAGGCCAGGAGGATGGTCCTGGTTTATGGGCCAGCTACCCACTGTGGTCCTTGCTACCCAATGAATCCAGGTGGCTTAACATTGGACTCGGTCATTCTCATCCCTCATTTCATGATACTGTTAATTTTTTTTTTTCTGGAAAATCTTGAAATTCTGCGAGAGATGGCATATATAATGGAAAGAATACAGATGCTGGAATCTGACATTCTTGGCTTCAAATTCCTTCTTTGTTTTATGACCTTGGGCAAGGATGTTAACTTCCCTGAAGCTCGATGTCTTCATCTGTAAAAGGAATAATATTAGCACCAACCTCATATTATTGGTTGTGGGGATTAATGAGATGATACATGTCACATGCTCAGCACACTACCTGGCAGATACTGTCTTTAAATGGGAAAAGCCAGGTTGTGACTTTTTTGGTGTGGGGAAGGTGAGACACGACATAAACGTAAAGCATCACAACCTCCCCCAAATGTGAACACTTTAGCATAACTTTAATCATTATAAATTAGTTTATTAATTAATGATAGCATGGTATATTTAAGAACACAGCTCTGGAGCCAGACTGCTCTGGTTCAAATCCTGACTGTACCACTGGCCAGATGTGTGACCTTTTGGAAGTTACTTAAGCTCTCTTTGCTCTGCTTTCCTTGCATGTAAAATGAGGCTAATTATAGGACCTACCTTATAGAGTAGTTCTGAGGATGAAATGAGATAATGCAAACAACACCCTTCCTTAGCCCAGTGCCTTAGTTGATGTGCAGAAAATGTGACATTATTATTACTAACAAATTGATCTATATTCCTTTTTGGCCTTTAAAGTTTTTTTTTTTTTTTTTTTTGTGACAGAGCCTTGCTCTGTCACCCAGGCTGGTGTGCAGGGGTGCCATCTCAGCTCACTGCAGCCTCAGCCTCCCAGGTTCAAGTGATTCTCCTGCCTCAGCCTGCTGAGTAGCTGGGACTACAGGCATATGCCACCACGCCCAGCTAATTTTTCTATTTTTAGTAGAAATGGGGTTTCACCATGTTGGCCAGGCTGGTCTCAAACTCCTGACCTCAACTGATCCACCTGCCTTGGGCTCCCAAAGTGTTGGGATTACAGCGTGAGCCACTGCACCTGGCTTTTAAGCATCTTGAATGAAGTTTTGCCTTGGTTTTCACAGCGTAACTACTGCATGTGCTCTTTGCACTTCACTGAAAGTTTTTTTCCAAGCTCGTTTCTCTTCCTATTCATGTTAGCACTGGGAGCTGGGAGAGAAGACTAACCATTTCCCAGCATCAGGCAGCATCCTTTGGATGTTGTAGAAAGAGGCTGGTTAGCTCTTGGAGAAGCGTGAATGGGCCACTCTCCTGGGTCCAGCCTTTTGTCCACTGGGGACAATGTGTGGCTTTCACAGTGACTCATCCTTGGGCAGCCGTGACGACATCGTGGGAAAGGAGGAACAGAGTTCAATCCAACGTGTGCCAAGGGGGCATCTCTGTCCTTGCAGACGTGGAGCTGGTGGGGGCAGGGAAGGGTTTGTTTCTTCAAGGACCAAGGAGTCAACCCAACTAGCAGAGGGTCAAGTTGAGCAACTGAAAGGATGTGAGAAAACAAAAAGTGCTGGCTTGGTGGGCTCGGCCTTTTTATTTTGAAAAACGCTCCTTTTAGCTCTCAATTGGCCCCTTGAGCTGCAGGGAGCAGTGCCAGTTAACCCACATTTAATTAGAAACTGGGTTAGTGGACATTCTCTTTCTTCCCAGAGCATGTCCTGGGTATTGGAACCTTTCCAGGGACTGGTACAGTAACAGCCATTTACATGGCCCTGGCTTTCTGGGCGCTGGAATCAGCCTTGGGTGAATATACATCCCTACCCTTCCCCCAACCTCTGCTGACTCTCTCCTGATGGAATTTGCCAACTCCACGCATAGAATGCAGACTTTCCCTGGATTTGTCTAAGCCTCAGTCTCCTTGGTTTACCTCTGCTGTTTAGGAAACACTTAATCCTCACCTTTGAGTTTTTATTTTGCTCTTTAGTGGTGACATTGTGTGCATTTCCTTTTGTTTGGTGACTCGTGTGTGTGTGTGTGTGTGTGTGTGTGTGTGTGAGAGAGAGAGAGAGAGAGAGAGAGAGACAGAGAGAAAGCTTTCCTCTCTCTCCCCCACCAGGCCTCACTGTGTCTTGTTTCGGGGACTGAGACCCGGCAGACAGTGACACAGTGACTTCCTTGTCTTCTTGGTTCCCACCAGCTGATGGGCAAGGTCATTTTCAAAGTCCTGACACCTGCTTATCATAACCGCCAGCTGCACTCCACAAAGAAGACCCCTCCCCCACACCAGGGAAAAGGGGATATAAGAATAGACCTGGGGGGGACCAAGAGCAAGAGAGTGAAGGACACTGTGCACCAACTCAGAGGTGTGGGTGGGCATTTGGATTGACAACTGTGCTTAGCACCAGCTGATGTAAATTTTCCATCCTAACGGTAGCTATTTTGAAAAACTCTCCACACATTCGAGAAGTCTTTAAAATAATAAAACATTTGCATGGACATTATGTGATTTGATCTCCTTTTTGTCATTCTTTTTTCTTTTTGAGACGGAGTTTCGCTCTGTTGCCCAGGCTGGAGTGCGGTGGTGCGATCTCAGCTCTCTGGATCCTCCGCCTCCCGGGTTTAAGCAATTCTCTGCCTCAGCCTCCCGAGTAGCTGAGATTATAGGCGCCCACCATCACGCCCAGCTAATTTTTTTTTTTTGTATTTTTAGTAGAGACAGGGTTTCACTATCTTGACCAGGCTGATATTGAACCCCTGACCTCATGATCCTCCCACCGAGGCCTCCCAAAGTGCTGGGATTACTGCGCCTGGCCGTTTTTGTCATTCTTGCAAGCAGCATTACCTTTTAGAAAGCAGTTTCAGTCCACCTGCCTGCGTCTTACCACTTGGATGTGCTGTGATGTCTGAGGCTCTGTATCACGAAATACATAAATTGGATTGGAAGGTGGATTTCAGTAGAGGTCACAAATGGCAGAAAGATAGTTGTGTGATAGTTGTGCATGTTCTTTTCCTTGTGTGGGTGTGAGTGCCACTAGGGTCCTGTAGGGGCATGGTCTGCTCTGTGAACTTCCTGCTGGATATGAGGACGCACCCAGGTGGACCCCTGCCTCTGTGGTCTCTGTCTGCAAGATTCGGCCATCTGGGGATTGGAGATCCAAGAGTTCATCATTGCCAGTGCTGCTTGGGAATTGGTGGGAACAAGACTTGTCTCACCACTGAACATGCTGTGGTCTTGAAAATGTAACAAGGGTGGCGAAGTGTCTAGGGCTTTAGATACAGGTAGATCCATTTTGAGGGTCTGAAACTTATATAATTTGGGGGACCTTTTCAAGAAAAAGAATTTTAAGGCCAGGTGCAGTGGCTCACGCCTATAATCCCAGCACTTTAAGAGGCAGAGGCAAGAGGATCACTTGAGCCCAGGCGTTTGAGACCAGCCTGGGCAACATAACTAGACTTCGTTTGTACTAAAAAAAAAAAAAAAAAAAAATTAGCAGGGCGTGGTGGTGTCCGCCTGCAGTCCTACCTACCCAGGAGGCTGAGGCGGGAGGATAGCTTGAGCCCAGAATGTTGAGGTTACAGTGAGCCATGATCCTGCAACTGCACTCCAGCCTGGGCAACAGAGAAAAAATAAAAAGAATTTTTAAATATCCCTTTCCGAATTTTACAAAATTGTAAGAGCACATACACCTTTCTAAGGAGGGTCCTGTGAAGTGAGGGGCCCCTAAGCTTCAGTTTCATTGGTTTCCTAGAATATCCATTTTGGGCTGTAGCAAAACAAGTAGAGACATGTTGTGAGGGAAGGTTTAGAGGTAGGAGAGTAAGAAGTTTATCTCTAGGTCAGATTAGAAACGGGGTATAGTGTTACCATGTGTCTGCAGGTGGCTACTTAACTCAGTTGTAGCCAAAAGCAGTCCTAGTCATTTACATAAGTGAATGAGCGTGGCTGTATACCAGTAAAACGTTATGTAAACTGGCAGACGGCTGGATTTGGCCCTCAGGCCCTAGTCTGCCAACCTCTGGTTTAGACAATTAATAATTTCAGGTTGTTGGCAGACTTTTGCTAAAAAAAAAAAAAAAGTACATGAAAAAAGTTAACAAGCTTTGGCCGGGCACAGTGGCTCACGCCTGTAGTCCCAGCACTTTGGGAGGCCGAGGCGGGAGGATCACGAGGTCAGGAGATCGAGACCATCCTGGCTAACACGGTGAAACCCCGTGACTAGTAAAAATACAAAAAAATAAATTAGCCAAGTGCAGTGGCGGGCGCCTGTAGTCCCAGCTACTCAGGAGGCTGAGGCAGGACAATGGCCTGAGCCTGGGAGGTGGAGCTTGTGGTGAGCTGACATCACGCCACTGCACTCCAGCCTGGGTGACACAGCGAGACTCTGTCTCAAAAAAAAAAAAAAGTTAACAAGCTTTATAAATATTTGCTTTTGTAATTTTACTTTCTATGTTAACTGTTAATCTGTTTATTGTAAAAAAACTGAAAAGTTTAGAAAACTATAAAGAAATATAGTTTTCTAATTCTGCTGATCATTAAATACTGTTAATCAGTGAGTATTGTGAGAAATTTCCTTCTTGCATTGGTACGCATATGCACAGTAAATATTTTAATAGAATTATACCACATATTTGGCTCGATTTCCTGCTTTCTTCTGGAATATGGGAGTCCAGGTTGTGATGAACAGGGGTGGTGATGGAAGGGGCGTGGTTTGGAAGGAAGGTGCTGTAGTGGTTAAGGCTGTGCACTATTGTGTCCAGAATCGGTGTGTTCTTGATCTCACTGACTTCAAGAATGAAGCCGCGGACCCTCACAGTGAGTGTTACAGTTCTTAAAGATGGTGTGTCCGGAGTTTGTTCCTTCGGATATTCAGACGTGTTTGGAGTTTTTTCCTTCTGGTGGGTTCGTGGTCTTGCTGGCTTCAAGAGTGAAGCTGCAAACCTTCCCGCTGAGTGTTACAGCTCTTAAGGGGTCACGTCTGGAGTTGTTCGTTCCTCCTGGCGGGTTCGTGGTCTCGCTGGCTTTAAGAGTGAAGCTCCAGACCTTCGCGGTGAGTGTTACAGCTCATAAAGGCAGTGCAGATCCAAAGAGTGAGCAGCAGCAAGATTTATTGCAAAGAGCAGAGGAACAAAACTTCCCCAGAGTGGAAATTGACCCAAAGAGTTGCCGCTGCTGGCTCCGGCAGCCTGCTTTTATTCCCTTATCTGGCCCCACCCACATCCTGCTGATTGGTCCATTTTACAGAGAGCTGATTGGTCCATTTTACAGAGAGCTGATTGGTCCGTTTTGACAGGGTGCTGATTGGTATGTTTACAATCCCTGAGCTAGACACCAAGTGCTGATTGGTGCATTTACAATCTTTTAGCTAGACACAAAAGTTCTCCAAGTCTCCACTAGATTAGCTAGACACAGAGCACTGATTGGTGCATTTACAAACCTTGAGCTAGACACAGGGTGCTGATTGGTGCATTTACAATCCTCCAGCTAGACACAAAAGTTCTCCAAGTCCCCACCAGATTAGCTAGCCACGGAGAACTGATTGGTGCATTTATAAACCTTTAGCTAGACACAGAATGCTGATTGGTGCATTTACAATCCTCTAGCTAGACATAAAAGTTCTCCAAGTCACCACCAGATTAGCTAGATACAGAGTGCTGATTGGTGCATCCACAAACCCCAAGCTAGACACAAAGTGCTGATTGGTGCATATACAATCCTCCAGCTAGACATAAAAAGTTCTCCAAGCCCCTACTGGACTCAGGAGCCCAGCTGGCTTCGCCTAGTGGATCCCATGCCAGGGCCGGGGGCTGAGCTGCCTACCAGTCCCACACCGCATGCCTGTACTCCTCAGCCCTTGGGCCGTCGATGGGATGGGCACCATGGAGCAGGGGGCAGTGCCTGTCTGGGAGGCTCTGGCGACACAGGAGCCCACCGCCAGGGCGGGGGGCTCAGGCATGGCGGGCTGGAGGTCCCAAGCCCTGCCCAGCGGGGAGGCAGCTGAGGCCCAGCGAGAATTCGAGTGTGGCGCAGGCAGGCCGGCCGGCAGTGCTGGGGGATCCGGTGCACCCTCCGCAGCCTGGCCCGGGTGCTAAGCCCCTCACTGCCCAGGGCCAGCAGGAGTGCAGGGCCTGCCAAGCCCGCACCCACCCGGAATTCACGCTGGCCTGCGAGCCCGTGCGCAGCCCCGGTTCCTGCCCATGCTTCTCCCTCCACATCCCTCTGCAAGCAGAGGGAGCCAGCTTCACCTCGGCCAGCCCAGAGATGGGTTCCCACAGTGCAGCGGTGGGCTGAAGGGCTCCTCAAGTGTGGCCAGAGTGGGCGCCAAGGCTGAGGAGGCACCAAGAGCGAGCAACGGCTGCCAGCACACTGTCACCTCTCACTATGGCATCAGAATCCTGGGTGCAAAACCTAGTTCTGGCTGAACTGTGAGACCTTGAGTAAGTGACTTTAGTTCACTTGTCAAATGGTGATAATCATTCTACCCACCTTCTATGTCAGTTGTGAGGATTAAATTGATAAACTACAAAGAGTGGCCACGTGCAGTGGCTCACGCCTGTAATCCCAGCACTTTGGGAGGCCAAGGTGGGAAGATCACTTGAGGTCAGCAGTTCGAGACCAACTTGACCAACATTGTGAAACCCCGTCGCTACTAAAAATACAAAAATTAGCTAGGTGTCATGGCGGGCACCAGTAATCCCAGCTGCTCCGGAGGCTGAGGCAAGAGAATCACTTAAACCCGGGAGGTGGAGGTTGCAGTGAGCCAAGAGCACACCACTGCATTCCCTGGGCAACAGAGAGAGACCCTGTCTCAAAACAACAACAACAGCAACAACAATAACAAAAGAGGGCTTAGTTCACGACCAGGTACAGATTTAAGTGCTGAATGAATGTTGGCCATTCTTAATATTGTTATTGTGATTGCATTGTTGTAATAATGGTAGTGGCTCTTGGGTTTTGAGGCAGGTCACGAGGCCATCTCCTGTAGACCCCATTTCATACTCAACCTCAGTCTTCTTGGCACAGCTCGTTGGGAGCAGCCCCTCAAGTTCCCTCAGAAGGCACATGTCCCTCTTGAGTATCCTATGAGGGAGTCTGAATCCTCAGCAAGGACCACCCAGGACCCAGGGCCAGTCAGTGCTGACCATTCTTCCACCTAACCAGACCCCACCGCTTCTCCTCACCACCACCTTCTTCCTTCCTCATAGTGCAAATCAGAGGCCCTGCGAGCACTGGGAAGCAGTGAAGATGGAGTGAGGCCTGCAGTGATAAAATACTTTCAAAAGCCAGGTCTCATGAATCCTCAGCATAGCTGTAAGGGATTGGGAGTGATTATCTCCTTGTACAGATGAGGAGACCAAAGTTTCAGGTCACACAGCAGGTAAATAAGTGATAGTATTAGGACACCTTTCTTTCTGGTGTCAAATCCATACCTGCTGCCTTTGCTCTGGTTTAGATTAGGATTTCTCAACCTTGACACTATTGAATCCTTGGGTTGGAGAATTCTTTGCTGTGGGTGGCGGGGGAAGGTGGGGGGCTGTCCTGTGCATTGGAGGATGTTCAGCAGCATCCCTGGCCTCTCCCCACTAGATTCCAGTAGCACCCACCTCACCCCACTCCCTTGTAACAAAAGAAAATATCTCCAGACATTGCCATATGTCCTGTGGAAAGGCAAAAGAGGAGACGTATATATTTGAATGTGGGCAGTGGGGATTGAGAGCAACTCTATCCAACTTGGATTGCTGTCATCAGTGTGCCCCGTGGGAAATCTTTAGGGAGTTCACCGCTAGGGCAGAAAAAAGGTGAAATCGTTGTTTTAGATCATGTGCTTAGCACCATCATGTTCCTGTAAGTTCCAGGCGGTTTAACTTTGCCTCCTTGTGCCAAAAACGTCTTTGTTTTCATCAACTGTGCTTCTGTTTCTTCATTAGGCTGCATTCCGGTCCCAGTTTCACCTTCCCTCCGATTTTCCCTCGCCGGTTGCATGTTCATCATAGCTCCTACACGCAGGGGTGCTCCCACTAACTATGGAAGCGGGCGGGAGCATTTCCCCTCATACTAAAGTCTACTTTGGGTCTGCTTTGCAATTTCCTTTTGGTCTCCCTCCTGGAGATTCCTGTGCCACCTGTTAACACCCTTTTGTGTTTGGCTCATTTCTTTCTTCAAATTTTGCTGCTTTTAATCTTTCTTTCTAAGCTTAGTGGAGTGTGTGTAAATTAGGAGTGAGCAGACGATGAACAAGGGTCCAAATGTCTCTTCCTTGGGGTAAAGTGTATTTTGTAAAACAGCCCAAGTCTATTTTTCAAGATTAGTCTCCCCATGATTCAGGCCTTTCCATGAACACTGGGGTCCTTGGTTCTCCATGGTGGGCTCCTTGGGAGTCAGGGCTCTGAGGAGGCAGACACTTTGACTGTGAACAGTGGAGTTTTACACACCTAAAGTTGGCATGTCAGGTACAGGTTATAGATAGTCAAAATTAATCTTCAAAATGCATAAATCCTCCAAACCATGCATAGTTTTGTATGTACAACCCTGTAAAATAACCTGTATATGTAGATGTCAATGTACATAGTTGTCACATATAGAGGAGTGCACATGTAAATAAATTCCACTGTGGGTTTTTTTTTTTTTTTTTTTGAGATGGAGTCTCGTTCTGTCACCCAGGCTGGAGTGCAGTGGTGCGATCTCGGCTCACTGCAAGCTCTGCCTCCTGGGTTCACGCCATTCTCCTGCCTCAGCCTCCCAAGTAGCTGGGACTACAGGCACCCGCCACCACGCCCGGCTAATTTTTTTTGTATTTTTAGTAGAGATGGGGTTTCACCATGTTAGCCAGGATGGTCTCTATCTCCTGACCTCGTGATCTGCCCGCCTTGGCCTCCCAAAGTGCTGGGATTACAGGCGTGAGCCACCACGCCCGGCCCACTGTGGTTTTTAATAATGGAAGAGGGTATAGAAGACAAGGTGTGTCCCTGAATTCTGAATATCTAAGGTATGTGTGCTGTGGCGCCTGCATGTTAAAAAGAGACAGGAGAAAGCCCTGAGGTCAGAAGCCCGGGCTCAGAAGGCAGCTGCCTGTGGTCCAGTTCCTGCTCCACCACTTGCTGCGGTGTGACTTTGTTTGAGTTCATGGCCTTGCTGTGCCTCTGTTTCATCATCTTTAAAATGGGTATGACGAGAATACCCATGCTTTGCACAGAGTAAGAGCTTACTAAATGTTAGCTGTCATGCTGTGTTGCTGCTCACTATTATTATTATTAATTAATCATAACATGATTATTATTACCACCTCCAATGAGATGGGCTGGTTTGAGAACTGAGATTCCATCCTGTGTCTCTTGGCTTGTGTGGTTCCTTTAAAGAGATGTGGAACAAGGTCCCATCTTCTTACCCTGGCATTCCATCACACAGACACACACTGGGTGTGCTGGGAGTCTTCTCCACGCACTCTCATTTGTTTCCCGCAGCAGTGTGGCTCACTTTTTGTTTAATCTCCTCCAGCAACTTGGCAGGCCTGCAGCCACCCTTCACATCCTGGCCTGTCCAGCAGGCTGATAAAATGCAGATGTAGCTACCACCCCGCTCAGAGATCCACCCGCCTCTAGCCTCACTGTCATGGGTCCCAAACATGGATTCTTGGCTGAGGGGCTGAGGGACTGGGATAAGGGGTGGCGGGTTGTGCGAGACAGCCCATAGAGGTCAGAGGGTCCGGGGAACTTTAGAAGTAGCTCTAGGTTCCTTGCATGAGCAGTGTCAGAATTGCAGGCAGGCTGGGGGATAGGCCCCAAGTTGGTGGATCTCCACTTAACAGATTTTTTGGTACTATTTTTTTTAAATAAAAAATTTTGATTTCATAGTTCATTCTTGAGCGTTCAGCTGAAATGAAAAGTGAAAAAGTTTAAGCAATATGTTAAAGGGCAGGGGTGGGGAGGAGCCGGACCTCAGAATGGGAGCCTCAAACTTGAGGCTCACAGGGCCAGCCCATCATGAAAATGAGAGCAATGGCTTGGGCCATGCATTCTGTTTCCCAGGAACTCATGGCCCATCCTGGTTCCTGCCTCCTGTTGAGAATGCTAGCCCATGGGGCCAGATCTGCCAATTTCCCAAGATCATGTAGAAATTGGAATCTTAATGTAAAACTTCCCAATTCTCATGAGAGCCATCTGGACTTTGAAATGTTGGCAATTCATTGAAAAAAATTCTTTTAAATATATTTTTGAGCTGGAATTGAAAATCCACCAGCTTGCAAGGGACTTGAGAGATGCTGTGCTTGTGCCCCTAGGGTTTACAGATGCGGAAACAGAGGTCCAGAGAAAAATGACAGGGCCTGGTACAGTGACTCATGCCTGTAATCCCAGCACTTTGGGAGGCTGAGGTGGGTGGATCAGATGAGGCCAGGAGTTCAAGACCGGCCTGGCCAACATGGAGAAACCCCGTCTCTACTAAACATAACAAAAATTAGCTGGGTGTAATTGCCTATAATCCCAGCTACTTGGGAGGCTGAGGCAGGAGAATTGCTTGAACCTGGGAGACAGAAGTTGCTGTGAGCCAAGATCACGCTACTGCGCTCCAGCCTGGGTAACAGAGTGAGTCTCTGTCTCAAAAAAAAAAAAGGCTTGTCCGTGGAATCCAGCTCTCTGGAGCTCCCACTGCAGATCTATTTCTTCCAATTCCATCCAGACAGTGTGTTTCTGTTTGGCAAGCGGGCTGTTACGTGGAGTTTTATTGCAGGTAAAGGGGTCATCCAAACTGCTCTGTGGAGCTAGCAGAGTGACCACAGGAGCCCCAGGAAGCGTGAGCGTGGTCTTCATTCTCGGTTGAGCCAAAAAGGCTCACACGTTTCCAGACAAGGCTATTCTTGGCAGGGCCACCTCCTAGGGATTAATCATACTGAAAAGCTCACAGATTTAATTTTGCTGAAGTTTGATCTGTTCTAGGAAAGTACATGTAGCGTGGCTCAACAGAGAATTTTCTGCCCAAGGATCTACACGGTTAATATATTTTGGAGATCTCAGCAGAGCACAAAGCAGGCTAGAAAAATTCTCGTGGTGTTAGGCCAATCCAGCTTTGTCCTCTGGCCAGGAAAGTCCAGACTGCCCCTGGACCATGGCACAAACCCAAGGTGCCCAGCTAAGCAGCCCTGCCGGGAAAAGGTGATGAGAAACTTGCCTTTGCTAAAATAGTTGAGCTGCCAAATGATAGCCTGACCTAGGGGCTCAGAAATGAATGTTTCCTGTTATGCAGGAGGAGAGGGGCAGGGTTTGATTCTTGTGTTCTCATGTGCTTGCTCACTCTGCTCGTAATAAGGAGAGAAGTTTTATTTTTGCAAGCTATTGCAGCGTGAGCCCTAAACACCAAAGCCAGTCTCTTGAAGAAAACTGATCAGGATCCAGGAGCAGTTGTCAGGCCCCTGGAGGGTGACTCATGAGCAGCAGAGTTCCCGGAACTCACCCGTCCCTGGTCGGCTAGGAAGAGGCTGAGTGTGGTGGTAAATGTGGAGGGGCGGGCGCAACACTGCAGGCATGGCCTCTGTTTTTGAAAAACATTGTGTGTTCGGGTCAAAGCATCCATCCCCTGTGAGCAACCCAATTTTAAAAATAGGAGGTTCTGCAGAAAACCAAGATGCCTGCCTGTTTTCACCTGGAAGACCAAATTCTCACTTTCCAAGCCTGATTTTGGAATAAACAAAATCAATTCCAGCTCAGCCTCAGCAGAAGGCACGTGCAGTGGTGACTGTTTCATGGCTGTCTTTCCTTCAGGGCTGTTGGAGGTGTTTCTGGAACCAGCGCAATCAATGGCAGGAACAACTGGTTTTTCAGGCTATTGAGAAAGTCTGATTTATGTGGCTGAAGTATGGTGTTATTGACCCCCCCACCTTCGACTCCTAAGATTCCAGAACAAACTGAGAATTCATGTGAGTCAGCACCTTATTTATTAATTCTTTATGGATGAATAACATAAAAACAAAAGTGCACAAGTAACTGTACACCTTGCTGGGTTTCACATGCTGAGCACACCTTAATAGTCAGCACCCAGAGTGAGGAGCACAGTGTGACCATCGCCCCAGGAGCGCCCCCTGTGGCCCCTCCACGGGCAGAACCAGCAGCCCAAATTCTCACCGTGTGTCAGTGGAATATCACTTGGATGTTGGGTCAGGAGTTTTGGGCTTAAAGATCCCTAAGCAGGGTTGTGCCATCCAGCTTTGGGAAAACTCAGCCAGGGAGGGTTGTTCTCTGAATGTCAGGAGGGAGACTCCTGTGGCGCTTAGGGCCCAAGGGAGATGCTGGTTCATTGGTTCTGATGGAGATGGATTTCCAGGCGGGCATGAGAAAGTGTGACCGTGTTTGGGGGGGTGTCGAGAGCAGGCAGCACATTGAACGAGTGACTGTGTTGGTGATGTTGTGTGTGTCACTGATACACGAGCATTTTCTTAAAGGCCGGATTATTTAGGACCTATGAAAAGCTACGATCTGCCTGTTGGGGGTGGGTGGGGTGAGATTCTGAACTGGAGCCAGAGAGAAATGCCATGTGTCTTTACTGATAGAAATCTGATCACCCCGGATGCTGCCTGTCAGCATGTGGGCTCTGGGGAGCTGTTTTCCTAACGGCTTGGAAGAAGCTTGTGGACAGTGGAGATCGGAGCGGGGAGCTCCGCCTAATGAGTTCCTTGTCTGTTGGCTGAAGGTGTGGGGTTTCTTTGAGGGAAGCCATTAGCCACTTTGATGGCTTGTTTGAAAACAACTGAAATCTATCTTGTCGGTGTAGTGGTTCTCCAGATACCTCACGCTGGTCATTGGCATCGACAGCTGGGAGCTCCCCTGGCAGGTGTGGCAGAACTTGGCTTCTCAGTGATTTGCTCTCACGTTACTTTAATGCATGACTGGGATGGTTTCTATATATACACTTGCTTTATGTGGCTCCAGGGAACAGGGAACATGGCAGATCCTATTAAAAGTGGTTCCTGGTTATCCAATATTCATTCAACATTGATTAAGCCACCAACTGTGTGCCAGGTGCTAGGGATAGCTTTATTTACAGTTATGGGGCCATCAGGCTTTATGTGGGTGCAGTGTTACAGGTAAGTTAATTATAGGCTTGAAGGCTGTATGTTGTCATATGCGTTTGTCACTTCTAATAGGTGCTCATCATATCCTAACAAGAAATAATATTGATTTATCCCAGAGGAGATCGCATACGTAAAAAACTTTGAACACTAGAAAGCGTTTGGCAAATCTGAGGGGTATTTTTGTTCCAGGGCATGTAACCTTCCCTTTCTATGCTGAGTTATGGTACAGAAGGGAGGCCCTCTGCCGGGTGCCCAGCAAACATTATTCTCTGCTTTTTACATATTAGAGAACGGAGCTTTATGGAAGTGATGCCGTCACTCCTTCAAGGACCCAGTTTACAGCTCCAGGTCCTGACCCTCAGCGCCAGACATGGATGAGTGAGGTCTATAGACAGAGATGGCAGGAACCCCTCCCGATAGGGAGCAGGATGGGCAGGCTGTCACAGCAACTGAAATGCTAGGCTTGTTTAGAGGACTTCCAGTGAGTCTGTGATTCATGTTGAGATTGCCCCGTTGCACAAAAAAATCCAGTTCTCATTGGCAACACTCCTTTCTCCCTTGTTTGATTTGACTGTGTGGCAGTGGGGACAGGTGGCACTGAGATGGGTTGCCACAGACATTTCTACTGTTGAGTTTGCCTCCCTGGGCTCTCATTCTGCTCCACTACTTACTAACTGTGGTTCGTGGGCAAGCTACTTTATGCTCTGTGCCTCAATTTCCTCATCTGTAAAAGGGGATAAATGTTAGTACCTAGGATGTAGTATTATGGTAAGTATTATGATAAGATTAAGTACTCAATAAATGCTGTCATTTCTTTTAGCTATTCCTGGACGTTCCCATTCCCATCTCTCAAATCTCTCAAATTCTGAAGCTGTTGTTCACCTAGGAGGTGCCTAGTAGAATCATTGTAGCTTATAATTTTGGCCTTATAGTCTACATTTTAGCAAGGGCTGAGATCCCTTGCAGATTCTAAGAAAGCATCTATAAAGAGGAAGACTTTCCTTTTTTGTACCTCCATTTATTTCAGGGATTACAGAGCTATATATATATATATATATTTATTTATTTTTAAAATGGAGTCTTGCTCTGTCACTCAGGCTGGACTGCAGTGGCACAATCTCAGCTCACTGCAGCCTCAAACTCCTGGGCTCAAGTGATCCACCTGTCTCAGCCTCCTGAGTAGCTGGGACTACAGGTGTATAGCACCATGCCTGGCTAATTTTTAGAACGGAGACAGGGTCTCACTATGTTGCCTAGGCTGGTCTTGAACTCCTTGCCTCAAGCAATCCTCCCGCCTCAGCCTTCCAAAGTGCTGGATTACAGGCATGAGCCACTGCGCCGGCTGCATAAACTATTATTGTCTAGGCATGTAATGAAATCTCAGTTTGCTTGGACAAGCTGGGGTAAGACTCTGTGACATGTTGTTTAAGATCAGTGCATGCTGGGGCCAGTTTACTTGAAAGGGGATCTGTAGATTGAAGATGCTGCTGCCTCTCTTACATGAGAATAATCTGCTTATGTGCCTGGCCTTGGCCAGACAGAAAGGAAATGTCGGGCATCAGCTGTCTGAAGGTGCGGTGAGGAACTGAAGAGAACAGAAGGAAAACCTGGCTGGTAAATGCAGACGAGCCACTGAAGGATTCCAGGAAGGAAGCCCCGAGGGTGTTGCTGTCTCCCTTGCCAGCTTTTTATCTCTTGCAAATGTGGACACGTTATCAGGGCGGATCTATTAGAAAATGAATCCACTGAAACATCTGCAAATAAGTGGCTCCAGACTGTCATTATCTCCCTGGGTTTTGTAACCAGTTGTGGCTGACGAGGACATTCTGCTGGGAAGGTCAGGGTCCTGTGTGTGTGGACCGAACACCTTCCCTCAGGTTCGCACAGCACCTCACTGGGCACGGCTGGGGCCCATATTCCATCCAGTCTTTAGGAGCAGGTGGTAGCTTCTCTGCCTCCCTCTGGATGAATGAGCTCCTTGAGGGCAAGGACTGGGGTCAGGGTCATTGACTGTGGTAGTTTCCAGTGGCTGCTGTAACAAATTACCACAAATCTGGCAATTTCAAACAACACACATTGATCATTTTACAGTTCTGGAGATCAGAAGTCTCCATGCAGTCTCACTGGGCTGGAGTCCAGATGCCAGCAGGCTTGGCTCCTTCTGGAGGCCATAGGGAAGGATCGGTTTCCTGGCTTTTCCAGCTTCTAGAGGCAGCCTGCATTCCTTGGCTCCTGGCCCCTTCCTGGCATGACTCTGACCTCTGCTTCCATGATCACATCTCCTACTACTGCTCGGACCTTCTTGCTTCCCTGTCAGAGGGTCCCTTTTGACCACATTGGGCCCACCTGGAGAATCCACGATACACCCCATCTCAAGATCCTTAACATAATCAGATCTGCAAAATGCCTTCTGCCATGTAAGGTAAAAAAGTCTTAGGTTTTGGGAATTAGGATGGGGACATCTTTTGGGGGCCATTATTCAGCCCACCACATGGACTCATACCCTGTAGTGCTAAGCTCACAGCCTTGGGTGCCAGCCTGCCTGGAGTCAGGTCCTAGCTCAGTCACTCATGAGCTTGGTGATATTGGCAAGTTATTTAACTTTTTTTTTTTTTTTTTTTTTTTTTTGAGACGGCGTCTCGCTTCGTTGCCAGGCTGGAGAGCAGCGGTGCGATCTCAGCTCCCTGAAACCTCCACCTCCCGGGTTCAAGCGATTCTCCTGCCTTAGCCTCCCGAGTAGCTGGGACTACAGGAGTGCGCCGCCACACCCAGGTAATTTTTGTGTTTTAGTAGAGACAGGGTTTCACCATGTTGGCCAAGATGGTCTCAATCTCTTGACCTCGTGATCCGCCCGCCTCTGCCTCCCAAAGAGCTGGGATTATAAGCGTGAGCCACTGCGCCCGGCCTTTAATTTCTTTTTAAGGAGCTTCCTCATCTAATATGGGGATAGAAATAGAACTTCCTGGGCACAGTGGCTCACGCCTGTAATCCCAGCACTTTGGGAGGCCGAGGTGGGTGGGATCACCTGAGGTCAGGAGACGGAGCCTGGCCAACATGATGAAACCCCGTCTCTACTAAAATACAAAAAATTAGCCGGGCGTGGTGGCGTGCGCCTGTAGTCCCAGCTACTCAGGAAGCTGAGGCAGGAGAATCGCTTGAACCCGGGAGGTGGAGGTTGCAGTGAGCCAAGATTGCGCCACTGCACTCCAGCCTGGTGACAGAGCAAGACTCTGTCTCAAAAAAAAAAAAAAAGAAAAGAAATAGAACTTCTTCTTCTAAGGCATAATTGAAATAATATATGAAGTGCTAAATAGCAATAGGTACTAGGCTTAATTCCTGGGTGACGAAATAATGTGTGTGACAAACCCCCATGACACACACGTTTACCTATGTAACAACCCCCCACATGTACCCCTGAACTCAAAGTATATATATTACATATATATAACACATATAACATACATATAACATATATATAACATAACATATATTACATATATAACATACATATATAACATATATATATATATAACATATATATATATATATAACATATATATATATATAGTGCTTAGAACAGTGCCTGGCATATATATATATATATAGTGCTTAGAACAGTGCCTGGCATATAATAAGTGCATTTTGAGTACTATATTTTATTATTACCATTATTCTACCCTTAATAAGCACTCAGAAATTGTGTGAATGCATATTCCATCTTCCAATTTGGTTCTTCTGACTGCTGATACTTAAGAACTGATACTACTGACTAATGATACTTCATCCTTATAGTAAAAGTTTTTTTAAAAATACTATGTCAGCCGGGCCCGGTGGCTCACGCCTGTAATCCCAACACTTTGGGAGGCCGAGGCAGGCAGATCACGAGGTCAGGAGATCGAGACCATGGTGAAACCCTGTCTCTACTAAAAATACAAAAAATTAGCCAGGCACGGTGGTGGGCGCCTGTAGTCCCAGCTACTCAGGAGGCTGAGGCAGGAGAATGGCGTGAACCCGGGAAGCGGAGCTTGCAGTGAGCCGAGATCACGCCACTGCACTCCAGCCTGGGCAACAGAGTGAGACTCCGTCTCAAAACAAAAAACAAAAAAAAAAAAAACTATCTCACTTTGGGTTTTAGGATTTAAGACGAGACTACAAAACTGACTCATCTTTTGTGAGGAAATATCTTCTATTCCTTTGTGGAATGATACATAAATGGTGTTGAAGGCAGGAGGAGGTTAATTTGGCACCTAAATAATTCAGTTGGCTACAGTTCAAGCCTTCTTTTCACTCCGCCATCCCCTTGGTGAGGCTTTGCCTTATGTTTGCACTATGGCTGCTCATCTCCTGCCCTCATGTCCACGTTCCAGCAGGAAGAAGGAAGGAGAAGGGAAGGCCTGCACTGTATCAGGAAAACAAAGTCTTTCAGGAATCCCAGCAGATTTCTGTTTACATATTTGGCCAGAACTGAAGCTCTGTAGCTACAGGGGGTCTGGGAAGGTAAGAATGTTGAATTGCAACTTGGGAACGTGTTGAGTTCTGTTAAAAAGGACAAAAGGATGCATCAGCATCTGTCGTGATTCCCTAGAACAAGAATGGCTGCATGCTTATTGAAGCGTTGTTTGTACAAATGGCAAAAAACTCTGAACACCTAAATGTTCATCCACAGGAGAATGCGTAAATTAATTGAGCTTATATCCATATAATCAAGTACTATAGAGCAGTTATCACCTGCATGCATCAACGTGGATAAGTCTAAAATGTATAACATTTCAAATACAAATTTGCAGAAGGACCTGGCACAGTGGCTCATGCCCATAATCCCAACCCTTTGAAAGGCTGAAGCAGGTGGATTGCTTGAGGCCAGGGGTTCAAGACCAGCCTGGGCAACATAGCAAGACTCCATCTCTACAAAAAAATTAAAATTTAGCCAGGCATTGTGGTGCATGCCTGTAGTTCCAGCTACTTGGGAGGCTCAGGTGGGAGGATTGCTTGAGCCCAGGGATTTGAGGCTGCAGTGACTTATGATAGTGCCACTGCACTCTAGCCTGGGCAACAAAGCAAGACCCTGTCTCTAAAAAAAAATTAAAAAATAAAATTGCAGAAGGTTATATAGGTATAATATAGTATGATTCCATTTACATAAAGTTTACATGTAGAAACACTTCTGTTACTTACAGTTAAATAATAAGGTAGTAGTGGCTGGGCATGGTGGCTCATGCCTGTAATCCCAGCACTTTGGGAGGCTGAGTCGGGTGGATCACTTGAGGTCAGGAGTTCGAGACCAGCCTGGCCAACATGGCGAAACCCCATCTCTACTAAAAATACAAAAATTTGCCAGGCAAGGAGGCGTGTGCCTGTAGTCCCAGCTACTCTGGAGCCTGAGGCAGGAGAATCACTTGAACCCGGGAGGCAGAGGTTGCAGTGAGCCGAATTGTGCCACTGCACTTCAGCCTGGGCGACAGAGTGAGACTCCGTCTCACACACATGCACACAAATAATAATAATAGTAGTAATAATAATAATAATAATAATGTAGTAAAGGTAAAAAATACAAATGGGGGTGATTGACACCACATCAAAAGGGAGGACATGGAGAGGAATTTGACTGGGGAGGGATGTACAGTGAGCATCAGTTGTTACCTATGATCAGGGAAGGATCCAGGTTTTGTGGGGCCTGATGCTTAAGGTGTGTGTGTGTGTGTGTGTGTGTGTGTGTGTGGGAGTTACCCTCTAAAAAAAGGACTTTACAATAAATCTGCCTCTCACTGGTTATTGTAAGAGTGTATGTGATGCACTGAGAAGTCATTTCTGAAGATACGTGGGGCGCTCTTTGTAGAGAAGTGAAAATAACATTCACTATGACAATAGCTAACATTTATCGAGCCCTTACCATATGCCAGGCACTCGGGCAAGCATTTGCAGGCTTTTCTCATTGATTCCTCACAATCAGCCTAGGATACAGATGCTGCCTATTAGTCTCATTTTATGGCTGAGGAAGCAGAGGCTCAGAGGGGTTAAGTCATTTGCCCAAGGCCACACAGCTAGTATATGATAGAGTCAGGGTTCAAGCATATGGAGCAAAACAGGACTTGTTTCCTATGGTTTAAGCATTCCCTACATAGTGATCTCTCACTGTCATAATTACATGCCTACTATGTTCTCTTCAGTAAAGATCTCTTATTTTTAGTTGACTAGAGGAAGGGCAATATGAGCAGAAAATTTTTCTTGTTTTGGGGATGAGGTCTCACTCTTTTTCCAAGGCTGGAGTGTAGTTGTGCAATCATAGCTCAGTGTAGCCTGGAATTCTTGGACTCAAGCAATCCTGCTGCTTCATCCTCCCAAGTAGCTGGAACTACAAGTGTGCACCATCACATCTAACTAATTTTTGTAGAGATGGGGTCTGGCTATATTGCCCAAGCTGATCTGAAGCTCCTGGCTTCAAGCAATCCTCCTGCCTTGGCCTCCCAAACTGTTGGGATTACAGTGTGAGCCTGGAAAATATTTGCTAAAATATTAAAAAATAAAGTTTTATTTCTTCCCACTTCACGAAGGTTATATTTGGAATTAAGACAGTGTGTTCTTTAATAGTATTTTTCATAGTAATTGAT
Organism: Homo sapiens; assembly: GCF_000001405.40. Taxonomy (NCBI): domain Eukaryota; kingdom Metazoa; phylum Chordata; class Mammalia; order Primates; family Hominidae; genus Homo; species Homo sapiens. Next base: position 56,999,421 of record NC_000003.12, on the reverse strand, counting down.
TTGATGAGTAGGCAAGAATGATTTGTGATAAGTTAAATGTCTTAGATAAGTGTATGATTAAAAAATAGCTCATCCGGGTGTGGTGGCTCATGCTTGTAATCTCAGAACTTTGGGAGGCCGAGGTGGGCGGATCACTTGAGGTAAGTAGTTCGAGACCAGTCTGGCCAACATGGTGAAACCCATCTCTACTAAGAAGATAAAAATTAGCTGGGCATGGCACCTGTAGTCCCAGCTACTCAGGAGGCTGAGGCAGGAGAGGCAAGAGAATCACTTGAACCCGGGAGGCAGAGGTTGCAGTGAGCCGAGATCACACCACTGCACTCCAGCGTGAGCGACAGAGCAAGACTCTATCTCAAAACAACAACAACAACAAAAACCTCTTGAAAATTCTTACTACTTTATCTGTTGGCTGAACTAATGCCAAGCTCCCATCATGAATAATCAAGAATTTCAACCTGATGACTTCTTGGTAATAATAAAGTTCAATGGGGTTCTTCTCATATGGAGTGTACATAAAACACTGTGAGGGCCCAGAACAGCAAAACGTGCTTAAAGGTGGACATGGGATCTGCTTCAGGGTATCTGCTGAGGTTAGGACTCTGTGTGCCTGTGGGCATAAACATGTGGACATACCTTCCTTTGGATCCTGAAATGGCCAATTCCACAGTAGGGGGAAAGGAGGAAGGACAGCTGTGTTTGAATCTATCATTTCTTGAGACAGCTTGCATTAAAAGTCAAACCAAGAAAACCCAAATGGCCACTTGGCTTTCTGTGGTGTTTGGGAAGGCAGTTTGAGGAGTGGTCTGTGAAGTCCCTGGGCAGGAGGGCTCGGGCTGAGGGCTCAGCTGTGGCACCCCCAGATGACTGCTGAGGTCATGAAGGAGCTCATAGCACCATTCATGTTTCTGGACTCAGTCATTGTGCCTGGGGTCCCCATAGCAAGGAAAGTAGGGAAGTGAACCAAGGTCCAGCCAGTGTTGCTCTTGGCTGCAGGGAAGGAAAAAAAAAAAAAAAGTCAGGATGACCGGGAAGAGAAGGAGCCAAGCCACCTTCCTGGTCCTATTTAATGAGTGTTAATCTTTGTAAATATTCAACAGTATCTGATACCAAGTAATAGCTTTGCCAAATGAGTGAGTGGAGGGCCTCTTTCTGTTTGATTTCCCTGGTTAGTTTTTTTGTGTGTGTGCAGAGAGAGTTTGGACCATTTTCTTTTGTGTGTTTGTGTGGATTGAATAAAAGAGTGATTGTTTTTCAATTGTCTCTATGCAGGAAGCCTTGGCTGACTGTAAAAATTTGGCACTGGGAAGCGAGCAGCAGTTTGCGATGTTACTGATTCAGTGTTTGCATAAATAACTTTGAGAACCTTAAAAACCCAACTGTACATTATACCTTGTAGTTGCAGGACATCAAAGTTAATTAAGTCTTGTCCGCCTCATTTTGCAGATGAGGAAACAGAGGCCAGAAGAGCTTGCATGTGACGTTGCCTTCAACTGTACACACGTTCATGAGAAGTGTGACTTTGGAATTGTGAAAGTTTTATGAGTTCTTGCTGAAGCATCTTCCAGGAATTCTAGAATTGGAATGTGGAGGCCCTGGAGGAGTGAAAATAGAAAATCTTTCAGTTTTCCTGATAATACAGGGGAATGACAGGGCAGTGAAGTAAGGGGTGCAGAGCAGGTGTTTGGATCATTTACCCTTCGTCATCTCCTACTGGGGGCCTCTCATTGTACTCGCAGGCTGTCTCTCTGTTGATCAGGGCAAAGGCATACGTGGATGTGAAAAAGCCCCCACAAACAGCTCCTCTGAGTTCCTGTGACAACCTGCCCGGGGTAGATCTGCGCGGAGTCAGCCCTGTTTATGGAGAGGCTGCCAGACCCCACTTTTGCCCAGGCCTTCTTGCTCAGGCAAGCCTGCTGCTAAGCTCTTAGGGGGGCAGAGTTTGCTTTTGGCATCTCTTTCTGCCCACCCTTAGCCATCTTCCTCTTGATACCAGCCCCTTCCAAGAACCAAGAGCCCTCCACCTGATCCCTGGGCCCGACTGTCTTCCAGGCCATGGACTGGGCAGAAGTGACCAAATGTGGACCCTGCTCTGCAGGACCTCCCCACAGGGCATGTGAGTGGACAGGCTAGAAGTCTGAATTGAGAGTTGGGGGCTCCGGGGGAGTGGTCCATCCTGAGGGAGGTCATGAGGGTCAGAAAGACTTGTCAGAGAAGATGGCCCTGGGGCTGGGTCATCAGAGGCTGAGCTGCTCAGTGGAAACCAAGCATCGCAGGCCTCAGTGCTGTTTGGTGGCAAGTGCTTCTGCAGGGCTGGAGGCCCTGTGTGGGGATGCTGGGGTAGGGATCCCAGGAAATGAGTTGAGGGGTAGGTGAGGTGGGGAGGGTTGTAATGGCTAGAGCAGGGGTGTTCAATCTTTTGGCTTCCCTGAGCCACATTGGAAGAAGAATAATTGTCTTGGGCCACACATAAAATACAGTAACACTAATGACAGCTGATGAGCAAATAAGCAAATTGCAAAAAAAAAAAAAAATAATAATAATAATAATAATAATGTTTTAAGAAAGTTTCCGAATTTGTGTTGGGCCACGTTCAAAGCTGTACTGGGCCCGCCTGCGGGCCACAGGTTGCACAAGCTTGGGCTATAGGGTCTGCATAGCTGTGCTTTTTTATCTTGGATTTTATTCTGTAAGAGATACGGGGCCTTGCTGTCTTAGTCCATTTGAGCTGCTGTAGCAATACATCATAAAGAGAGTGGCTTATAAACAACAGAAATTTATTGATTTCTCACAGTTCTGGAGGCTGAGAAGTCCAAGGTCAAGGTGCCAGCAGATTCAGCATCTTGTGAGGGCCCATTTCCTCGTTCATAGATGGTGCCTTCTCACTGTGTCCTCATGAGATGGAAAGGAAAGAAGCTCTCTGGGGCCTTTTATTAATGCACTAATCCCATTCATTTAATCACCTTCCAGAGGCCCTACCTCCTCATACCATCACATGGGGGATTAGGTTTCAACCCATGAATTTTGGTGAGACACAAACATTCAGACCATAGCAATTTCAAGGGTTTGAAATGGGATGAGGAAGGAATAACTATATTTGAGATTTAGAAGCTTCTCGTTTGCAGTGTGCAGGGAGAGCTAAGATAGGGAATAGACAGGAGAGGAGGGGGTTTGAAGCAGAGTGGATGCAGAAATGAGGGAGGGTGGCTCAGCAGACCCCCTGGGTTCCACAGTGGAAATGGGGGCAGATGGTGATGCCAGTCATTAAGACTGTGTTTCAGTTGGTGAGTCCCAGTCTCTAGGTCTACAAAATGAGAATAAGGGATGATGATGGGGATTAAAGGCAATCTCATGGGGGCTGTGCTTGGAGGGCACTGTCACCTGTGTTTTTTTCCTTCTTTCAATTGAAAGCTCCCAACCTTGTGTTCCAATCCCCCAGGGCCTTGCTCTTTGATAACTCAGCTGATGAATTACTTCTCATCACAGGTGGGAGTTAATGGTTGATGGGAATTAATATGTTATCCGGTCCTGGTAGCCTATTTCCATTTTAAACAGAGGTTCTCACTAACTAGACTAAAGGAGTCCTCAGACTTTTAGGGCAGCCTTGAATTTGTCATCAAAATTTTGCCAGAAAATCTTCAAATGTCCAATTTTAGCTTCAACTTATATTTTTTAGTTTCCTCTCTATTCAACTTACATTTTTTAGGTTTCTCTCTACTGGGGTCTCAAATTGAGACCAGGTTAAAAAAAATTCTCTCTCTCTCTCTCTCTCTCTCTCTCTCTCTCTCTCTCTCTCTCTCTCTCGGAAAATTTACTCTCTTTTGCCCCCTAGTGTCAGACTTTTGAATACCTCTTTGAGTCCAGTCACTTTGGGATTGATTGAAAAAATGATGATTGCATGTCTCCTGTTTGCTGGGTGCCACAAAGATCCTCACTGCCTGATCTTATCATGGCCATTCAGTCCATTCCTAAAGAAGCAGCAAGGCATATAAACAAAGTTAAAATGAATTCTGTCTGGAAGATTTTATATCTTTTTTTTAGCATTTCACATTACTCTTTGATACAACAAATCAGAGTCATCAGAGGACGAGCTTGGTAAAGGACAGTTGTCAAAGTCCTAATTCCTGAGAAGGACAAGATGCCTCTTCACTGAACTCCACCCCCCAGACGCCGGCCTCAGCTCATAGCACAGAGGAAAATTATGATCCTTGAGCATAAATTGCTTTACAAAGAGTTGAAAATTGGTGCTCTGTGCCCCAGCCATTGTATTAGTCCATTTTCACACTGCTATTAAAGAACTACCTGAGACTGGGTAATTTATAAAGAAAAGAGATTTAATTGATGAACAGTTCCCCAGAGGAGAACTGAGGCCCAGTCTCCTGAGGCCTCAGGAAACTTAGAATCATGGCAGAAGGCAAAGAGGAGGCATGGCACATCTTACATGGGGTCAGGAGAGAATGAGAGTGAGGGGGGACGTGCCACACTTTTAAACCATCAGATCCTGAGAGAACTCACTCACTGTCACAAGAACAGCAAGGGGGAAATCCACCACCAGGTCCAGTCACCTCTCACCAGGCCCTTCCCCTGACACATGGGGATCACAGTTTCACATGAGATTCAGAGACACAGATCCAAACCATATCAGTCAGTCATCATTCCTGCCGCATCTTGTATTTTCTTCTATTGTCCTGGATTCGGGGGAGTGTGGGAAGTTTTTAAGTTATACTGTGTTTTGTTACAGGTTTAATGAGAAAAATATGAAAAGATTACCCATCCATACCGTTGCTAGTATCTTGAGACAATTAAGGCATATGGTAATGGAAAAATATGAACTCTTCAGCGAGGGTGGTGGAAACTCCTTTTCCAAGAGGGAAAAGGGAAATCCCTTTTCCAAGAGGGCTGTTGAAACTCTTTTCCCTTTCTGGCGAATAATTTTAGAAAAATAGTCATGTTATCCACAAAGTAGTCTCTTTTGAAAAATCCAAACAGATTGAAAAAAGAGACTTAAATTCTCCGTAAGTTATATTTTAATGCTCAGGATGATTCAGGTCAGTGCCCAACACAGTGCCTGATGCACATGAGCCCTCCAGAAATGGCACCTGGCAGCCTTTTAGTACTAGAGCTTCTATAGTTAAACCTCGTTTCCTTGCCGTGCTTTTTGCTTGTTAGTTGTTTTGGGCTTTACATTTGTGTAGGGAAATTTTGCCCAAGTTTCATGTAGAGTTGTATCATTTACTTACTTAACAAAGCCTTGTGAGATTTCAAAAAATACATCTGATAATCATAACAACTATGAAAATAACACACGTTTAGATTGTGTGTTATAATCTACAGTGTGCTTTTTTTTTTTTTTTTTTTTTGAGACGAAGTTTCACTCTTGTCGCCCAGGCTGGAGTGCAATGGCGCGATCTCGGCTCACTGCAACTTCCGCCTCCCGGGTTCAAGCGTTTCTCCTGCCTCAGCCTCCTGAGTAGCTGGGATTACAGGCACCCATCACCACGCCCGGCTAATTTTTTGTATATTTAGTAGAGACGGGTTTTCACCATGTTGACCAGGCTGGTCTTGAACTTCTGACCTCATCCACCTACCTTGGCCTCCCAAAGTGCTGGGATTACAGGCGTGAGCCACCGCGCCTGGCCTACAGTGTGCTTTCATCCATGATCACTGAGCCTTTTAATGAGATATGAATATTTCTCCTTCCACATGAGGAAACTGAACCTCAGGAAGGTTAAGCAATGTATCCAAAGTTAGGCTGGGCACGGTGGCTCATGCCTGTAATCCCAGCACTTTGGGAGGCTGTGACAGGAGGATTGCTTGAGCCCAGGAGTATGAGATCAGCCTGGGCAACATAGGGAGACACCGTCTCTACAAAAAATTTAAAAATTAGCTGGCCATCGTGGAACGCACCTGTAGTCCCAGCTACTTGAGAGGCTGAGGTAGGAGGATCGCTTGAGCCCAGGAGGCCGAAGCTGCAGTGAGCCAAGATCGCACTACTGTACTCCAGCCTGGGCAACAGAGTGAGACCATGTCTCAGAAACAAAAACAAAAGCACAACAAAAAACCCCCACAAAGTTATATAGTTAAGGATCAGCCTCTGGTTGGGGTCTTCTTCCTGCTCCCATTGCTAATGTCCTTTATGCCAGGAAAGAGAGCAAAAACCTCTGTTCAAATCTTGAACTAGGAGTTGATTTAGACAGGCAAAATCAGGAGGATGAAGTAAGGCTTGAGTGTAGAATGATGTTTTCAGTGGAAATTATCATCCTATTGTAGAATTTAAAAAGCTTCCTTGAGGCCAGGCGCGGTAGCTCACACCTGTAATTCCAGCACTTTGGGAGGCCAAGGCAGACAGATCGCCTGAAGTCAGGAATTCGAGGCCAGACTGGCCAATATGGTGAAACTCTCATCTCTACTAAAAATACAAAAATCAGCCAGGCATGGCGGCATGCAGCTGTAATCCCAGCTACTGGGGAGGCTGAGGCAGGAGAATCGCTTGAACCCAGGCGGCAGAGGTTGCAGTGAGCCGAGATAGCGCCACTGCACTCCAGCCTAGGCAACAGAGTGAGTCTCCATCTCCAAAAAAATAAAAAATAAAATAAAAAGCTTCCTTGAGCAGGTATTGACTTGGTGCAGGTATTAACCATGTTGACTTAGTGAACAAGCAGACTGGGAAGCTGGACCAAGCCACAGACTGCGCTGGGGTTGAGAGAGCACCTGGCACTGAGCAGCTCATGTTCACAGAGGGTAATTGTCCTCTGTGCTATGTGCTGAGGCTGGTGCCTGGGGTGGAGTCCAGTGAATTTAGGACTTCACCAACTGTCCTTTACCTGGCTCATCCCCTGATGACTGAAGGATGGCATGATCCAGGAAACATAGTTCTCCCATGCTGTGTTCTTAGCCACTGCATGTGTCTGGAGCAGACAGAAGGGACTCAAGTTGACAGTCAGTTCATAATGTTGGTACAGCTGGGGCTGATTGAGACAGATGCTGGAGGCCACATGACCTTCTTTCTGTTTTTTTTTTTTTTTTTTTTTTTTTTTTTTTTTTTTTTTAAAGCCATCCTCCCTACCATAGGACCTTTGTACATGGTGTCACCACCTCTGCCTGAAATGCTTTCCTCACCTTCATTCTTCAGATTTCACAGGTCTCATACAGAGGTTCATTTTTCTCTGACTCTTGTACAAATATATACTTAGCCTGGGCAAAATATTTATTTAACTCATTAATGAGCGAACTAGCAGGATGAGGATGAGAAAGCTGGTTCTAAGGACCATCCAGGAACACACACACATTTAACTCATTAATGAGCGAACTAGCAGGATGAGGATGAGAAAGCTGGTTCTAAGGACCATCCAGGAACACACACACACACACACACACACACACACACACACACACACACAGAGAGAGGAGGGGAGAGAGAGTGAGAGTGAGTGAGTGAATTATGGAAAAATATTATGGAAAAAAGAATGCTGGAATAAGATTGCAAACTCAGATATAAAACTGGTTAATGGGCCGGGCGCGGTGGCTCATGCCTGTAATTCCAGCACTTTGGGAGGCTGAGGCAGGTGGATCACCTGAGGTCAGGAGTTTGAGACCAGCCTGGCCAACATGGTGAAACCCCATCTCTACTAAAAATGCAAAAGTTAGCTGCTCGTGGTGGCATGCCCCTGTAATCCCAGCTACTCGGGAGGCGGAGGTGGGAGAATTGCTTGAACCTGGGAGGCAGAGCCTTCAGTGAACTGCGATCGTGCCACTGCACTCCAGCCTGGGCGACAGAGCGAGACCCTGTCTCAAAAACAAAACAAAACAAAACTGATTAATGTCCCATAGGAAAATAACACTGTAACCTTTGAGACTGTATCTGACAGAATTCTTTTTTGCAATTTATCAAATTTATCAATCTTTAACAAGTTAACAACTTAACTTTACAGAGTCTGGGCCCTAATCAAAAGCAAATAGTGAATCAAACAAAAATAACCTCCCTGTAAGCAGACTCGGGGTGTAGATAGATGACTTTGAAAAGTTATACTTTATTTCCAAGTTTGGGACAGTTTTTTTTTCTTTTTTTAACAGCATTCTATCTTGAGTGGCTAGCATAGTACCTGACACAAAGGAGGAACTAGTGACTGTTTCTTGAATGAATGAGCAAATGGGGAAAGGTTGGATCCTCAGGCATGTGAGTGGCCAGGGTATTAATACAGGAAAAGCCTTCCACTAGGAAGTTGAACCTCAGCCTTCATGCTGGAGGAGTCTGGGGTCGGAAGACCAGCTGTGAGCAGCCTGAGAGGGACTAGGGTAATGGGGCAGTTACCCAAACAGGGCTTGGGGCGGTAAAAGACATGGCAGGAATCTAGCAGTGAGAACTAGGTTATCAAGCAGGAACTGGGTCTTAAGAACAAGGGAGAATTCGGTGATTAGGACAAAGGGAGGGGAAGGAAAGGGACTGTTATTTGTGGCTTCACCCACAGTGTGCAATTCATTGTGCAAAGCTGAGTGTACACGGCTCATCTCACGCTCACCCCTCACCTGACCCCTTAGGCAGGATTATTGTTCCTCTGGTTCAGAGGCAGAGAGCCTCACAGATAGAGCTGGGGTTGTGGAGATGTTGAATTTAAGCTCTGCCATTCATGAGCTGGGTGACCCTTAGCAAGTTACTGGCTGTCTCCGCCTGTTTTTTTACCTATAAAATTGTAATGTAATCTAAGCAAATAGCAAAGTCCACAATCCTCCAGACTTAGGCTTTGGTTACATTCAGAGATTTGAAATCCATTAGCTAACAATAAAGGCAGTTCTTTTTATTTGTGTCTCTCAAAGAATAGTCAAGGGGGATCCATTTTATAACCAATACCAACTCTTTTAGGAAACTACTCTCAGGTAGTGGCATGATCTCAGCTCACTGCAACCTCTGCCTCCCGGGTTCAAGTGATTCTCCTGCCTCAGCCTCCCGAGTGTATCTGGGATTACACGTGCACGTCACCACGCCCAAGTAATTTTTGTATTTTTAGTGGAGACAGAGTTTCACCATATTGGCCAGGCTGGTCTCGAACTCTTGACCTCAAGTGATCCATCTGCCTTGGCCTCCCAAAGTCGTGGGATTACAGGCGTGAGCCATGGCCCAGCCACCTTGCAGGTGTTCTGAAACCTCTCTTGCCCTTCCCTGGACTCTGCTAAAGTTCTCCTTCCATTTGCTTTGCCCCAGAAGACTTTCCTCTTCTACCCCACCTCTGGTATTCTCTTTTCTCTCTCTGTCCTTGTTTCTCTCCCCTCTGATTAATGCACTTTGCATATGGAAACTGATGAACTCAGACTGCATAATGGAGGGAAGAAGATGGTAGATGGGGCAGAGCCTTTCCTTATCTGGGTAGCGAAGCTGGGAAGCTGGGTAGCGAAGCTGGGTAGCGTCATTGTTTTAAATAATTCTTGCCCTTGATTCGGGGAGATCAGCTCCCTCACAGTCCCATAGCGTGGTCATGAGGATTACTTTGAAGTTTCTGGCAGTTAGTGGACCTTTGGTAAATAGCGGCTCCCATTATTGTTCCAGAGGAGGAAAGTCAAGTTCACAATGGGGACATCTTGCAGCTGTGAAGTGATGAAGGGGTTTGAAGCTCAGCCAGGTTGGCTCCCGTGCGTAAAGTCTGAGTGAGCAGAAAGCCAGGAGAGTTAGAACTCACTGATGAAGTCAGGGTTGTTCCTAGGGAGTGGGGCAGGGGTGGTGCTGGGGCTGGAATCCACGAGGGCCCCAGCTGTGGGGAGGCAGCAGCCTTACTAGAGGCCAGATGAGTGCTGTCCTGGGCTTGAGTCTGGGCGTGTGTCACAGGCTGGATGATTCTAGAGCAACCCATCCAGCGCCAGCTCTCAGCCACTGTGATTGCTCAGCCACCAGGAGCCCCCTGCCCCCTGGGCACAGACCTGCTGGGGTTTTCTGCAAGGAAGCAGCAGTTTTGGCTCGGAGTGTCTCTCTGTACACTTTGGAGTCTAGTCAAGAGGACAGCCTCTTAAAATGGAAATGGGGCACTGCTGTGGGCCACCTGTGGACACTTGATTGCTCTCCCCAAGTTACTTGTATTCTCTGAGGCAGATGTCACGCTACAGCATCCACAGGGCCATTTCTAGTGCACCAGCAAAAAAAAAACGCAAGCGAGGAGTGGAATAAAATGCTCCTTGACCTTGTCCTTTCTTTCATCTCTTATCCTTTTAGGAAAAGAAGACTTTTTGTTTTCAGTTCAGATTTTAAAAAAGAACTAAATAGGGTACTTGAGACTTGCCACCCGGCAGCGGAGCTGGAGCCCTCCGGGAGGCATGGACGAAGTAATCAACTGAAGTTTTCTAATACCGGCCAGCAGAGGGCACTCTTCACTCACAATCGGTGCTGTCTTTCTCCTTGGAAACGTTCAGTGGCTGCAGGAGCCCTGGAAAAAATTGTCTTCCAGCTATTTGTAATTTAACTTTGAGTCCTCAAGAGGGTACCTTCCCCTTTTAGAGTTGCAGTGTTGGTGCTATTATTTTAACACCCGCATCTGCTGTTGTCTGGGCATCAAAGTCTAGAAAAGTCATGAGGGAGATGCATTCTCCAAGGTTCTGAGCACAAGATTCAGACAGAAACGGGGCCAGATGGGCACATACTGTTGCATAAACACCAATTAATTAATACTGGGCTCCAGATGAGCCCAGCCTGCCAAACTCGTGAGCTTCACACCTCCATGGTCTGGGCCCTGCCTCCCTTTGGTACAAAAATTAAAGAGACAGTTGCAAAAACCAGAGCATTCACTGGCCAGTCCTAGTAGGGAACAACACTGGGACATGCAGGGCACTGTGCTTCCCATGGGGACACTTTAATTCTTTCCTGTGGATTCTTCCTCTCCCTGCCAACATACTTTTAATCTTGTTGATGCTATTAATAATAATGACAGGTGACATTTATTGTGCTCTTATCATGTGCTGGGCACTTTTATGACTACTAGCTTATTTAACTCTCTTAGGCCAGGTGGGGTGGCTCATGCCTGTAATCGCAGCACTTTGGGAGGCCGAAGCGGGTGGATCACGAGATTAGGAGTTCAAGACCAGCCTGACCAACATGGTGAAACCCCGTCTCCACTACAAATACAAAAAAATTAGCTGGGCATGGTGGCGTGCGTCTGTAGTCCCAGCTACTCAGGAGGCTGAGGCAGGAGAATCACTTGAACCTGGGAGGCGAAGGTTGCAGTGAGCCAAGATCGCGCCACTGCACTCCCCTGCCTGGGCGACAGAGTGAGACTCCATCTCAAAACAAACAAACAAAAACAAAACACAAAACCAAAGAAAACAAAACAACCCTCTTAAAGTCCCAAGAGGTGGGGAACTGCTGGAACTTCTGAGGTTTTGTGAGGGTCAGGTACTTGCTGAGGGTCACTTAGCAGGTGAAGGAGGAGCCAGGTTGACCCCTCAGAGCTGTTGCCCATACCTGTCTGTCACCCATTTGTGGAGTCCCATTTATGCTCTGGACATCAGGTGGTAAGCCAGTGGTGTGCACACAAGACACAGTGCATCTCTGGCTAATTTTAATTATTTTAGTTTTGAATGTGTTAATCAAATACTTGAAAATTGAAAAGGAAGAGAAAGCCAGCCAGCCCTCAGAGAGCATACGCTGTGAGTGGAGGCCCTGAGGTGTCCATGTTCCTGAGGTGGTCTCTTAGTGGCTGCAGGATTGGCTGTGCACGGTAGGGGGAGTGAGGTTAGTGGGGCTGGCTCCTTCCTTTCCTTCCTTCTAGATCAACTCTGCTTCTACCAGGTTTATGTAGGATTGGGCTTGACCCAAGGTTTCTGCTGCTGAGAAGCTCTCAGCAAAACCCCAGTGTAGTGGCTCTTAGCTAAGGGCATGCCCAGGAGTGTTCATCACCCCGTCCCCAGAGTCCCTTTCATCTTCTGTTTCTCTTTCCAGCAGCTCCTTCCCTCCTGCCTGCAGATTGGGCCTGGAGCCTCCTGTGCCAAACACTTCCCTCCTACTCCTGCTCAGCCGTTGCATTGCCCAGAGCTCAGCCCAGTGCTGGTGCTGGTAACAGTTGAGAGACAAAGAGGGGGAGCCCTGAAGTCAGAGCTCTGCTCTCCCTGTGGCCGGCACATGATTATGCCCCAGATTCCTCATCTGCAAGATGGTGATGTTAACAGAATCTGTCCAGAAAGTATGGACTATAATGAGGCGTTGGCAACCCAGAGTTACTTGTTTGTTTGTTTTCTGAGTCAGGGTCTCACTCCATCACCCAGGCTGGAGTATAGTGGGACGATCACAGCTCACTGCAGCTTTGACCTCTTGGGCTCAAAGGATCCTCCCATCTTAGCCTTCCTAGTAGCTGGGACTACAGGCATGCATCACCATGCCCAGCTAATTTTTTCAATTTTTGTAGAGATGGGGTTTTGCCATCTTACCCAGGCAGGTCTCGAACTCCTGGCCTCATGTGATCCTCCCATCATGGCCTCCCAAGGTGTTGGGATTACAGGCATGAGCCATCACACCCGGCCTCCAAAGTGTTTTAAACATCACTTCACCCGCAGTAAGGATTCAATATCCATGGACCATCATTACTATTAAGATTATGACCATCACTCCAGACCTATTTTTATTTTTATCTTTTTTTTTTTCAAAATTCGCATGCGTTTATCCTCTTTTCTGCCCCCACTTCTTTCCTACCTACTGTCTCCTCCCCAGTGACTACCCCCACTACTACCCTGAAACTGCCTTCGAGGTGACCAGCCATCTGGAGAGCCAAAGCTGTTGGGGGGTTTTGTGCAGTCTTCATCATGGACTCCCCTTTCACAGCATTGGGTCCTGGCTCCGCCTCCTCCTGGAACACTCGATTTGCTGGCTTCCCCCCAACCCCTTACTCCCAACTGCACCGTCCCCAGGGCTGTTGCTTCCGGCCTCTTCTATCACTGCAGGTCCTTGCCTTTGGTCACCCCAGCCATGCCAGGACATTGGCTTTGACCTCAGCTGCAAATCCCAGTTCCCCACTGTTGCCAAACCTTTCTGTCTACAGCTCCCAGGGGCCCCAGACTTTGTATGTGTTAAACTCAGATTTCTGGAGGCTGGTGAGGGATGAGCTGCCTTCAGTCTCAGAGACTAGAGGCAGAGATTAGGGACAACAGGCCTTTTTAAGCAACTGAGAATTCAGTCTGAGGGCACTGGGAAGCCTTTGCAGGTGGAGGCAGGATAAACCCCAAATCTGTCCACCCCTAAAGACCCTGCACTTCCTGATTTTTTGTTGGGCTCTTTAGGTTGCTGGTAGTTTGTGGGTGTGTGGTTTCTTTTACATTTAATTTCCCCCTGCTGGTGATTCATGCATCCCTCCTAGACTCCAGAGCCCCAAATACAATGTTAATAAGTTGCATCTGGCAGAGTGCAGCGTGCTGGGGTGTTTGTGACTGCACTATATTGATGTTTGGTAAGTTTCTGAGGCCTGGCTCTTTGAGAGTCTTTGAACAGGGCCTTCTCTGGGAGCCCAGCAGCAGCAGCCTGTTGTAGAGGGACCTCCCTGAGTGTCCCTGGTGACCTTCCAGCCAGGCGGCATCACATTGCCCCTTGCTGCTAATTCCCCTTGCCCACCCCCAGCCCCACCTGTGGGTATGTTGTCCATTTACATCCTCATTTGTTAGAGTCTGTGCCTTCCTCTCACCTGCTTGTTCATTCTGGCCAGGGCCCAGTGCCCAGGAGGCATGGTGAATGTGCGTGAGGGGATCGAGGGGGCGAGGCCGCAGGCTGCTCTCAGCTATGCTGTTCCCAGGGACCCGTGCACTGCTGCCCCTCTCAGAACCTCAGTTTCCCTATCTGTCTTTACAAAATAGCTGGCCCTGAGCCCTGCTGCCCACCTGTCTGTGGAATACATGTGGAGAACAGCCAATGTGGCAGAGCCCCAGTTCAGGGGTGGAGGCGGCGAATGAATATGTCACATTGTCGCCCTGTAGCGAGTGCAATGCTATTCTGGCTGCCCCAGTGCCAGGACAGTCTGAGCAGCAGTGATTTTTAAAGAGAATGTGTATTCCAATTTAAAATCCTGTGTTTTAAAGGCTGGGCGCGGTGGCTCACGCCTGCAATCCCAGCACTTTGGGAGGCCGAGGCGGGCAGATCGCCTGAGGCCAGGAGTTCAAGACCAGCCTGGCCAACATGGTGAAACCCTCTCTCTGCTAAAAATACAAAAATTAGCTGGTCATGGTGGCGGGCACCTATAGTCCCAGCTACTTGGGAGGCTGAAGCAGGAGAATCACTTGAACCCAAGAGGCAGAGGTTGCAGTGAGCTAGGATTGCACCATTGCATTCCCCGCCTGGGCGACAGAGTGAGACTCTGTCTCAAAAAAATCAAATCAAATCATGTGTTTCTGTTAGAAGATGTCCTTGTGTTTCTTTGCTTTTCTTCAGAAGCATTCATAGGCCAGGGGTGAAAAAACTACCATCTTTTACTCCAGAAGAAATATGACTTCCCATAATACTTTAGATTTCCAGTATCTGGAAGGGTAACTGATGTTGCTTTTGCTGATAGCAGGTAGCAAAGGTATTGGTCATTACGGGGCCACCAAGGATCCTGGAAGGATCCTTTTCTACTGTCCAAGGCCGGGCTCCCCTCCCCTGTTTTCTTTTCCTCCCCTCTCTAGTCCACTCTAAGAGCCAAACTAATCCAAATATTTTTCTTTCCTCTGTAGGCCCTTGGTGTTTCATAATCTAGAAAACTCTAGGGAGTAATGTTCACTTGATGTAGTTTCATGTTGGCAGTTAAAAATGAACTTTATAAAACAGACTTGTAGTCCATTTGGGAAATGCACAAAGTGATTTTTTAAAAAGTTATGCCACGATCAATATTATAGTGTTTTCCTTATCTTTTTTTTTAAACCTGTGAGTTTATTTATGTAACTTTATATTCTAGTTTTTCGTCCAGTATTTTAATATAATCATTGCCTCATGACAAGGGCAAATCAGACATCACAGTTTGCGGGGCTTGTCCACCTCCCTCCCTTCCTTGTAACATACTCGCCCACCCACCTACCCATCATGTGCTTGTCCACTTACCAACCATCCATCCATCATGGATTGAGGGGCTCTTCTCTGAGGAACAGGGCTGGGTTCTAAGAAACAATTATCAATGCGACAGGCAGGGTCCCTGCCCTTGGGGAGTTACTGCTATATAGTGGAACCAGTGTGTAAGTAAACACAGGGGAAAATGGCAGATTGTGGGGGTCTCTGGGTGGTGGGCAGGGGGCTGCAGCCCACGGTGTGGTTTTGACTTCCATGCATGGATGGCAGCTCAGTGGTTGTGTAAGCTCTTGTGGCTGCTGTGTGTCTGTGAGGCTATCCACAATGGGAGGCTGGATTTAAACACTAGATCTGGAATTTCCCTACAAAAAGGTGCCCCCATGAGTGCTCAGGACTGTGGGGTCCTTCTATGTGGGGTGAACTGAGGGACTGTACAGTGTGGCAGGGTCAATTATTGAGCTGGGATAGCCAGTCTTTTTTTTTTTTTTTTTTCTCGAGACGGAGTCTCGCTCTGTCACTAGGCTGGAGTGCGGTGGCACAATCTCAGCTCACTGCAACCTCCGCCCCCAAGGTTCAAGCAATTCTCCTGCCTCAGCCTTCCGAGTAGCTGGGACTACAGGCGTGCACCACCACGCCTGGCTAAATTTTGTATTTTTAGTAGAGACAGGGTTTCACCATATTGGCCAGGATGGCCTCGATCTCCTGACCTCATGATCCGCCCGCCTCTGGCTCCCAAAGTGCTGGCATTACAGGCGTCAGCCACTGCTTCCGGCTGATAGTCAGTTTTAAAAGGAGACATGAACCTGACCCAGCATGCTGACCCTGCAGAAGGGGGCTGTGTTGTAAATGCATTGTTCTCTGGTGTTAGAAATTGCATAGTTATTTGTAGCATCACAGGTACTATTGGAGGCGAGGGGATTTTTTAGAGGGATTTCTTAGAAAGCTTTATGTCTGCAGCAGAGTCTGAAAGGATATACACCAGGCCAGGGATCACCAACTCTGAGTGTGACAGAGACCAGGCAGGACCTTACATGAGTGGCCAGGGAAGGGCAGGGGTCACAGTGGGGAGGGATGGAGACCCCAAGAGCCCATGGTCCATCTGAAGGGGGCAGCTACCACTCAACCCTAGCAGACCATGGTCACTTGTGGAAATAGGGGCCCTTAGTGATGAGATTTTTTAAAATATTGAACTGAAGCTAGAGACTGTACCTGATTTCTAAATGAAATCTAGATTTTTAAATGTTGGATGCTACCTCAAAAATAAATACATATATACATACATACACCCTAGGGGTCATATAAAATATACCAGCAGTCTTCCCATTTCTGACTTGTACCTCAAATTTAACTTAGAAGTTAAATTATTATTTTTTTTATTGCTTACTTGTTTACATTTTAATTTTGTTTGTTTGCCTTTGTAATGAGCATATGATATTTATTTGTAAGCAGGAAAGAAGAAGGAAGACATCTTTATAACCCAAAGGGCTCCCTACCCTTTAATTTTTGTTGATGGTCCCTGGGCAGGTGGGTGACGGTCAGGTTGCCTGGACTGCGGGGCTGGCTGCTGGAGTGTTTGCTCGGTGGGAAGAGGACCCATATCCAGAAAGAGGAGGAAGGACAGCCAGGGGTTCTGCAGGCCAGGTCCCAGGGCTGCTGACCAAGGCAGCAGACAGGTGGGGACCTGGGAGCACACTAGGCACTCACTCATTCCATCATCCATTTCCTCATTCATTCATTCATTCACCGGATGTATACTGGGTACTTATGGTTCAGAGACCTGATCTGGGCCTTAGGGTTATAGCAGCGAACAAAGTAGACAACAATCTCCACCCTTATGGGATTCAAGAAACAGTAAGTAAGACATAGGGTAGGTCTGATGGTGCTAAACACCATTGAAAACAGGCAAGAGGGGTGGATAGGAAGGCTGGAGAGGGCCACAGTTTCCAACAGGATGGTCTGAGAGAGTCCCACTGAGAAGAGCCCTGAAGGAGGGGTTTCGCTCCATTACACATGAATTAAGTGCTTACTGTGTGCTAGGCACTCTGGATGGTCCCCTGGGAACATTCCCATTTTGATGCTTTCTTTAATGAACTTTTGCAAAGAAACAAAGCATAGTTCTTTTGGTTGCATGTGACAGAAATAGAATGTACGCTTGCTTACTTTTTTTTTTTTTTTAAAGAGAGCTCACTTTTTATCACTGGCAAGTCTAGTGATAGGCTACCTTCAGGCATAGCTCGATCCAGGTGGTTAATCTGTGTCATTAGGAGCCTTCTCTCTCTTGGTCTCTTGCTCTGCTTTCCCCAGGTTAGCTTCTTTCTCAGGTAAGCTTTCTGCACAAGATGCCCTGCACAGCTCCAAGTTTGCATCTCATCAGCTCAGTGCCTGTCCCAGAAGGACTGTATATCTGTTCTTTAATGCCAGCCAAAGTCTTGGGGCCACTCCCACTGAACAGGCCAGGTTACATGCCCATCTCTGGAGCCTGGGGTTGGCCCTTCCTGAATCACAGTGTCCCAAAGGGGAGAGGGCATCCCCCAACAGAAAATCTGGGTGCTGTTAGCAGAAGAATGGGGACTAAATGCTGGGCAGTGAGGAACAGCAGATGTCCACTCTGACAACACTTGGATTAAGGAAGCAGGAAGGGCTGAAAAAACAGCCTGAAAACAGGGAGACCTTCAAGGGTCCCAGCCTGTGACCAACAGACCATGTGAGCTTGGCCAGGTCTTAGTGCTCCAGTCCCTAAATGAGGGTGGTCAGCTGGTTCTCTGAGGATCCTTCCAGCTTGTGATCTGTTTGAGTTTTAGATACATTATCTGAAAACAGATATGACTGAATTAAATTACCAGGTTTGAAATAATACAGGGTTATGGATCCTGGGTAGAAGTTTTTTTTTGTTTTGTTTTTATTCAACAACTAGCTCTGTTGGTGAATTGCTGAGGAAGCCGTGAAGGACATGAGACCCACCTCTGCTCAAGCTATGCTGCTCCTTGCTGGTGGCACCTACCTACACCTCTGCCTTTATAGTGTGCAGCAAAGCTTTGCCAACTTTTCAGTCTGGTAATGGAAAGTGAGCTTCACTGTCATGGATGTCATGCTTTAAAGGCTAGAATGATGCATTAAGAAAGATTTACCCTGGCCTCATCTTCCAGTGCAAACTTATGAGTAGGCCATAGTTGAAACATGACTACCAACAGCTGTAGGGAAAACCAGCTGTGTGGACATCGGCATGTGTTTCCAAGACACCAAGCAGATATCTCAGTCCAGAATTTTGTTTTAATGGTTATATCTTATCTTGACAGACACATACCAATGTATTTCCCCAGGAAGATGGGGAGGGAAGACAGGGATTGCTCCTTGGCGACTCTGCTGATGTGACTTTCTGTTAGTCAGACGTCTGCAGGGGCCAGCATTTGTGTTGAATGGTGGAAGGCTTGGGAGTGAGTCATCTCAAAGCCAGAAAACCATGCATCACCCTCTCCAGGAAGTACTGGCAGTCATACAATTGCACAAGTAGGCAGCCACAGGCCATGTGGATATTGAGGTGGGTAGTGCAGTCAGGCAAGAGCCTCGGAGGCCGATGAACTTGACTTGAAGCCTGGTAGCATTGCTGCTTCTTGGCTGTGTGACCCAAGTCAAGTTACTTGAGCTCTCTGCACCTGAGTTTCCCATCTGTAAATCTGAACGATAATGGCACCCACTCGTAGGAGAACATACTTCAGGTTCTTGTCAGCCAGAATAATGACTACTGTTGGTAGTGGTGCCATTCCTAATGGGCTAATAGGAGACAGAGTGACATAATATTCATAGCAGCTAACATGCACTTTACATATTAGGACCATTGTACTCATTATGGGTACTGTTCTTAGCTCTTCTAAGAGCTAAGGTAGATAACGTGATTATTCCCACTAACCTACGTAGGTACTATATATGGTCCCGACCCACAATGAGTCGCCTTACAGTTTTTAGCCTTTCTGATGGTGTGAGAGTGACACGTATCCAGGAGAAACTGTACTTTGAGTCCCCATACAGCCATTCTTCTTTTTTTCACTTTCAGTACAGTTTTCAGTAAATTACATGAAATATTCACCACTGTATTACAAAACAGGCTTTGTGTTTAATAATTTTGCCCAGTTGTAGGCTAATGTGAGTGTTCTGGGCATGTTTAAGTGGGCTAGGCTTTAAAAGCATGCATTAAGGTGCCAAATCCAGATAATTCTATATTTTCACAATGTGGCATAAGCAAGTCTTCTTGCTACTGCCTTACTTATTGGATTTGTAGGGTAAGCTGAGCTGTGATGTTTGGTAGGTTAAGGGTATTAAGTGCATTTTCGACTTACCATTGTAAGTTGAGGTGCGCGTGAGTTATCATCATCATTCTCAATTCACAAATGAGGAATCTGAGGCACAAAGAGTTAGGTAACCTGCCTGGAGTCACAGGGCAAGTGAGTGGTCGATGTGTGATCAGAACCCACGCAGCTGGTTCCAGAGCCCTTGCTTCTAACCACCACCGTCAGTAGTCTCACTGCAGAAATAAGAGCTGCACAGGATGCTTCCTATAGGTCAGGAAATGTTCTAAGCACCTTCTAAGGATTGAGTCCTTTAACTCTCATAACAACCAAACCCTTGTAAGTTGGTACAATTATTTTCCCCATTTTCTAGATGAGGAAACTGAGTCACCCACAAAGGGCTAAGAAAAGGAATTCACATCCTCGTTGGCTGGCTGATTTAAGACAGGG